>NC_000001.11:44099289-44402319 GCF_000001405.40 Homo sapiens | reverse complement strand
AAGAAGGCCTGTTCAATCATCAAGCCAAATATTTTTAGCTGTTACCACATGCAGTGGTCCTCACTACGATGCAAGTACTCAGAAACTAGAATTAATCACTGTCTATAACAGCAATCTAAACGAATAAATTAAATGCAAATCCCTCATAAAATCAGAGCAAAATTATGTAATGCAAAATTGAATATGTAATACCTCACTAATTCACAGGTCATATGTCCAGCAACCTCAGCTATCCAAAACACAATGAAGCAGGAAATAAGCAAAAAGGGTCCCAGAATAGCCAAAATAAACATTACAAAGTCCATGCACTAAAGTTAACACATTTCCCTCCTAGGAGAATTACACAAGCCTTCATTCAGAGCCGATTTATTCTTTCTTAGGTACAATTCTAATAAGCTTGATTATTTGGCTTTCCCATTCACAGCTGATTAAGATTGTCAAATTAAAAGGGGGCAGCCATTAAAAAGAATGATATAGACTAGGATGTATTGACATAGAAGGATACCTATTATATACTGTCGAGTGAGAAAAGCAAGTCATACAACAGTATGTACAATATGATTTGATATTTGTCCGTATACGTGTACACACACATTGACAGAAAAAGGCCTGTAGGGATACATTAAACCGTTAACAATGGTTATGGCTAGGGAGTGAAAGTGTGGACGTGACAGGGTGGGGGGTTAGACAGGAATGAAGGGAGGACTTTGACTTTTTACTCCATAGACTTCTGTTTGTTTTCAGTGAACATATATTAGTTTTGTAATTTTAATATCCGTTAAAACGTATATAAAAAGAGCAAAGGGTAGTGTTGTTAGAGCAAGAACACTGACAATGAGAAATGGTGACCGAACTATAAGAAGCAAGCACCATAACTCAAAAACTACAACAAAATAGGGTTATTTGGTGTGAAGGCAAAAAGCCCTATCCCATCAGTGCTCCCAGCGGATGTCATGAATTCCAACCAAACATATCCTGATACTTTTGGGGATAGGTCATCAAGGAACACATTACACTTAGTATATTTTACTTATGAGAGTAAGCACACGTGTGAAAATATAGAAAAATAAATTCCTACCAAAATGATTTAAACAGAAGATTTTGATACTTTAAGAAGTAAATTTCAGTTGTCTGGAAAATATACTTTTGTGTAACACATCATTCCCTGAAGATGAGAAGTAAAGGAGATATCACTTTATATAAGAACAGAGGTGATGCAGAGTAAGGAATGGTCCACAAATTCAACAAACATTTATTGAGTGTCTACCAAGTGCCAGTCACTAAGAATAGAAAGATAAATAATAGTGCCTGCCCTAGAGAGGTTTATAGTCCAACAGCAGAGATGGATTGGAAAGCAAATACATATGGCACAATGAAAGCAGTGCTATAATGGATATTCTGAGTATAGGGTGGTAGAAACACAAAAGAAGGAGGTGCTGAGTCTGCCTGGAGCTATTAGGAAAGGAGGCAGAGACAGAAGTGGGTGTTTTAAAAAATAACTATCATATGGGATGACATTTAAGCTTCGTTAAAAATGACTGTTATATGGAATGACACTTAAGTTGGGCTTTGAAGGATAAGTAGTTTATCAAGGGAGAAAAATAGGAAGAGCACTCCAGGATGAGCAAATAGCGTATGCAAAGGCACATGAAATTTCCTGCCACATTCCGATAGTACATCTCAAATTTTTCCTCAAGAAAGAGGTGGTGCAGGTGGTGATGTCTAAGGGCAAGCCTAAAATGGCTTGCCACTAGCTTGAAATTTATGTATCCTGTTTTATCTTGAAAAATGAATGAAAATTTTGCCTTCAATTCCACAAATATATTAAGCTTTAATATAAAACCATGTTTTAAATTACTTATCATTTGATAGAACTGATGCTCCAGAAAGATGCACCACATTTATTTGGTGCTTTCTCACATCCAAAGCACAACACTAAATAAACCAGGGGCATTCATTCCTAATTTGAAAAACATTCAGAAATTGGGCTGGGAGCTGAAAAAAAAGATGTAGAAGATATAAGGGGAGACTGGAAAAATAGATTAATGGACTGTGAAAGATCTTGTTTGTCACATTAAGGAACTAACTGGACACTCCCAGTGTCTAGCCAACTCCTATTTATACTTCAAGACTTTGTTTGGGATGGACTCTTCCAGGAAGCCACCCTGCCCACCAGCCTCTCTTCTCCTCAAATCTGATTATCATAGCAGTCTATGCATGCATCTATTCATTTATCACATTGTACTGGAATTATCGATTGTTTTCAGATTCCTCTAATAGACTCTGATCTGCTTAAAGCAGAATTCTGTCTTAGTTGTTTTGCGTGGTACTTAGCACAACAGATACTGGTGTCTGTCGGACTCAACTGATTTAGATAAAAGGACAAGATTCAGAAAGTACTACCTGGTCTAGATTCTAAAGCTTCTTGAAGGTAGGGCCTGCTTGCGTACCACTGCATCCCAAACACTTCACACTCACTGGAAACATCCAGTAGGTGATTGATAAAAAGTGCAGAATGAATGAGTGAAAATTCTCAAAACAGGAATGACATGATCAGATCAGGGTTTAGAAAAATAAAATTGGAGGCAATTTTAAATGTAGACTGGAGACGAGTAAGACTGGAGACAAAGAAATTAGGGAGAAAAAATGCAAAAGATACATAGGACAAATTGGTAAAAGATTGCCTTTTCTTAAAAATGTTTTTCTAATTGGCTAATTTGATTAGATGTTTATATTTATGTTACAAGACTGGTCTTTTTATTCTCTTAGGATTTCCTGATGGAGGATATTCAGTTGCCTTGTTCCCTGACCCCAGCTGCCTTCAGGCTGGTGTCTTCTTGTACATCTGGAGGTCACTGAGGGCAGTGACTATGTCTTATTCATCTTAGTATCTCCAATGCCTAGGACATGCCTGCTCAATAAATGTTTGCTGAATGAATGAACACATAAATTGATCTATTAGTATACTGTACTCAAGCTCCGACCAAGACACAGAGGACCTAATGATCCCCAGTGTGTGGGTTTCTGGATACAGGAAACAGAACAAATAAAGCAAGACTGGATACAAATGCACACCTATTCCACAGGTAACACAGGGTAAATTTCTCTCTCTGACCCTTCCATCCTCATTCTGAAGAATAACTCTCATTGAGTGAAAATCAATAAAAGTCATTTTAAGGGAAGTAGGTTTAGAAAAAGGCCCTGAAGGAGGAGCAAGGAGGAGGGGAACTTCAAGTTTGAGCAATCTGGACTTTTAAAATATATATATAAGGACTTGTAAGCTTCAAAAAACCTTCACAAAATAAAAAGTCTGCTTTTCTACACTCACTTTCAAAAGGAATCTCCCTCATCTATGCCCAACACATAAACCAGGAGACTTTTTGAGATTTCCAGTTTTATCACCCAAAAAGAAAAAATAAATTCACAGTAGAAATAATAAATCCTCCATTTTTCATATTGACTCCAACAAGAAACTTTCTGAAGTAGTTGCAGGTAGCTCCCAAAGACAGTCAGCCAATATCAATGCCAAGATTGACCGTCTGGCAATCTAGCAACAAATATTTACTGACTACATACTATGTATGAATCAAGGCAGTAGGAAGAAGCTGTAAAAGATGCCCACCCCATCCCCCCAAAAAGGCACAAAATGCACTTCCTATCCCCTAAGAAGCTTGTAGAATTGTAGCATTAACTCATAATCAAAAGAAAGGTTAAATAAACCCAAATTCAATTTTATAATGCAGATAAAATATATCAAATGGGTAATACAGGCAAATTGTTGCAGGTTTTCAAAAGCCAGAGAAACCATCATGGTTTGAGATGTCCTTAAGTGTTTTGGACAAAGATAAGATTTTTATTATTATTATTATTATTATTATACTTTAAGTTTTAGGGTACATGTGCACAATGTGCAGGTTAGTTACATATGTATACATGTGACATACTGGTGCGCTGCACCCACTAACTCGTCATCTAGCATTAGGTATATCTCCCAGTGCTATCCCTCCCCCCTCCCCCCACCCCACAACAGTCCCCAGAGTGTGATGTTCCCCTTCCTGTGTCCATGTGTTTTCATTGTTCAATTCCCACCTATGAGTGAGAATATGCGGTGTTTGGTTTTTTGTTCTTGTGATAGTTTACAAAGATAAGATTTAAGTAGGACATTAAAAGATATAAAAGTTGAATATTGAAGAGTGGAAAATATTACAAGAATAATGCCCATGGTATGTCAGGGAACAATTTATGCAAGAGTTGTGTCATAAAGAGTATTTGTAGTGATGAGAGTTATTAAAATTTCATGGAAATATAGCATCATAGTTAAGAGCAACTGAAGGCAGAGCTGGGTTTGAATCCTATTTCAACCACTTATTGGTTGAATGACCTTGTCACATTTACCTTCTCTGAAGCTCTGTTTCCACAAGCTTAAAACGGAGACAATGTTAACTTAATGAAGTTGATATGAGGATTAAATGAAAGGTACTCACCACAGTTATTGGCAAATAGTAAGGGTTCAATAGGTGAGAGTTCCATGTTGTCCCCTCAAAGTGCAAGTTTGTGACTTGAAACTTCTAGAAATTGAAAAGGATTTTTTTTAAAGCATAGATCAGAACAGACCTGTATAGAACAGATAGCCAGCCATTTTGCTTTCACCTTATCCAACACAGCGGCTATTCCATGCTGATTTCCATTTGGAGCAAGATTTTAGTATCCTTATTGTTTGATTTGGAAACATCCTTCTTCCTCTTCCTAAAAGTACTCTGAATCTTGCTCACCTTCACTGTCATCCCCAAGCTTCTCTAGACAATAGAATGCTTCCGGAGGAAAAGAGGGAAGTGTGCAGATTTCAGAGTCATGTTATTTGCTTGTATTCATTCATCAACTCAATAAATATTTATTGAGCAACTATTTTTGAAAGATTAAAAGCTGTCAAGTGGAAACTACTTCAACTTCACACCCCTTACTTGCACCTGTCCCCTCTTTCCTTGTTCTCTCCTGGTACAGAGAGGGAAGAAGCCCTTCTCCAATGAAAGACAGGACAACTCCACTTTGCTTTGGAGCCCTGGTCTTCTTCAGGGGTCTTTGCACCTGTAGCACATTTTTCATGTTTCCAATATCTTTCTCTTTAATAATTGTTTCTATTCAGCACTTAAACACACTGAAGTATTTCTCATTCAAAAGAGAGAGAGAGAAATTTTTTAAAAAAGAAAGAAAAATCCTCCTTAGTCCTTCATCCACATCCTTCTCCAGCTCTAATGCTCTCTCCTCTCTCTTCTTCCCGGTCAAGCCTGTGAAAGTGTTGCTTCCAGACCCCGTCTTTACTTTTTCACCTTCCACCTACTCTTCAAGCTCATCAATCTGGATTTTCTGTCTGCCATTCCTCAAAAAAATGGCTTTCAGTAAGGTTATCAATTTTTATTTCCCATTTTACCTGACATTCCTTCTTTGAAATGCTTTCTTCCCTTGACTTTGTGGACATCACGCCTTTCTGATTTTCTTTTTACCTCACTAGTAGCTCATTCTTACCCATTTTTGACACATCTTTATGGACCATTCAATGTTTTCCAGGGTTCTGTTGAATGTACACTTCTCTTCCCACTTTGAGTTTTTCCTGAGGTAAATGTATTTACTCCTATGGCTTTCTTACAATGGATATACCTAAAGCTCTTCAATCTGTAGCTTCAGACCCTCATACCCAATAGCCTACCTAACCTGAATATTTCACTGGCACCTCAAACTCTGCATACGCAAATCTGGACTTATCATCTTCATTCCCAAACCATCTCCTCCTTTGGTGTTCCTCAACTCAGTAAATAACCCTACCAGCTAACCAGTGGTTCAAGGCAGAAATCTGAGAGTCATCGTTGACTACTCCTTTTCCACCATCCATACCATATCAATTATTAATTTTGCCTTTTTTCTTTCTTTTTTTGAGACAGAGTTTCACTCTTGTTGCCCAGGCTGGAGTACAATGGCACAATCTCAGCTCACTGCAACCTCCACCTCCCGGGTTCAAGCAATTCTCAGCCTCCCGAGTAGCTGGGATTATAGGGATGCACCATCACGCTGGGCTAATTTTGTATTTTTAGTAGAGATGGGGTTTCTCCATGTTGGTCAGGCTGGTCTCAAACTCCCGACCTCAGGTGATCCACCTGCCTCAGCCTCCCAAAGTTCTGGGATTACAGGCGTGAGCCACCATGCCCGGCCACTAATTTTGCCATTATACCATCTAGATATTTCTAAAAACCATCATTATTCTCCATTTTTTAAACCAGTATCACCTGTTGTCCAAGCTATTGCAACAGCCTCCTTTTTAAAAGAGCAAATCTGTATATCACTTTTAATGCTTAAATTATGGCTTCCCTCATGCCTGTAACCCAGCACTTTGGGAGGCCAAGGCAGGTGGATCACCTGAGATGGGGAGTTCGAGACCAACCTGACTAACATGGAGAAAACCCATCTCTACTAAAAATACAAAATTAGCCGGGCATGGTGGTGCATGCCTGTAATCTCAGCTACTCGGGAGGCCGAGGCAGGAGAATTGATTGGACCCAGGAGGCGGAAGTTGAGGTGAGTGGAGATTGTGCCACTGCACTCCAGCCTGGGCAACAGAGCAAGACTCCGTCTCAGGAAAAAAAAAAAAAAAAAAAAAAAAAGGCTTCCCATTGACCTTTGGATAAATTCCTAAAATCTTTAATATGATCCACAAGGTCTTGTATGTTCTGACATCTACCTGCATTTCCACTTCTCTCTGTTCTCCAGCCATATTGGTCTTCTCTCAATGCTTCAGTGCTTTGCATGCTCTCACCTTAAGACTTTGCTCTCTCCCTCTTCTATCAATCTCTACCTCCACCTATTTTAATAGCTACCTAGCTAATCCTAGTCATCTTTTCAGGTTTCAGCTTAACTGTTCTGGAACTGGAAGCATTGTTGGCTAGTTCCCTCTTTGTGTGTTCACAGGATGCCTCATCCTTTCTTCTCCTTTTTAATACCCTTTGCTTTTATACCGTCTGCCTTCCCTAATAGTCTATAAACCCCAGAGAGACAGGGCCGATGCCTGTCTTGCTTATCAGTGCATTCCTGGTACATAACATAGTATCTAGCATATAGTAGGTAATAACATGTTTATTAATTCATACAACCAGCTACAGGTAGAGTTTGCCTTTATTTCTGCAAAACCTTCCTGGAACCACCCCAAGCAGAGTTGATAACTTCCATGTTAGCATCTCTACTATACCAAAGACTCTCTTTTGGCATTTACATTGTATTGTAATTATTTCTTTACATGTTTAACTTTTTTTCTTTCTTTTTTCCCTTTTTTTTTTTTTTTTTTTTTTAAATAAGGTCTCACTTTGTTGCCCAGGCTGGAATGCAGTGGCTCGATCTTGGCTCACTGCAACCTCCACCTCTGGGGTTCAAGGGATCCTCCCACCTCAGCCTCCCAAAGTTGGGACTACAGGTGCATACCACCACACCTGGCTAATTTTTTATGTTTTTTTTTTTTGTAGAGACAGGGTTTTGCCATGTTGTCCATGGCTGGTCTCAAACTCCTGAGCTCAAGCAAACCACCTGCCTCAGCCTCCCAAAGTGCTGGGATTACAGGCTACTGCGTCCATCTGTTTTAACTCTCTTTCTGAAAAAAATGAGCTTCTTGTACATCAGGATTATATCTTATTTGTAGTTTTATCCCTAGCGCTTCACTTGGCATCTGGCACAAAGTAAATGCTCAATAAAGACTTATAGAATTAAATAAACAAACTGCCAACTGACCGGATATGAGACTTGAAGGAATACGGAAAATCAGAGATAAACTCTGAAGTGTGCTCTAGTCTTTGACGGAAATGGAGAAGTCGGTGAAGGAGACTGGGTGGTTTAGAAAGCAAACATATGCAGTTCCAAGCATAGGTACTGATAGTGGCGGTGACAAAGGGGAAAATTTATACTCAGCGAAGAGGTTAGAAAAGAAATGGGGTCCTGAAAAGGGCACCATGAAAGTAATTCCAAGGTAGAAAGCAGAGTCTGCTACAGCCAGGAGAGGGCTGATAGGCTACATTCTAATTTGCCTAAGACAGTCCCAATTAACACCTGTTGTCTTAACATAATAATTGATGGTGCCTGCCCCTTTACACTCTCAAAGTGTCCAGATAAGTTACACGGCCGGCCTGCAAGAAGATTACATGAATTTGGAAAATTTGAGTAAATTACGGGCAATAGCATTTAATACAAGAGCATGGCAAAGAATTAAAGTGAGTTCACGTTGAAGGGATGTACTAAACTGAATTTTTCTTTTCTTTTTTCTTTTGAGACAGAGTCTCACTCTTGTTGCCCAGGCTGGAGTGCAATGGCGTGATCTCGGCTCACGGCAACCTCCACCTCCCGGGTTCAAGCAATTCTCCTGCCTCAGGCTCCCGAGTAGCTGGAATTACAGGCATGGACCACCGTGCCTGGCTAATTTTGTATCTTTAGTAGAGACGGGGTTTCTCCATGTTGGTCAGGCTGGTCTTGAACTCCCAACCTCAGGTGATCTGCCCGCCTCGGCCTCCCAGAGTGTTGGGATTACAGGCGTGAGACACTGCGCCCAGCCTGAACTGAATAATATTTTATGAAGAGCCAACTATGAAAGGAAGCAGGTATTCCACTAGCCACTTTTAAGTAAGTGGTGTCACTTAATTTTCACAAAAAAAACCCTGATAGGTAGGTATTTTCATCCATATTTCACAGATAAAACAGTTGAAACTCAGATCAAGTAACCTTCTCAAAAAGTTAACATGGCTAAAAAAGCAAAACAAACTAACTAAATATAAAGAAATAATTGAAAAAGGAAGATCAGGCCGGGCACAGTGGCTCACGCCTGTAATCCCAGCACTTTGGGAGGCCGAGGCGGGCAGATCACCTGAGGTCAAGAGATCGAGACCATCGTGGCCAACATGGTGAAACCCCGTCTCTAAAAAAAAAAAGAAAGAAAGAAAAAAAATTACCTGGGCATGGTGGCACGCACCTGTAATCCCAGCTACTCGGGAGGCTGAGGGAGGAGAATCGCTTGAACCTGGGAGGCAAAGGTTGTGGTGAGCTGAGATTGGGCCACTGCACTCCAGCCTGGCAACAAAGCAAGACTCCGTCTCAAAAAAAAAAAAAAAGATATTATTGCAATAAAAATAAAAGCAGGAAAGGGGTAACCTAACCTAAGGAGAGCCCAGAAATCAATATGTAGCAGTGAAAGTTCCTCCAAAAGTCGAATAGAAGCTAAGCAATGGAGTGGCACGAAAGAGGAATTGCAGAGGAGCCACGTGAGACAAAGGAATAGAAACACATCATGGGAATGACTTAAAGGTTCTAAGTTGGAAAATGGGTTGACTCTTGTGATGATTCCTTTGAAGTCGGAGAAAATTGCATTTTTGCAGTAAATATCCTTCAATCTTTCCCAAGAGCTAAATAAGGTGCTCTTTACTATGCAATAATACTAGTTTCACTTTTTACTGCCTCCCTCATTGAACGACACCTAATAAGCAATTATACTTCAGCTCTGTTGTATCTTTTCCATTCCTTTCTTTTGAAGACTAGAAAGAAATGAATGCAGCAGCACATATGCAGTTAGAATTTCACTTCATGGCAATCACTTTTAAAAAGCACTCTGCAAAAACGGGTTGCATTTAAGAATGCATTTTGTATATCTGCCTTTCCATGGAACAAGAGAGTCTAGTAAAAAGAACGAGTACTATAAGCAAGAAGCCAAGACATTTACTAGTTGTAGAACTCAGGTAAATCATATACTCTCTCTTCTAATAGATTTTTCTTCCTGTGTTGCAGAAATTTTTTTGTGTGTGTAACAAATTTTACACAAAAGTAAGGTAGGTATTATTAAGGAATGCCTTTTAAATATTAAATCCATTTTTAAATATTATAAAAGCAGGCAAATAATTAAATTTTCCTTATTCATTTCTTTCTTTCTTTCTTTTCTTTTTTTTTTTTTGAAATGGAGTCTCTCTCTGTTGCCCAGGTTGGAGTACAGTGGCATGATCTTGGCTCACGCCAACCTCTGCCACCCAGGTTCAAGCAATTCTCCTGCCTCAGCCTCCCGAATAGCTGGGATTACAGGCATGCGCTACCACACTGGGCTAATTTGTATTTTTAGTAGAGGTTTTGCCATGTTGGCCAGGCTGGTCTAAAACTCCTGACCTCAGGTGATCCACCTGCCTCAGCCTCCCAAAGTGCTAGGATTACAGGCATGAGCCACCATGCCTGGCCCATTTCCTCTTTTTTGAAATGATCTCACATTTTATTGAATTAAAAACTTATGAACGTTAAGAGTTCGAGGATGTGCTAGAGGTCAGGTTAACATTTGTATTTAAGTAATAATTCGAATTATATGACCTCTTCTTAATTTACATATAATCAATCAATAAACAAACATTTTTTCAGTGCTTACTGTGTGTTAGGAATTATACTAGGCTGTTTGGGGGAGTGATACAAAGTACTGTACATTATCAAATCAAAGATAGTTTAGATTATAAGATGCATCCCCATTTCAGAGCTGTTAAAATGTGGAAAAATATGCATCTTAAATTGATTATATATAGATAAAAAACAAAAAGCTTCCACAGAGAGAAAAGAATGGAATATATCCGTAAAAAGTACCAAGTGAGTATTAGAGACAAAAAGGTTCTCAGAAATTCAGTGGAGCAAGAAGTTACAAGGAGCTGAGGGTGGTGAGGAAAGTGCACTGTGTATGATACTGGCCTAGTTCTGCTAATGTATTTTCTATTGATTCTATAAAGTGTTGGCAAGGAAAGGACAAATTAAAAACTAAGCTTTATACTTTACCTCCTGAAATGTGTGACAACTTTCAGTTTTGTTAAGACTTCTGAATTCTATCACTATACCAACTCGAAACCAATTTTTATTGTTGACATTAACTTAATAAAAACAATTACTTAAATTAAAAATTAAGCAAATATAGAATATGCTAAAATAAGAGTAAAATTTGGGGAAAATGGCCCAAATAATTTAAATATTTAACCTGTAAGAACAAGTGAAAATATTTAAAAATAATAGTTTAGCTGTTATATCTATACTTGGGGAGTAAAATTAAAACTTGTAATACAACAGATATCCGAAGTTCTAAACTGTATCTGCACCTATAGATCTAGGGTCAAGAAAAGACCATTCTTTGGCCAGGCGCGATGGCTCACGCCTGTAATCCCAGCACTTTGGGAGGCTGAGGCAGGAGGATCACGAGGTCAGGAGTTCAAGACCAGCCTGGCCAACATGGTGAAACTCCATCTCTACTAAAAAATGCCAAAAAAAATTAGCTGGGCATCGTGGAGCATGCCTGTAATCCCAGCTACTCGTGAGGCTGAGGCAGGAGAATTTCTTGACCTGGGAGGTGGAGGTTGCAGTGAGTCGAGATTGTGCCACTGCACTCCAGCCTGGGCTACAGAGCAAGACTCTGTCTAAAAAAAAAAAAAAAAGAAAAAAGAAAAGGCCATTCTTTTTTTTTTTTTAAATATGAAAGGCTTCACAAATGTTTGTGTCATCCTTTGTGCAGGGGGCCATGCTAATCTCTGTATCATTCCAATTTTAGCGTATGTGCTGCCGAAGCACTCCTGGGCCACCCTTCACTTCCTCCTTTCACATCCACCCTATCCCAAGCTACAAACATCCAGACCTCCAAGCCTTGATTAAACAGGGTACCAGTGGATCCTGGGTCTAATCCAATCTTGTTAGAGCCACTGTTCATCCCTCTCCTCAAAGAGCCTTGAACTTCAAGCTTTTTTGTTCCCTACTATTATCCTCTGCTGCATCTCCTATGACTAATCACATCTCTGCGTGAGAAGAAATGTTTGCAGGACTTTCCAGACCACAGCTGACTTTTTTTTAAGCCCTTGTGTCCACTCTTCTCTGAGGGCTAAGTGAGACTAAACCTATCAAGTTTCATTCCTATTGTCATAGGTCAAAGCTCCAAATATAGATACTTTGTCTCTTCCCATATTTGTCCTATATGAGCTATCATTCCTAAAATGCTACATACTTCCTTAAGTGTGGAAGTATCCAACCCCTCTCTTCTCTCCCTGCCAAAACCTTCCATTTGCCCTTTGGAATTTCAACTCTCCTGTGCCCTCAAACACTTTTCTCTGAATGTTCCTGCCACCTCATGCCTTATCTAAACCTGGCTCTCTCTACACCACTTACCCTGCAGCTCCCTCAAGAGAGATCCGCTCATATTCTTACACCTATGTACTGTCAGGAGATGAGGATGCTTCCCAGTGCTACTCAGAGTCCACTGCTTTTCCACCCTTTTGTGAAAACCCCTACTACTCTCTCCGTGATTGGTAACTGTAATCTCCCCACCTCACAGAAGACAGTGGCACTTGGCTTACTGTCTTCTCTTGTGCCATGAGTACTGCCATCATCCTAAGTGACTTCAGAATCCTCAAGAGAGACCCAGAGTATCTCCCATGTCCTCCTACATTGCTATTCAACCACCCGCCTTCACAGTCACCCCCTGGATCTTGTCATCATGACCTAAAATTCTCTCTACTTCTAAAATCACTAATTCAGATAGTCTACTTTCTGACCACAAGCACCTATGCTTCCAGCTCATTATTAAGCTAGTCCAACTGCAACTATTCTTCCCTTTCATTTGAATATCAGTTTATTGACCCCTTTCTTTCTATTACTCCCTTCTTGTCTTCACTTCCCCATTTGTCGAGCTTACAGTTCATGGCCCATCATTTCATTTGCTCTCTTAGAATTACCCTGAACTCTCTCCTTAATTATTCTCTTTCCTGTCTTCTGAAACACCACACTCTCCCAATTCCTCTTATCTCTCCAGCTGCCCTTTTGCAAACATTTTTGCTGACTCCTCCTTTGTGTTCTATTAAACCTTTAAGTAGGAGAGTTTTTCAGGGATCTGTCCTAGGAGTGCTTCCCTTTTCATTCAATATCCCTTCCTGAAGTAATTTTAACTTTTCCTATGGCTTCAGTTACTAACAACATGCATATGCTCCTCAAATATACCTTGCTGTTGGAGTTCTGGACTGATATATCTAACTGCTTACCTGACTTCTTCAAATGGATATCTCCAAGGTACCTTCAACTCAGCCTGTTCAAAAGTAAACTCATCAATATTCCATTAAATCTATCTCTGCCAGAAAGCTGAGCCATCTTTGACATTTCCTGCTCTCATCTCTCCATATTTAAATAATCATGAAGGCCTGTTAATTCTGTCTTCAAATTATTTCTCAATTTTTTTCACTTTTTTTTCCATCTCTACTGCCATCCCTCCCAACCTCCGTTCAAGTCACTATCATTTTTCATGGAAAAGTTTCATTCCACTTGTTACCTACCATGTGCCATGCACAGTAAGGTGCTAGAATACAGAGCTTCAAAGGAGCCTCTTGCCTGGATGACATAAATAATGGGTCTTCCTGCAATCATTCTTTCCCCCACTGCAACGGTTAATTTTATATGTCAACTTGACTGGGCTAAGGGATGCTCAGATGGCTGGTAAAACGTTGTTTCTGGGTGTGTCTGTGAGACTGTTTCTGGAAGAGATTAGCATTTGAATCAGTAGATTGAGTAAAGAACATCCACCCTCACCAATGTGGGCTGACATCATCCAATCATTGAAGGCTCAGATGGAACAAAAAGATGGAGGAAGGGTGGATTCACTTTCTCTCTTCTTAACTGGAACACTTATCTTCTCCTGCTCTCAGACATCAGAGTTCTAGGTTCTTGGGCCTTCTGACTCTGGGACTTACATCATTGGCTCCTCAGTTCTCAGACCTTGGACTCAGATATATTACACCACCAGCTTCCTAGGATCTACAGCTTGTGGAAGGCATATTGTGGGACTTCTTGGCTTCCATAATTGCATCAGCTGATTCCCATAATCCCGTTATCTATCTATCTATGCCCCGCCAATCTATTTTCTACATTAAAGACAAACTGTGCGAGTGTGTGCTATAAATGCAAATCTCGTTTTGTCACCACTTGATGTAAGGATTAAACTAGATTAGGTATGTAGAGGATTTAGTGTCTGGCACATGATAAATAATCACTAAATGTTATCAGTGGAGATACACTGAATAATTCAGCAAAAGATTTTGGAATAACTGTCCAGTCATTTGGAAAAAAATAAAGCTGTATCCTTACCTCACTCCTTAGACCTAGAGAAAAACATAAAACCATAAAAATACTTGAAGAAAACATGGGTAAATATTTGTATAATCTTGGAGGTGAAGAAGGTCTTTCAGAACATATCCCAAAACCCAGAAGCCATAAAGGGAAAATATTAACTACATACAAATGTGCACATTCTGCCTATCAAGAAAGGCCATAAATAAGACTGAAAGACAAATAACAAATAGAGAAAATGTTTATAATATTCAATTTAAAAGAGCTAATAACATATATCCAATTAGATCATAAATGAACAAAAAAAACTAACAACCCAATAGAAAATGGTGAAATTGCATGATGGACAATTCCCAAATTAAGAACTACAAATGGCTAATAGCCTAAATAAAAAAAATAAATAAAACAATGAACTATTATATTTTACTTATAGGTTGGTGAAGACTAGGAAGATTGACCGAATCCACTGTAGGTGAGGAGAATGAGCACTCACCTGCACTTTTCTTGAGGGTATAAGTGTGAACCACGTTTCTAGAAATAGTTTGGCTATGGGTAACATAATATAAAATGTGTGTACCTCTTGACATAGTAATCCTACTTCCAGCAATGTACTCTAAAGAGATCATTTAAGGGCAAGGAGAGGGAGAGCATTAGGACAAATACCTAATGCATGCGGGGCTTAAAACCTAGATCACAGGTTGATAGGTGCAGCAAACCACAGTGGCACATGTATACCTAGGTAACAAACCTGCACATTCAGCACATGTATCCCAGAACTTAAAGTAAAAAAGAGATCATTTAAATGACTCAAAAAGATGTATGCTAAGAATGTTCACTTCATAATTTATAATAAAATTGAAAATAAATATTTTTTGAAACAATTATCTTCTTTGGCTCTGTTCTTGATGCTGGGGATACAGAAACTTAACAAGAGAGACAAGGTCCCTTCTGTCATGAAACTTACATTCCAAGAGTCAGAGAAACATTAAATAATAAGCAAATAAATAAGATACTCTGAAATAGTGACAAACGTTTTGAAGACACACAAAGACCTCCTCAGAAGTGCTGTAATAGAGTAACTAGAGTTTGGGTATCCTTAGGAAAGATAGTAAGAGAAAGCCCCTCAAGGAGATGACCTGTGAATTAGAGTTTGTTTTTTACCTAAGAGCTAGAGTTTGAGGGTGGACTAGGCTAGTCTACATATCTGTAGCCTGACAATATATGGTGAGGGTAAGGGAGTGCTTAGCTGCTATGACTGCTATCCGAAGTATTTTATAAAGCACTTTTCTGAGGATTCAAAACCAAGGCAATATAATGTAGAAAAGAAACAAGACATATATTTATCAATTGTCTTGGAACACTGATTGGTCTTGCCTGCGTATGTGCCCACTCCTGAGACTAGATAAGATTGGATGGATATCATGGAAGAATTCCTCCAAAACATCAGTATAATAAATGTGAAAATATAACATAGCATAATGAAAAGGAAAAAGAAACAAAGAAGGAAAGGAACCATGGAGTGAAAAAAAAAAAAAAAAAGATAAGGAGTGGAGTGTTGAAAGTAATACCAGAGGAAGAGAAAATTGTCCATGAGTGCTTCATGCCATAGAAGAAATTTAAAAAAACATGAATTAAATGACTGGGCACGGTGGCTCACGCCTGTAATCCCTACACTTTGGGAGGCCGAGGCAGGTGGATCACGTGAGGTCAGGAGTTCAAGATCAGCCTGGCCAACCTGGTGAAACCCTGTCTCTACTAAAAATACAAAGATTAGCCGGGCATGGTGGTACACACCTGTAATCCCAGGTACTCAGGAGGCTGAGGCAGGAGAATCACTTGAACCTGGGAGGCGGAGGTTGCAGTGAGCCAAAAAAAGAAAAAAAAGAAAGGAATAAAAAACCATAAATTAAATAATTAAATAAAAGAATGCAAAGACAACATGATAAAACAACAGAATGAGATGAAAAGAGACACTGTAGAGCAGAGGAGACAAATTAGGGACCCAGTTAACACTATGCATAACTTATAAATAAAGAAATTCATGATCTAATAATAGTGAATAAGAGAAAATGGTCAATTTTCTAAAAAATTTGAAAGAAGATTTAAAAATATAGAAGAGGCCGGGCACAGTGGCTCACCCCTGTCATCCAGCACTTGGGAGGCCAAGGCGGGAGGATCACTTGCATCTGAGAGTTCGAGACCAGCCTGGGCAACATAGCAAGACACTTCTCTACAAAAAATAAAAAATTAGCCAGGCATGGTGGCACATACCTGTAGTCCCAGCTACTTGAGAGGCTGAGGTAGGAGGATGGCTTGAGCCTGGGAGGTTGAGGCTGCAGTGAGCTCTGATTGTGCCACTGCACTCCAGTCTAGGTGACAAAGTGAGACCTTGTCTCAAAAAGAATAATAATAAATAATAAAAAAAAGAAGGCACATAAAGATGATATAGCCAAAAGAAAATTGGCATCCTTGAAGAACACAACAAATTAAAAAGAAGAGGGTTTTTTTTTTTTTTTTTTTTTTTTTTTTGAGACGAGTCTTGCTCTGTTGCCCAGGCTGGAGTGCAGTGGCCCTATCTCGGCTCACTGCATGCTCCACCTCCCAGGTTCATGCCATTCTCCTGCCTCAGCCTCCCGAGTAGCTGGGACTACAGCTGCCTGCCACCATGCCCGGCTAATTTTTTGTATTTTTAGTAGAGACGGGGTTTCACTGTGTTAGCCAGGATGGTCTCCATCTCCCAACCTCATGATCCGCTCCCCTCGGCCTCCCATAGTGCTGGGATTACAGGCGTGAGCCACTGTGCCTGGCAAGAAGAGGTGTTTTAATATATAACAGAAGAAACTTTTCTGATATGAAGAACTATGGAGAACTGAATCTCTACATTAAAAGGATATACTGTGCTCCAAGAAAAACTGATAATGCATAATTGAAACCAAGATCTATCCTGATTAAATTATTCAACTTTAAGAATGAAAAAGGAAATCATCATTCTCAGTAAACTATCGCAAGGACAAAAAACAAACACCGCATGTTCTCACTCATAGATGGGAATTGAACAATGAGAACACATGGACACAGGAAGGGGAACATCACACTCTGGGGACTGTTGTGGAGTGGGGGGAGCGGGGAGGGATAGCATTAGGAGATATACCTAATGCTAAATGACGAGTTAATGGGTGCAGCACACCAGCATGGCACATGTATACATATGTAACTAACCTGCACATTGTGCATATGTACCCTAAAACTTAAAGTATAATAATAATAATAATAATAAAAAAGAAAAAGGAACTCCTCAGTCATCCAAGCAGAAAAAGCAGGTCACCTAAAAGAAGGAAGAATCAGGCTGGCCCTCAGACCTCACAGAAACATTCAATGGTTGCAGTTTCAGGAGACATAGAGTGAGCCTGAGAATACTATATCTGGTCAAGTTGTCATTTATTTATACAAGCCAAAGACAGACATTCTCAAACAAGTGAGAATGTAGGGAATAAAGGGCATAAGATGCTTTTCTGGGGAAAAAAAATACTTAAGTTGAACCAACCGAGATGAATGAAGCTACTGGGGTAAAAGAACTAAAGCAACGTCAGAGAAACAACAGGACAATGACTTCGAGTTCTGAGGGGAAGAAAATAAAGTCTATGAATTTTGTTAGCCAGATTGTCCTTCAAGTATAATAGCAAGAGGCAGTTTGATAAATGCTTTAAAAGAAGCTGTACCAACTTATATCCTATTAGCAGTATTTGAAAATATCGGTTTCCCCACACCCTCATCAACTGTATATCAATTTTTCAGTTGAATAGCAGTGACACATCTCTCTGCTATGGAGTGAATGTTTATGTCCCCTCCAAATTCATATGTTGAAATTCAAACCGCCAATGTGAGGGTATTAGGAGGTAGGGCCTTCAGGAGTTAATTAGGTCATTTGCAAAAAAGACCCTAGAGAGCTCTCTTGTCCTCTTTCAACCAAGTGAGGATACAAGAAGTCTGCTGTCTGCAACCCAGAAGAGTTGGCTGTGTGCAACTGTGTTGTCTGCAAGCCCTCACCAGAACCCTGATCTCAGGCTTCCAGCCCCCAGATCTTTGAGAAATAAATTCCTGTTGTTTATAAGCCACCCAGTCTATGATACTTTGTTACAGCAGCCCAAACTAAGACACCCTCTCATGTATCTTTTTAAAATTACATCAATCTTATGGAAGGGGCATATCACTGCTAATTTAATTTCATTTCTTTAGTTAAAAGTGAACTTGAACTATTTTTCAAATGTTTATTAGACATATTAATATCGAACATATTTTCTGTGACTTTTCTAATTCATATCCTTCACCTGTTTTTCTTTTGGGTTGGCTTTTCCTTATTCATTATTAGGTTCTTTTCATATATTATAGCTATTAATCCTTTATTTATTATGTATGTTGCAAATATGTGATCCCAGCCTATCATGTCTTTCAAATTTGTTTATAGTTTTTTATTATACAGTTTTAAATTTTAATTTTTTTCCTCTACAGCTTCGAGATTTTATGTCCTACTTAAAAGAAGCATTTCAACCACAAGTTTTAAAAAATGTTCTATATTTTCTCTTGGTCCATAATTACATCTTTTTCACTAAGACCTTTACCTAACTATCAGATTCACATAAACTGAGATTATGAGACTTAGATAATCAGACTCACAAAGAATAAATTCAGAAGTGTAAACCAGAATACCAGCTAATTAAGTCACAATGAAGATATAATTTTCCATTGACCAGAATGTATTACATCTTAGCAGAGACACCTCACCTCAGTCTGTGGGTACCTGGAAGGTAGAATTAGTAAACTAGTACCCTGATGGTATTCTCACAACTCACAATAAAAAAGAGAATATTTCATCCAGGGGATCAAAGATGAGAAGAATGCTAAGTACCTTAACCAGAGAAATATAACAGACATAAAGCAGGACCTCTTACCAGCCAGAAGAAACAAATAGGCCTGAAGGAATGATTGAAATTCCCAGGCTCCCCTATTTCCAATATCTTTGTCCCACAGATAATGTTGGGTGCATCCAGCTAAAGTTTATCTCTCTGGCTTTCCTCTATTCCAAGTCGCATTGCAGACCACATCTTTCTTTCCTCAGATGTGTTAATACCACTGATTAGTGGTCAAGTAGCTGTTCCCAAGAGCCTCAGAGAGGTTGGGCTCCTTTCGTCACCTGTTGATTAAGTTAAATTCTCTCAAAGGCAACCTTATCTATAAGTTCTAAGTACTAACTATAACAGTTTCAGCTGAGATGAGAAGAGTAACTGGAATAAAAATTACTGAATAATATAAGATAGTATATAGCAAATGAAGAGGTAATAGCACAAGGTTTTCAGGCATGGGAATGAATGATGAAAATGATGAGGAAGACTGGTTTGTCAGTCACATGATGGTGGAAGCTGGAGCCAGGGAATAGTGAGGGACAATGCAGGCAGGGAGACTAGGCAGGAGGCTGTTATAGTCATCTAAACTAAGCCAGCTCCAAATTCTAGTCTCCAGAGTCTATGACAAACTCATCTCTCTATCCTCAGCACTTAGCCTAAAGCCTGGCATGGTGGTTTTCGATGAGTGGTAAGTGGTCAATTTTAATCAGCATAGCAATTTTCAAGTGAGTTGGTACTTTCAAGGCACTTAAAAAATTTTTGTGCCAAAATATTATCTTATTAATTTATTAATCCTATTATTTCTGCTCAGCAATATCTTTATGTGTAGTAATATAGCCACTTATTAAGGGCCCACAGTATGGCAGACATTTAAAATTTTTAATATAATTCTCATAACAACCCTATAATGATCTATAGATATAGCAAAGCACAGTTCAGATAATTTTAAGAAACATACAAGTTTTCATAGTTAGAAAATGACAGTGCAGACACTAAATAACATATCACAAATTAAGAGAAATAAAGTTTCATCTTATCACTTTTCCGAAAAACAATAATCCTTTTCATTTTATGATGAAAAAACCTGACCCACAGATAAGCTAAAATAGTGGTCCCCAATTTCTTGATCATGTCTACCTATCTGTAAAAAAAGTATACATTCCCCTAATATACATATGTTTATTTATAAATTATCACTATCAGCTAATGTCTTATGGTACAATATATGCTTAGGGCAGAATTCATTAGAATGTATGTATATCTATGTTTCAAATACTCTTCTTAATAATTTCAAAAAGTTTTTGCTGACTTCTTGTCAGATCTGATTAGCTTGTAATTGCTTATATCTGATCATCTGGCTAACAGCTCCTACTAGGAGTAGACGTGATGGCTTGTGTTTGAATTTTTGTATTATTTTCAAGTCATATTTTCTTTGCAGAAATCTTTTTTTTTTTTTTAAGACGGAGTTTCCCTCTTGTTGCCCAGGCTGGAGTGCAATGGTGTGATCTCGGTTCACTGCAACCTCCGCCTCCCAGGTTCAAGCAATTCTCCTGCCTCAGCCTCCTGAGTAGCTGGGATTACAGGCGCCCACCACCACGCCAGGCTAATTTTTGTATTTTTTAGTAGAGACGAGGTTTCACCATGTTGGCCAGGCTGGTCTCGAACTCCTGACCTCAGGTGATCCACCCGCCTTAGCCTCCCAAAGTGCTAGTATTACAGGTGTGAGCCACCATGCCCGATCTGCAGGAATCTTTTTAAACCATCTGTTCATTCTATGGACATGTTTAGCTAAAACTGGTTAACATAATCAGCAAATCGCTTAACTAGGCACATGCTAACTGCAACATATCATAGGCACCACTGTCAACTCTTACATTGTTGAGATCTCCATCTGCCTTCAGCGTGCATCGTGTCCCTCACATGACAGGTGACCAAATGACTTAAAGAGTGAAGATGTCCATCTCAATGCTCATGTAAAATATCAGTAAAGCTCATTATTTTAACAGTAAAACTACATATAAATTGTAGTTCTACTATTTTCTTCCTGACCTAAGGAATCACCTTTGAAGACCTCTAGGCAAGAGGATCGCCTCAAGCAATAAGGTCAGAAGTTTTCCCATTGGCTTTCTAATTCTTAATCTAGAGTCTTCCTGAAAATGCTGTTTCAAGGAGGAAATACATACCTTCTTGGCTGGGCAGATCTTCTAGGTCTTTTTGCACTTGCCTGGTGAATGAGCTTACTCTGAGTCTGGAGTGTAGGGGAGGAGCTGGGGGTTTGGCATGATCATCTCAGTTTTAAGATTGGGCCTAGAAGAGTCATAGCAAAACCCTAGAATGCAGCTCTGCTCTCTCGTTTTCCTGGTGGTCACCACAAGAAGAGACAGAATCACAAATGGACTTGTTGATGAAAGAGGCTTTCAGAGGAACTCTGTGAGAGCCTCTTGTTTCACTGAAGAGGGAGATGTGGCACTACATGCCCCAGGACCCTCAGCCTGTGGGCCTGGGACTTACCAGGACCTCACCAGGGACGAAGTTTCGTTGCATGCCTGGCTCATTTCTACTCCATTTCCCCATTGGGTCAGGGCCAGGAACCCAGATGTCCCCTCCCTTGGTGCAGCCACTGTTTCAGAGTCTCTAGGAGGCAGAGAGCCTGGAGGGCAGTGGGGGCGGGCAGGAGGAGTAGGGTCCTCCAGTCCAGCTGGTCTGATGGGGGCTGTGTCTTGGACTAGGGAGAGTCCCCCAGACTATGCTTGGAAAAGCAAGAGAATGCTTCATTTTCCTTACTACCATTTGGTGCAACATCTAGTCCAGTCAAAGGAGTTGTTGGGGAGCTCCCAACCTCCAAACTTGATGCACACAGAAAGGCTGAGGGTCTTTGATCACCTGGAGCACAGCCCTTTCCCCTCAAAGACCCCTTTAGAGGTGGAATTCTCTGGACTTTACTAGGAGGCTCCTCAATACCCCACAGCACACACCCCTGTTAGCCTAAATCTTGAATCCCTCTCCCTATCTCCCTCACTTTGAATGACTTGGAAATTTACTCCCAAATACCAGGCCCTTCCAAGTCTGTCTCAATAAATAATAACAGCTAACTCTTAATGAGCACATGCTAAATGGCTTATGTGGATTAATTCACTTAATCCTAACGGCAAGTCTGATGCAGACACTACAGTTATCCACATTTTATAGATGAGGAGATTGAGGCACAAAGAAGCTAAAGCCCTTGCCTGAAGTCACCTAGCTGGTTAATGATGAAGGTGGCATTTGTAGCCAAGCAGTCCACCTCTTGATTCTGCTCTTAACCACTATACTATGCACTATGATATACTTCATGTTAAAAATGGATGTTTTTGGACATGGGGGTGGGGGGAGGGGGGCGGGATAGCATTGGGAGATATACCTAATGCTAGATGACGCGTTAGTGGGTGCAGCGCACCAGCATGGCACATGTATACATATGTAACTAACCTGCACAATGTGCACATGTACCCTAAAACTTAAAGTATAATAAAAAAATAAAAATAAAAATAAAAATAGATGTTTTCTCAGCTTCCATAAAGTATGACTAAAAACACGTTAGGAAACATTTGATCTGTATCATATGAGCTATACAAATGTAGCTTCAAGGTACATCTCCCCAGCTGCCTTCCAGCCAAATGGCTGCTGCCCCAAAGATGCTCCTACCTTAAAATTCTAGAACTGCTGCTGCAAATGCCCTTCGTTTTGATCCTCCTTGAGGCCCTTGGTATCCTCATGGATACCTTCATTGGTGGTCTTATGTGCTGTCAGTGATATTCCTTTCCACTCAAGGGAACACCTGCAGTGCTCACTAGCTGAATGTTTACTCCTCTTTCTGGAAGGAAGATGAAAGCAAGCAAGGAGAGCTGGGTACACACACATCCATCAACTGGGCTTTGATCTCTCTGCCTGGGAAGCAGATTTCACACTCAAGCCAACTGCAACAAGTTTTACTAGTGCGGTCTCCTGTGATATCCCATCCAGTCTGGAATTGAATCTGCACAGTAGTGAGTCTCCTCAATGCCATGCTCCCCAAGGACCCGGGGCTTGCTCTCATGTGGGTAAGGTGAGCACTCAACAAATGAACTGAGGCGGGACGTGCAGTCAGTTCCTGTGGAGTTCGAGCAACATCAGGCCCAAAACTCGGAGCCCCTACATAGTAGAGCCCCTACTGTTTGCAGAGTCCATCACGTGTCCACACTTGCAGCCACAGCTAGCAGAACAGGAGAGAGGCTTGTTGGGCACCAAGACCCACCCGACCCATGGCTGCTGCCCTTAAGCCCTTTAATTCTGATGCAGGATCAGGTAGGTAACATGGGCACAAGTGAAGACACTGTCTCATGGCTGTCTGAGGTAAAAGGGATTCAGTGAACAGATGAAGGAGCTGCAAGGAGGAGACGCCAGGTGGCAGCTGGAGAAGAAAAGCAGTCAGTGAAGACAAGAAGGGCAGGGGACCAGCTGTGGAGAGGCCAGACAGCTGGCTGGCCAGAAGAAACCCTTTAGGATGTCGTTTGGGGCCTGAAACGCACCCTCAGCAGCGTAAGTTATTGCAACGCCCTTGCAAATATAAAGTGCTGTACAAACACTAAATCTAGAATGGCTAATAATTTTGTTATGTTAAAGCATTCGTGTCAGGTAATTAATGTACTCATTGTGATCATTTAATTTTATGGCAGGTAGTATAGGGCTGGACAGAAATAGGGCTCTTTGGCCCAGTCCTCTCATTTCTCATTAGATAAGCCAACAACGCGGCCTCCCTGGTCTGCTGCGCCAAGGTGTTGCTGGAGAGAACTGCTGCAGGAGGCTCAGAACCTGGACTTGGGGCCTTCATGAAAGGGGATTTCATTTTCCTTGGCCCCTGGTGCCTAGAGGCCCTAGTGCCCCCTGGTGGTATCTGAGGCACCATTTCCTCAAAGGAAATTCATAGCTGAATTAGTGGGGAAACAGACAATTAGTTGCCTGGATAAAAGCTTCTCCCTTGACAAGTGTGCCTGAAAGCCACAAGGGTGCTGTGCACAGTAAAGGTGGAGTTGGCGTGGCTGTGTGGTGCTCCTTGTGCGGGCAGGCCAAATGGAAGGCTCTGTCACAGTTGGAGCACCTGGAGGGAACTAGGAGGCCTGGCCATACTGCCCCAGAAAGCCCTAAAGGGAAGCTGTTCAGGCTCCTGTCCACCGCAGGCCACTACGGTGCTCTGGTGGAAAGGGGATCTCTCCTTGTTCCTTGCCCAGTCTACTGAGGGCTCAGCTTGCAGCAGGGACTCCATCTTCCATCTGTTCTCTCTATTCCTTCCCAGTGCCCATCACCCCTCCAACCCCTCAACACACCCCAAGCCAAGGCAGGTACTCCTATTCCTTTCCCTAAACCTTCCTGTCATCTCCTCCATTGTGAGCCCTTCTTGACTAAGTAGGTCCCAAAGAAGAGCCTCACCTTCCATCTGCTCTCAGTCCCAGTTTGTATGCCAGCCTGAAGAGGGGTTCAAGAAGGTGTAGGGCTAGGGCTTGCCCCAGCCCTGAATGAGCCCCCAACCTCACACATGTCTATATTCATGTAAATGCAGACATCTGTCTCTGCCTCGACCTTCTCATTGATCCTTTTGTGCCTAGAAGTGGTGACCAGTCGGCTTCTCCATGCTGGATATATTAAGGTTAACTTGCATAGAAACCGAGTTATGACTTACAGAATCCTTGGCTGTGGTCATTGCCCCCGCCTCCCTCTCTCTCCGTACTCTGCCTGGATACCACCTCACTTCAGATTAAAGGTATAGCAGCGGGTTGACCAATAACTAATATATTTATTATGGACCCAGAAAGGTTTGGGTCCTAGTATCTTTCTTTGTTAAAGTCAGCAACAGTTGTCTGGATGACCCATAAACTCCAGGTTACTTATAACCTGGTGGGTGAGGGCACAGGGAAGACAGTGGGTTTGCTAGTGACAATGGCCCTGAACATCTCAGAACTGGTGTGTCCTTAGGAAGCTCTCTGCATAGTATGATGACTACTGTCTTCCAGACTAGTATTTGGCCTAGAGCTCCATGTTCATTAGCACGAGTCTCACAAAAATAATAGCACTGGCACTACTATCCATCGAGGCACCACTATGTGCCAGGAATGCAGAAAAGTACTTTGTGTATTGTCTCATGTAATGCACCCAACACTCCTATGGTGTTGGGGTCATTTGTGGCCTCATTTACAGGCATAAGAACTAAGTCTCAGACAGGTTACGTAGCTTACTTAAGGTCATAGGGTTGCTAGGTGGCAGAGTTGGAATTTGAACTTAAGCAGTCTAGGACAAGAATCCACATGCATAACCACTACTCTACATTGCTTCTTTCTGTGCTATGCTGTCTGGATACACTGGCCTACTATTCCAAAATAATTATTTTAGTCTACTCTGTTCCAGGGACTGTGCTGGGCCCTTGAGAGAGGAGGACTCTATACAAGATTGATGGATTTATTGATATTTCCTATTTGCCAATCACTATGCTAAGCTGTACTGGAGAGGAATCTATTATCCGATGAGTGGCTGCTACATCTACAGCTCTTGACCAAGAGGAGGGGCCCTGGGTGCTTTCTTATGTATAGATGACCACATGTGGTATTAAGTGACTTTACCACCCTGGCCACAGCAAACTGGATCAAGGATGAAGACCTGGCTGGGTGCGGTGGGTCACACCTGTAATCCCAGCACTTTGGGAGGCCAAGGCGGGCGGATCACCTGAGGTCAGGAGGTCGAGACCAGCCTGGCCAACATGTTGAAACCAGAATTGGTGTGTCTCTACTAAAAGTACAAAAAAATTAGCTGGGCGTGCTGGTGCGCACCTGTAGTCCTAGCTACTCGGGAAGCTGAAGCAGGAGAATTGCTTGAACCTAGGAGGCGAAGGCTTCAGTGAGCCAAGATTGCGCCATTGCACTCCAGCCTGGGTGACAAGAGAAAACCTTTGTCTCAAAAGAAAAGAAAAAAAAAAAGATGAAGATCAGACCCAAAGACAGCCAATCTATTGGCTGACCAAGAATCCACAGTGTGGCTCAACAAGAAATCTCTGCCCAACAGAGTTAGTGACTAGGGTATGGTCAAACCAACAAGATCCTTTTCCTTGGAAATATAAACTCTTATTGGTTGGAAGTGTTGGGTGCCATAGAAGCAAGGACAGAGTACTAAGTGACCATAACGGTGAAACATAAGAGTAGAGATCAATGAATGCCCAATTCAGAGGCAGCAATGAAATCACCTAATTTCTAGAACTATGCTGTATCCTGAACCAGTTCTAGTTCTCTAAGTTTTTTTATGATCTCTGTGAAGTCTAACCGTGTGGCTATATATCTTGACTTGACTTTCTTATTTCTGTCTATATCCTCACAAAGATCCCCTATAATCAACATAATTTCAGTGTGTCCTCATGGAGCTCACAATTGAGCAGGCAATACAGATGATAATGAAGCAATTATTTACCATAGATAAGTGCTACTATGGGGGAAGCCCAAGAGGCTGTGAGAGTACAGAGGCACCTAATCTAACCAGAGACAGTCAAGGAGGGCTTCCTGGAGGAGGACGAATAGCATACAGTTCTCATTTTATTCAAAGCAAAATCCACATCTTTAAAATGGCCCACAGTCTTTAAAATAGCCTACATAGGCCGGGCACGGTAGCTCAGGCCTGTAATCCCAGTACTTTGGGAGGCCAAGGCCGGCGATCACCTGATGTTGGGAGTTCGAGACCAGCCTGACCAACATGGAGAAACCCCGTCTCTACTAAAAATACAAAATTAGCCAGGCGTGGTGGCACATGCCTGCAATTCCAGCTACTCAGGAGGCTGAGGCAGGAGAATTGCTTGAACCCGGGAGGCGGAGGTTGCCGTGAGCAGAGATTGTGCCATTGCACTCCAGCCTGGGCAACAAGAGCAAAACCCCAACTCAAAAAAAAAAGAAAAAAAAACAGCCTACACAATCTGACACTCTCAATTCCCACATTCCCTCTCTAATTTCTATTCCTATCACTTTATTTCCCTTCTTGCTCACTCTGCTCCAGCCTCATTGGTCTGCTGGGTGCCCCTGAAACACATCGACTCCTGCCTCAGGGTCTGTGCTCTCGCTTTTCTCTTTACCTGTAATGTCTCCAGATACCCACTTGTTCAATTCTCTCACCTCTTTTAAATTTTGCTCAAATATTATTTTCTCAGTGAGGTATACCTTGACCTCTGATTTAATACTGCATCCTGTTTACCATTGCCTACTCCTATACCCAGACACTCTTGATCTCCTTACCCTACTCTACTTTTTTCTCTTTTCCTTAGAACTTATCATCTTCAAACATATCTAATGATTTACTTATTTCTGATATTTGTGGTTTTTGTCTGGCTCTCCATGTTTAGAAAGTAAGCTGAACATGGACAGAAACTGTCTTAGTCTATTTGGGCTGCTATAACAAAATACCATAGACCAGATGGCTCATAAACAATAGAAATTTATTTCTCACAATTGTGGAGACTGAGAAGGCCAAGATCAAGGTGCTGGAAGATTCAGGTTCTGGTGAGGACCCATTTCCTGGTTTATAGATGGACAGCCATCTTTCATTGTGTCCTCAGATGGTAGAAGAGGCAAGGGATCTCTCTGGGCTTTTGTTTTTTTTATTTTTATCTTTTTTTTTCCCACCCTGTCTTATGGTATGGATGGGATTTCTTTTATAGGGCACTAATCACATTCCTTGAGCCTTCATGATCTAATCACTCCCCAAAGGCCCCACCTCCAAATACTCTCACATTGGGGATTAGATTTCCACGTATACATTTTGGCGGGGTGGGCCACAGACATTCAGACCATAGCAGTGATTTTATTTTGTTTATTGACTGTCATAGGTTGTGTTACCCAGGAAGCAGATTCTGAGACAAAGTGTAGCATGCAAGTGGTTTTTAAAGAGTGTTCTTGGGATCAACACCGATGGAAGTGAGGGAGGCAGTATTGGTGCAGAGGGAGAAGTTGAGCTGTGATGCAGTCCCAACAAAGGCCTCAAACAATCCTATAGGAAGCTCTGGAGCTGGAGTGGTCTTTCAAAATTATTTGAATTGGGATAAGGGGGCTGGGATCTTTATATTCTAGTGTTGATCAGCCCCTAGAAGGAGAAAGGATGTTAGCCAAAGAAGTTTTTCTTCAACTGCAGCAGTCCCTCAACAAGGCTAACACAGCTGAGGCCTAGCCATAAACAGCACTCCCAGCAACTGGTGAAATAATTCCTTTTCTTCCTGAAGGTGGATCTAGGGTGGATCTAGGCAACAGACCACAGCGACTACTGCAATTTTTCCTGGTGCCACTTGGATTTACTTCTTCTTCTTTTTTTTTTTTTTTTTTTTTGAGATGGAGTCTTGCTCTGTCACCCAGGCTGGACTACAGTGGCATGATCTCAGCTCACTGCAACCTCCACCTCCCGGATTCAAGTAATTCTCCTGCCTCAGCCTCCTGAGTAGCTGGGATTACAGGAGTGTGCCACCACGCCTAGCTAATTTTGTATTTTTAGTAGAGATGGGGTTTCATCATGTTGGCCAGGCTGGTCTCGAACTCCTGACCTCAAGTGATCTGCCCTCCTCGGCCTCCCAAAGTGCTGGGATTACAGGTGTGAGCCACCATGGCTGGCCGGATTCACTTCTTTATATAAATTGTTAGAACATCTCCTCAAGGATTTTGGTAGGCCTCTCTTCCTAAGAAAAATTTAGAAGAGAAAGGTTTTCAGAATAGACTATAGATCCCACTGTTACAGCTAGTCTTAGGGCCGCAACTTATTATATTCCCTTTCTACTAACAATTCTAGACTCCCCTTACCCTCAGGTAATGCATTTGTTGGTCTTGGTAGCTTCAGTTGTGGTATGACCCAGACTGTCATCACTAAGGGATCTCAGGCTGGTCACCATGCCCTTCTCAAACTGCGGTTGTTGCACTTGTCCATATATCATCAAAACAGGAAGGCAGGATCAATAAATGCTCAAGTACCAAGTGGATCACTCTTGGTTGCCCCCATTGTGTAATGGCAGCCCTACTGCCTTCCAATGATTAGAATCAATTACCTCTGCCAAGATAGGGTGACTTTTCTTCTTGCCTCTTGGTCCCCTAGCATGAACCATATTATAACCATATTATAACCAGGCAGGAACCATATTATATAGATCAATGTGAATCTGGCTGTGTCTCCGAACAGAAGTGTTTCCCCTTTGGCAACCAGCTCCTCTAAATTTGCAAAGACCATAATTTCCACAAGTGGATCATTAGGAGTAATGGTAAATGGGGCTACTCCTGCTTCTATCCCTTGGTTCCCAGACCCAATTGCAGACACATCTCCATATAAAGGTCTTTGACTTAAAGTATATACTGTGTCCTAGAACAGCGTTTCTCATCTTTGACACTATTGACATTTTGGACTGGATAATTCCTTGTTAGGGGGTGCTGTCCTACATGTAGGATGCACATCCATGGGCTCTACCTACTAGATGCTAGTAGTATTATCTTTCCTCTCTGTCCCTACCCCCCAGTTGTGACAGTAAAACATGTATCTACATTTTCTTTTTTTCTTTTTTTTTGAGATGGAGTTTCGCTTTTGTCACCCAGGATGGAGTACAATGGTGCAATCTCAGCTCACTGCAACCTCCGCCTCCCGGGTTCAGGAGATTCTCCTTCCTCAGCCTCCTGAGCAGCTGGGATTACAGGTATGCACCACCACATCCGGCTAATTTTTTGTATTTTTAGTAGAGACGTAGTTTCACCATGTCGGCCAGGTTTGTCTTGAACTCCTGACCTCAGATGATCCATCCACCTCAGCGTCCCAAAGTGCTGGGATTATAGGCATGAGCCACCACATCTGGCCTTTTTTTTTTTGAGACAGAGTCTCACTCTCACCCAGGCTGGATTGCAGTGACACGATCTCGGCTCACTGCAACCTCTGCCACCCGGGTTCACGCCATTCTCCTGCCTCAGCCTCCTGAGTAGCTGGGATTACAGCTGTGTACCACCACACCTGGCTAATTTTTTTGTATTTTTAGTAGAGATGGGATTTCACCACATTGGCCAGGCTGGTCTCGAACTCCTGACCTTGTGATCTGCCTGCCTCGGCCTCCCAAAGTGCTGGGATTACAGGCATGAGCCACCACACCCGGCCGTGTCTCCATTTTCTCAGTGACAGAGCTCAGAGAGAAAAAAAAAAAAGTCTCCAGACATCGCCAGACATTGCCAAGTGTCCCCTGGAAGGCACAATTGTCTCCAGTTGAGAGCCAGTATCCAAGAAATGGTGCCCCATTCTCATAAAATATCACATCGTAGCTGGCGTTTCAGCTATGTCAACAGAACATTTCATTTCTCTGTTGGGCTGGCAGTTCCTGGGTTCTGTAGTATGTGATATGTACAATCAACGGATCTCATTTATGGGCTCACTGTTGCACCTCCTTTGTTGTAAAGTAGGTCCTTTTTTCTGATGTGGTGGATACTATATGAGATCCTATGCTGGTAGATTAAACACTCTGTGTAAGCCTTCACTAAGTGGTGTTGGCTAAAGCCCTACAAGGCAGAAAAGGCAAACTCAGAATATGGGTCTATTCCTGTCAAAATGAATTTCTGTTCCTTCCAGGATGTAAAGGGTCCAAAATAATCAGCTTGCCAACAAGTGGCCAATTGATCTCCTCAATGGACATTGCCATCTTGGGGCCTTAGCATTGGTAGGTTGGACATTCTGCAGTGGCAGTAGCTAGATCAACTTTGGTAACTGGAAACCTGTGTTAGTTGGCCCATGCATAACTTCCTTCCATCCCTGCCATCATGGCTACTTCATCTATGCATTCATTGCACCAACATCAGGGCAGCCAATGACAGAAGCTGGCTGATATCAACTGGCTGAGTCATTTTGTTTACTTGATGGTTTAGTGCCTCTTCCATGGTGGATGCTCTCTGAAGGGCATTAACAGGTGATACAAAGATCTTCACAATTTGTATTCATCCTCATATGTCCATTCACCTGCTACTACCCCAGACTGTCTTGTCTGTGGTCCTCCAATATTGCTTCCAGGCCCTGGCCAGTCATCCCAATCATTGCCCACTGCTCATGAGTCCATATATATTCTAACCTTGAATTACTTCTCTTTCCAAAGTAGATGACCAATGCTTTATTCACTGGGATGATTTTCCCTCACCTCTGTCTTTCAGCGCAGCCACTGTCCATTTTCAGCTTGTACCCACATACTGGGTAAACCCATCCATCAAAGTAGGGCTTTACCCTCCTCTTCCCTGATCATAAGGCACTTCTTCACACAACCTATATGTAAGCAGAGGAGAGGCACTGATGCCATGTGGTAGATGACATGGGGGGCTGGGATACCTGCTCTGCAGCTTGCTTGTGTCCTCTAGTCCTGTTCATGCTCAATCTCACCATGTGTCTCTTCCATCTTAGGATGAATTATTACTTGGCCTGCCTAATCTTATGACTTGGTAGGTCTCAGAACCCAGTTTGTTATTTTTATTTTTGTAGAGACAGGGTCTGGCTATGTTGCCCAGGCTGATCTTGAACTCCTGACCCCAAGTAATCCTCCTGCCTCAGCCTCCCAAAGTTTTGGGACTACAGGTGTGAGCCACTGTGCCTGGCCCAGAACCCAGTTTTTATTATAGAGTTAAATGACCTGCATTAAAAATCATGCAGGGGCAGAGAGAGTACAGGCCCATAGAGAAGGTTTGAAAGGACAGTGGAGATAAGGGGAGAATTCAAATGTCTCCTGTTTTCATTTTACTGATCCTGCTTTATGTAGAACAGTTACTTTCTGTGTGGCAGGTATTCTTCTAGGCTCTTTACATGTATTATTGATGTAATCTACACAACCTATGAAGTAGGTATCATTATATCCATTTTACAGAGAAGGAAACTGAGATTTAGGCAGGTTAAGGAACTTCCTTAGGAGTTTAAGTTGGTGAGTAGTGGAACAAAGTCTGAATCCCAGGACTGTCTGACTCCAAGGTTTATTCTTTAAATAGCCATACTGTTATCCATTCTCTCAACACCAGCTGCCATGAGATAAAACGAGGAAAGAGGTGTGTATGTATGTATGTGTGTATGCGATGGGGAGTAGAGGAACCTTTTCTAGCTGCGGCTGTGCTGTGCTATGCTGAAGAGCCTCCAGTTTCTTACCAGTTCATTCAGTCCTACATCCAGCAAACGTTCACTGAATACCTCTCTGATACAGAATAAAAAGGACTGAGACAGATGTTTTGCTTCTATACCCTTGCAACTTCCCTTAGGGAGGGTGTTCCTACAAGGGGAGGGTTGCTACTCACATTTTGAGTAGAGAAAGCAAGGCCTCTGTAGGAAAGGAGGTATTCACTTGCCCAGGATAGCTTTAAGGGCTGGAGAAAGGATAAGAAGGCTTGGCCATCTGGCCCTAAGACGCAAACTGCTCTCCTTCCCTGCTTCCAAGAGCAGCCCTGCAGGTCCTGGGGAGAGGTGTTGACAGTCTGGTCCTCAGAGTTCTTTTTGATATAAGCCTGTGTGTCAGTCTTCCCCTTCTCAGAGGTCTCGGGTCCCTGATGTCTCAGCAGTACCCTCTCCCACCTCATCATTAGAGCTATTGATGACTTTCTGCCTCATGCACCTGAGCTTCTACTTATTAAGTAGCCACCTGTCCACTCAATCTTCTGCCACTCCCTGGGTGCATTTGGAGCTGCAGTCAGACCCATGGGCCAGGTTTTTTAATTCAGCCTGGGAATATTAACCACCACAATAATAATCACTTACATTTAGGCTGGGTGCGGTGGCTCATGCCTGTAATCCCAGCACTTTGGGAGGCTGAGGCAGGCAGATCACCTGAGGTCAGGAGTTCAAGACCAGCCTGGCCAACATGGTGAAACCCCATCTCTACTAAAAAATACAAAAAAAAAAAAAAATTAGCCGGGCGTGGTGGCGTGTGCCTGTAGTCCCAGCTACTCAGGAGGTTGAGGCAGGAGAAACTGCTTGAACCTGGGAGACAAAGGTTGCAGAGAGATAAAGGTTTCAGTGAGCCAAGATCATGCCACTGCACTCCAGCCTGGACAACAGAGCCAGACTCCGTCTCAAAAAAAAAACCCAAAAAACACTTACATTTAGTCAGCACTTACTGTATGCCAGGCCTTGTGTCAAACCCTATACAGGAACGATTTTCTTTCATCCTTGGGGCAACGCTACAATGGAGGCCCTGCGCTAGCACTGGAGGTGGAGAATGCAGTTGACATGCAGCCGCAGCTCTTTCGGGAAGGATTCTGCTGCCCCTTGACTCCCCCAGCCTCACTTGTCCTACACAGCCAGACCACTGCAGGACCTGCTGCTCTGGCCTGCCTGCAGCTTTGGGCTGGTTTCCCTTGCCCGTTTCCTTGCCTGAACAGGCATCTCCACCAGGTCAGCTCCTTCCCCTCAGCTTCCCTTGTTCTTTTCCTGGCCTTGGCTCATGCTGTTCCTTCTGCCCAGAATCCCCCTTTCCCCTTGTCTGCCTGGTGAAATCCATACTTACCAAGCCTTGCTTTAATGTCATCCTGACCTCCCTGCCCTCCCCTGTCAGGATGAATTGCTCCCTCCTTTGTGTTGCTGAACAGCACTTATCGCAGAGAACTGTAGTTACTTGTTTCACCACTCAGTCTGGGAGAAGAGACGGCAGAGACTGGTCTGATTCACCTCCTTGTCTCTAGGGCTCGGGGGCTGCCCAGTGTTTGACGAAGCCCATTGGGATTGGAGCGGGGGCTGTGAAGTTTGGCTGAGGACATCTCTGGGATGCGACCTTGGTTCTTCCTGCATTCTGATCTCTAACTTCTCTCTCCGTGGTTTGCCAAAACTGGATTTCAGAGACTAAGACAGGATCTCTCCCTCAGCTGGAATATGTTGACTGTCTCTCCCCTCCAGAAGAACCTCTTTCTTTGGTGGCCAACTTGTTGCCTGTGTCCTGCCTGGTATCCCCTCCAGCCTTGGTGCTCCCAGCTCTCCCCCATTTAGCAGCATCTGTAGATTTCATTAACTTGCTACTTAACCCCTCTTGCTCAGATCAGCTGTGAAGATGATAAATCAGGCCCAGGGCTCATCCCTGCAGTGGCCTTCTTCTCCACACCCCTCTCTAACAAGCCTCTGGCTGCCCCTATTCATCACCAGCTGCCCTCTCTTTCTTCTGCAGTTTCATGGCCCCCCCTATTCCCCTCCACCACAGACCATGTCAGGGTTACAGCCCAGCCACTTTGGATTGAATTCTGGAACCACACTTGGAGACAAACCCTGGAGCCTCACCCAGGGGCAGCAGGAGGTCGTAGGCCCTGGTTGGGAAAGGATGGGGAAGGCTAAGGGAGCACTGGATCCCCTTTCTAGCCATGGGACCAGGTTCATTTGTGTTTAAGAAGGGGTAGGGCCGGGGTTAGATTGGACCTGTATTCTCACTCCCTTACTCAAGACCTCACCGAATCTGCTATTCTGCTCACAGGGAGGGCCACCTGGACCTCAGTGGAATACCGGAGTTAGGTCAGTGTGGCAAGCAGTGTGGTTTGTCTGGAACTTAGCAGAATGGCTCTTTTTCCTCCTGGGTGGGAGCCACCCTGGCTCCTTTCCTAAGCTCTGCCTAGACACTGACTCCAATTTTCCTTCTTCCATGTGTTACCTTGCCCTCTCCTCTTCTAGACTCCAGGTCTCTCCTCTTGACTTCTTTCTCTTTCCTTTCCATGCCTCATCTCCTATTTCCTTCTCTTAATTTTTTTCTAGGTATAAACTCCCTAGAAGGAACCATCCTAGATGTCAGGGGCCTAAGCTTTTTGTAGTTCTGAGCAGGGCCTTTCTGCTTTTTCCCATCCCCCAGAGATCCCTCCTTTCCTGGGTCCCCTTTATTTCTACATCTGCCCCCATTCTTGCTCTCCTTTTATCCCCCAGTTCCTCACCTTCATTCTCAGCCTTCACAGGAGACAGTGTCAGAGAATGTGGAGCATCCTGCCCAGGCTCACAACAGGTTCTTGAAAAACATCCATTAAGCCCAGATTGGAGTCTCCCCATCTTTGTTTCTTCGTCGTCCCTTCCCAGGCCCTGGACGATCCTCCACCCTCCCTGCTTGTAAGCAGGAGGCCCCTCCACTGGCACCCTCCTTCTGTCCAGTGAGGGGCAGGGGCGTCCAGGCCTCTGGAAGCTCATTCAGCCCCTCCCCGCATGTGCGCTTTTGTCAGGTGCTATTTCCACAATGTCTTCATTACCTCCTAATTGGCCAAATCTCTTTTCTTTATTTTTCTTGTTAAAGACAGATTTAAAGAATGAGTTCAGCAGCTCAGCCATTTTCAGACCATCATTAATTTCCCACCTTCTTATTTATTAATGGGGCAACTTCCTTGCTGGTATTTCTTATTCCCTGGATATCTCTGTAAAAGCCTGCCTTGCTCGTGCAACCCCTGGGACCAGTGCTAACTCACTCTGACTTTGTGCTGCCCTCAGCTGCTCTGCAATTCCCTCCGCAGCCCTGCTGCGCTCACAGTCCTACCACCCACAGCTTGCAGCGAGGAGAGTCTAGAACGCCCCTGCATTCTAGGCACAGAGGCTTCCTTCCTCTGCACAGAGTGGAACGAGACTCCCAGTTCTCTCCTCCACCCTTACCTTCTTCCACTGTATTCCAGGTCCTACACTAAGCTGAACATGTACAGTCTCATTCACTCAAGACCTTAAGGAACAAAAGGGGAAGCAGAAGCTCAGGGAGCAGCAATGACTTGCCCAGAGTCACTTTGCTCAGAAGAGGAAGAATCACGAAGTGAGCCCAGGTTTGCCTGGATCCCTGGCTTGAAGTTTACCTCTATGCCAGCCCACCTCAGGGAGGAGGTTATGGTTAGGATAAGTCTTGATACAGAAAGAGAAATGAGGACCAGTGAGACAGCAGCAGCACTGTGGGAAATAGCAGTTGGTGACCTGAGGATTAGCAGGACTGCAGTCAGCAAACTGTGTTGGGTGACCTGCCTCTCTCTTTTGTACCTTCACCTCTGTGGGTTCTACAGTTAAAGGACTCGTGTTTTAACGGCGATGTTACTAACACTTGGGAGCAGTTACCTGGGAACCCTCTGCATGCCTCTGAAGGGTAAGCCTGTACACACAGCTCCCACTGAGTCCTTCCAAATGGATTCTCGGTAGTTGCCTTTTAATTCTGGTTCTCCAGGAGCCTCAGCCCATTTCTCCAGGTGAGTGGGCTAACCTGCTGCTGTCCATGCATGAGTGTAGGTGAGAGTCGGTAAACACTGGACTCCTTGAGCTGACAGCTACTGCCATGGAGCCCAGGTCTTGGTCTGAGCACATGCTTAGTCCACTGATGGTTCCTAAACCTTCTCTAATATGAGTGACAAGGACTTGTGGTGCAGTCTTGTTAGGATTCCTCCTTGGGTCTTTCTATAATCAGAAATACTCTTATTATCCCTAGGCTCTGAGCCCAGACTCCAGGTGAGGGCCTATTTTGCCCAGGGCCCAGTGGCTAAGGCTGCGGCTACCTCCACGTTGCTGGTGAGTGGTGAGATGATGATGAGGACAGTGATCCCTCGTCAGGGTACAGGCCTAACACAAAGACAGCCTGGAGGTCTCATGGCTGCCTCCAAATGCCAAGTCATTGCTTTTCCTGTTGGAAATGGAAGCTTTGGGCAGGCCCTTAGGAGGCTCAAGGGAAGAGAGAAGAGAGAGAACTCAGAGCAGAATCTTCCTGCCCAATCTGGAACTTCAGTGGCCCCCCAGCAGCAGTAGCCCAGGAGCAGCAGCAGTGCCAAGAAGGAGTCCCCTGGGACCAAGCCCTGGAGCTGTGTTTTTACACTAAAAGACCTTGTTTCTTGTCTCGTCCTGGTCATAACCCTGCTTAATAGAGACATCAAGATGAATGATTGAAGCTGCCTCTCACTGCAGCTGGAAGGAGGGCAGCCTGGGTGACCCTGGACTGAGGGGACACTATGGGGATGGGGTTGAGGTGGGAGGGGATCTGCAAAGCATCCCCCCTCCAACACTGAGCCTCAGCTTTGGGAGCTGAAACCTCTTGTCCCATAAGAGCTTTCTGAAGGCTGCCTCATCCAACAGGCCTTTTTTCTGGGATGAACATCTCCGGCTGTGTTCTGCCTCCCCAGCATCAGGGAGGGGATGATACAAGTAGGAAAAGCCACAGGTGTATAATGGACAACAGTGACTTTTACATATACAGGCTTTCAAAGAGCTTTGATAAGCTTCCATGCACATAGCTTTTCGTATCTATGAAAACAACAGATAACACTGATTGGGTGTTTTCTGCGTGTTTCAAAGGCTGTGCTTTATATGCATTGTTGTATCTGATCATCACCACAGCCCCATGGTACAGGCCAAAGTACTGTCCCCAATTTACAGATGAGAAGACTGAAGCTTAGAGAAGTTAAGCCACTTGCCCAAGTTCACTCAGCTAATAAGTAGTGGACTTGGGCTATGAGCCCAAGCAGTCTGATTTCAGAGCCCGTACGCGTAACCACTGTCATCGTTCGCTGCCTCTGGTTTTACAAATTGACCTAGCTTGGAATTGGGAGGAGGGTAGAGGAGGACTGAGGTTTTGTATCAGATAGGGAATTGATTTAGAGGTCAGAGACAATAGTTAGGGATAAACAGGCTCATCTCTGGATGGGGCTGCAGAAGCGGTGGGACCCCAGGGAGCACTGCTGAGACAGGCCTCATTTAGCATGTTTATGACAGGTCTGGCAGAGGGCAGCTCAGGAAAAGCTGCCCCTTCAGAGATGGAGATGACACCAAACACTTTTGGGCAGGAAAATGTCTTGCTTTTTATCTTCCCCCAGCCACCCCCCTTACCCCTTACCTGATACCTTGCTGGATATGGAACAAATATTCAATAAACGGCTTCTAAAATATAGATGCTAAAAAAAAAAGTAAGAGTCACAGTAGTCTTAAACCAGACTCAGCAGAAAGAAAAATGCTCTGTGCCTACTGATGTGAGTGGACATGTTTAGGGGAGGTGGGAAGGTGGGAAGGTGGGGAAGGTAGGCCAGAGAGATAGCGCTACTAAAGTAGGATGATGGTGCCCTCAAAACCTTGCTACTCAAGGTGTGGTCTGAAGAGCAGCAGCACAAGCTCCCCAGGAAACTTGTTAGAAATGCAGAGTCAAGGCCTTTTCCTGACCCACATAATCACAATTTACATTTTAACAAGATGCCCAGGTGATTGGAATGCACATTAAAGTTTGAGAAGCACTGCCCTAACACAGAAGCTCCAGTAGTGGCTCTCTATTACCCTCAAGACCAAGTCCAAACACCTTAAGAACTCTCAGAAGACTATGCAGGATCTAACTCTTGCCTATGTCTTCAAATTCCTCTTTCATCACTCCCCTTGCACACGTTCTGTTCCAGTCCTACTAACTTTCTTTCCATCTTCACGTGGGCCATTTCTTTGCTTAGTGCCTTTGCTCACGCTATTCTCTTCACCTGGAATGCTCTCCCCTCTTCAATCCCTTCTCAGTCTAAGAAATTCCTACTCAACATTTAAGACTTGACTTAAATGTCACTTGTTCTAGGAGGGCTTTCCAGGCTGTAAGGGATGCCTCATCTTTAAATCCCTATTGCAAATGCTGTCTATAATCACAGTTGTCACTCTGAATGACAATTATTTCTTTACCAGTATGTCTCCTTCATTCGAATGTAAGCTCTATGAGGGCGGGGACTGTGTCTCTTGTTCATGTTCCTGTCTTGTGCTTTTTCATGGAACATAGCACAACATATGTATTCGAAGAATGTTTGTTGAATATTGAGAAAGTATATACTTGGAAAAGAATGGGTTCAAGGTCTTAGGACTCTGCTGGGGTTGCTAGAAGAGATGCTCTGAAGGCTTCAGATGCCTTCCTAAAAACCCTCTAGAACTCTCAGGTCTTGGGGCTGTGGTCAGACACTGGTTAGACATTAAGATTGCTCAGCAAGCCCCTGCCCTGTGGATTACAGAGTGCTGTTCAGGGCAGAAGATGCAGGAAGGGCTTGGGGCACTCAGAAGATGGGAAGGAACTGCCACTAAGCAAATGCTTCTTGGAGCAGGGCATCATTCTCCAGGAGTTCAACAGGTGGAGATAGGAATGGGGTAGGCACCCCCATTGAGAGAACAATGCTAGCAAAGGCTTGGAGGCTGAAAAGTGCAAAGCACCCTGACGAGTAGTAATTTGTCCCTTGGGCCTGGAAGAGAAGATGAGTTAAAAGAATGACTAGAAAATGAGGTTGGAAGCAGAGGCTGAAGCATGAGGATAGAGGATCTGACTGCCAAATCAGGACCAGGAAGGAGGACCTATGAAACCACAAAGAGTCCAGTATAATGAACAGGCCCTGCTAGTCTGGGAAGGCAGGGAAAGGCAGCTGGCAGTAAAAGCAGCTTATTCACTAAATCCTAGGGGAAGCATGTAGTATAATGGAGTCCTAGTAGGTTTGCAGCCAATACTTGGCTACATCCGGTGTGGGAAGGGAAGCAACATTGTCTGACCCAAATATCTATTTCAATGCACTAATTTGCATGGGGGCTGAAAAGCCTCTCAGAGCAAAGCAAGTAAATTTGAACCAAGCCCATAACTGGATCAGGTATATACCAGCACAATTAGAGTAAGGGTATGTGGTTAAACCAATGGACACCAAATTGCTGGAAGGACAGCAGAGCTCCAGCAAGTGACTTAATGATAGAGGAGGGTAGAGACTGGCAGAGTGAGCCAGTTTCCACAGGATTAAAGGTTGAAAAGAGATCACGCCTCTGGTTCAGCATGACGGCTCTAAATAAACTCATCCTACCTTGGCAACTCTGGTGGTAGTAGAGATGCACCGTGAGAAGAAAAAGGGCTGTTAGAATATGTGGAAACAGCTGTCTCTGAAAGAATGAAGAGCTCGAACAACCCTGCTGTGGGGCTCCACATCTTCCTACCTGTAATGTGGAGGGAATTGTCTTCTTTGAAGGAGAGTGCCATGTTCTCATGCTGTCGTGGTACCAGAAGAATTGGGCCCATTAAGCAGAAACTTCAAGGACAGCATCCACAACGCACCTAGTGGTAGAAACCAGTGGAGCACAGTACCTTGAGTTGATGGGTACAATTGAGAATTTGGGAGGAGTACTGCTAGGGATTTTTTTTTTCTTCTTCTTTTTTTTTGAGATGGAGTTTTGCTCCTGTTGCCTAGGCTGGAGTGCAATGGCACGGTCTCTTCTCACCGCAATCTCCGCCTCCCCTGTTCAAGCGATTCTCCTGCCTCAGCCTCCTGAGTAGCTGGGATTACAGGCATGCACCACCATGCCCAGCTAATTTTGTATTTTTAGTACAGATGGGGTTTCTCCATGTTGGTCAGGCTGGTCTTGAGCTCCCGGCCTCAGGTGATCCGCCCACCTCAGCCTCCCAAAGTGCTGGTGTTACAGGCATGAGCCACTGCGCCTGTCCCGGATTGGTATTTTTATAGGAACAGGTGGATGCCTACAATTAGCAAGACTGGTATATGAATGAATGTAAATGTAAACACATTTGTACTATGAGCCAGTATAGACTATTGGCCTGAGAATATCTGCATTGCTACAGATGAACTACAAGGCAGTCTAGGGAATCTGACTTTTGACCAGAAACAGAGCCACCAGGAGGCAGCAGTTTCTGAGTGGGTTTGGAAAGATAAAGGGAGCCTGGCCTGGAGGAGAGAAGTCAGCACCACTCCAAAGGGACCCAGGTGAATGCTGACCTCTGATCAGTGATGCGAAAGCCCTAGTAGACAACAAGAGAGAGCTGAACCTGAAGCTGAGGTGGGAACAGGAGAAAAGTAGGAGTGTTCGTGGTTGACAACGAAACTCTAAGGAAAATTGATGAAGGAAACTTTACTCAGCAAGTACCTACCTTATGCTGGGTGGGCACTTTCTTCACTATATTGGTGATATAGGCATTATCTCCATTTTACAGTTGAGGAAACAGGCTCAGAGAAGCTGTCTTCAGTTATTCATCAACTATATGCACATGGAATATAAAGATAAGACACCAGTCCTGTTCCTTGAGGATCTCAGAATATTGTAGGATAGAGACACGAGGCAAATCACTCTATTACTGTGCTCCCCAGACAAGAGTAGATGTAAGCAGAAGGTGCAATGAAACCACAAAGAGATTTCCCAAGTCACAAAGTCAGTCAGTAAGTGTCAGAGCCAGGATTCAAATCCTGCACTGTCTGGGTCCAAACCTCAGCATCTTCCACCATTCTGGCACACAGCTATAGTTGTCCAGACCCTTAAGTCATAGTCTGAGTTCTGAGGAAGGGCAGTAGTAGCCTTTGCTACCAGCAGGGATTTTTTTTTTTTTTTTTTTTGAGACAGAGTCTTGCTCTGTCGCCAGGCTGGAGTGCAATAGCGCGGTCTCGGCTCACTGCAACCTCCGCCTCCCAGGTTCAAGCAATTCTCCTGCCTCAGCCTCCCGAGTAGCTGGGACTACAGTCGTGTGCCACCACACTGGGCTAATTTTTGTATTTTTAGTAGAGACGGGGTTTCACCATGTTGGCCAGGCTGGTCTTGAACTCCTGACCTCGTGATCCACCCACCTCGGCCTCCCAAAGTGCTGGGATTACAGGTGTGAGCCACTGTGCCCGGCCTAGCAGGGAATGTTTAAGAACGAGGCGAGGACATTGGGAATTGGGATGCGGCTCACAAACGTGATGCAGCTGCATATCAGACCCAGAAAGGATGACGGTGCCCTCAGGATTACCAGGTGTGGGTCGGGTGGGGTGGTTCATGCCTATAATACCAGCATTTTGGGAGGCTGAGGCAGGAAGTTCACTTGAGCTTAGGAGTTTGAGACTAGCCTGGGCAACATGGTAAAACCCTGTCTCTACAAAAAAACACAAACAAACAAATAAAAAGTAGCCAGGCGAAGTTGCACAAACCCATAGTCCCAGCTACTCGAGAGCCTGAGGTTGAAAGAGTGCTTGAGCCTGGGAGTGGGCCGTGATTTAGCCACTGCCCTCTAGCCTAGGTGACAGAGTGAGACCCTGTCTCAAAAAAAAAAAAAAAAAAAAAAAGAGATTACCAGGCATGGAGACCCTCCGCTAGGACAGGACTGATTCAGATCCTAGAAGTGGCAGTGAATGGTTCTAGCTACGGGAGCCCCTGGGGCACTAGAGAGTGCTGGCTGGTCCTTATGCAAATTGGGGCCAGAGAGAGGAGCCTCAAAAATCAAGCTGCGATTGAGAGGAGGGGGAGCCATATTGGGAGTAGCATTGGGACTACGAGAATGAAATTGGAAAATTGTTGGGCTGGAAGGAGAGCTTGCACACTCTCTAGGATCACCATCTCCTTTTTACTTCCGTTGAGTTCAATACATCCTGGCAGGATCGTCTGCCTCTTTGAAAGCAACTGCTTTGCTTTCAAACTTTGCTTTTTCCTCCCTTCTGAGCATAAGATATGGAAGAAATCTGGGGCCCCAATCTTTTCTAGGGCTGCTTTGCCTCTGACTAGTGGCTAGATAGCCCAAACTGACTTTGTACAGTTGGGACAAAGCTGTGGGATTCATGACATTTGTGAGCCACACCTCTGGGGCATGTGAATCATGACTCTCTCTGGGCCCGGGGGCAAATCAGGGTGGAGTCACAGGATTTGAGGTAAGGACACTGGGACTAGAGAGGGGACAGAGAGTAGGCAGAGAGTGTCACAGCCTAAGGAAGAGAACCTCCCTGGGCAGGTGGCTCCATTTGATTTCCGATTTAAAGGGGAGGCTTAGATAGCTAAGAAGAAAAAGGCTAATAAGAAAAATATTAAACTGCAGTGTGTGTGTCCCCAGGGACTTCCTGTTGCCATGACTGACCTCCCGGAGAGCGCCATTCGTTCCCAAGCATGGCAGCTTTATAGGCACTTGTAGGCCTGCAAAGAACACCAATTTGCTGCTGCAGTTTGTTTTGATAACTGAAACTTTCAATAAATCTATATTAAAATCAAAGGGAAAATTAACTAGGCCCTAGTGAGGGGCACGGAGATAAGGGAGCACATTACCACCCTGGCCTCTGCCACCCCACATCCATCTCTTAGTTCAGATTCAGGTCACCAGGGAGATGAATGGCTCAAGCTCTTGGGGAACAGCTCTGGGGAAAAGCAGGAAGAAGGCGGCATGGCCAGATCCAGCCCTGACTCCTCCCGGAGTGGCAGAAGACTGCTAGGGGGTTGGGTTGGGGAGAAGAGGAGGTGGGGTGGTGGTGGTCATGGTGGGAAGAGGGGCAGGAGAAAGGGGTAGGGGAAGGGTGAGAATAATAGTAATAGCCACTGTTTACTGAACTCTTTATTCTAGATAGTGCTAAGCAGTTGTATATTTAATTCCAATAACAAGTAGATACAAGTATTATCTACATTCTAGAGATGAAGAAACTGAACTTCAGAGAGGTATGTGACTTGCCTAAGGTCACAGATGGAGCCAGGACTCAAACCTGAACAGGTTCTCTCTGAGCCCACCCTCCTATGCTGTTTTACATAGCTTACAGGGACTACGACAGCAGTAGCAGGTCTTCCAGTTGCCACATAAAACGGTTTCAGACCCAGTCTGGGTTCTCTCAGCTGTGCCAAGGTTTGCGGGCTGCCATGTATTATCCTTGGGTCCTGCACTCTCTGCGCTTTGACAGCTGGTTAAGGTCCTAGCTTTGATGACCACCTTGCTGCATTTCCTGGTGGTTTGACAGGGTATAAGAAGACCTAACTGACCAGGCGTGGTGGCTCATGCCTGTAATCCCAGCACTTTGGGAGGCCAAGGCGGGTGGATCACCTGAGATCGATAGTTTGAGACCAACCTGACCAACATGGAGAAACCCTGTCTCTACTAAAAATACAAAAATTAGCCAGGCCTGGTGGTGCATGCCTGTAATCCCAGCTACTCGGGAGGCTGAAGCAGGAGAATTGCTTGAACCCAGGAGGCGGAGGTTGCGGTGAGTTGAAATTGCGCCATTGCACTCCAGCCTGGGCAACAAGAGTGAAACTCCATCTCAAAAAGAAAAAAAAAAAAAAAGGCTTAACTTGGTCCTCTCTTTTGTTCTTGCTCTCAGTGTTCACTTTAGCTCAGTCGCTCAATCCAGCAGCTAGGGTGTCTGTGTGTCTGTGTATTGAACTCAGTTCATCTGCCTCCCCAAATTCACTTGCCCTTGCCTCATCTGCATCCCCGACTCTGGCCATTGGCCACTTATTTATTGCACAGCTCAACTGCCACTCCCACCTCATTTACTAACACCTCTGGTTGTCTTTGTTTCCCTTGGGATGATGGCTAGGTTTTGACACAGCCTCCAATGTGCCCACTGTGGCGGGACTGCAGTGGACCTAATCTGACCCAACCAGAGGCTTTGATTCCTCTCACCATTTCTAGTCTCAAATGAATGACTGTGCTTCCAGGTGTGGAATCTGGCACCCCCTGTGGCTACGGCAGTGGTGGGGTAACATAACCCTTCCTTCTCCCTGTCACACAGGATGGTTCTACACACCTTGTACGACAGAGCAACTAGTTGTATTTTCTTTGAGGCACTGGCCAACTTCTCAGTAAGACACTATCTTGTACGTTCTTTCCCTCCTTCCCTGCTTCACTTCCCCCCTTCCCCCACTCTTTTATTTATTTGTTTATTTAAGTCACGGAGTCTTGCCATGTTGCCCAGGCTAGCCTTGAACTCCTGACTTCAAGCGATCCTCCTGCCTCAGTCTTCTGCCTCCTGAGTAGCTGCGACTACTACATGCGTCACCATACCCGGCTCCCCTCACTCTTGATGCCTTGGGATTGAACTCCCCAATTAAATTTGAGCACATAAGTTTTGCCTCAGGCTCCGTTTCCTTTTTTTTCTTTTATAGAGATGGAATCTTGCTATGTTGACCAGTCTGGTCATGAACCCCCGGGCTCAAGCAATCCTTCCACCTTGGCCTGCCAAAGTGTTGGGATTACAGGCATGAGCCACTGTGCCCGGCCCAGGCTCTGTTTTCTAGGGAACCAGATAGCACACAACAGAGCCATGGCTTGAGAAAGCCAAGTGCTGTGTTAGGCGGCAGTGTAAGATACCAAGTGTATACTGAGCTGTTAAACTGTTCTATTATTTGAATCAATTTGCCTGGTCTTTGTACAAAAAGAACTTACAGTGTGGTGAAGTCCTGGAAGCTGTACAGTTGAGCCCTAGTGCACCAAGGAGGAAAGAACACATTCTGGGGAAGTCAAGGGGACCATGGAAGGCTCCACAGAGGATGTTGGGGCTGGGCATTACATAAAGCCTTGAATCCAGATACTATAGATTTACTTCATTCTTACAGCCAAGAAGATTGGCTGTGCCCTACTCTCAGGCCATAACTCAGTATATAACAAAGCTATCTCACTGCCTCTTGTCTTATTTTTATATTTACTTGTTTTATTATCTATTCTTCCTCCTACAGCCCCTCCCCAATTTATTTATTATGGCTCACTGCAGCTTTGTCCTCCCAGGCTCCAGTGATCCTCCCACCTCAGCCTCCTGAGTACCTGGGACTACAAGCACGTGCCACCATGCCTGCCTAATTTTTAACTTGTTTGTAGAGATGAGAATCTCATTATGTTGCCCAAGCTGGTCTTGAACTCCTGGTCTCAAAGGATCCTCCTGCCTCAGACTCCCAAAGTGTTAGAATTACAGACGTGAGCCACGACACCCAGCTTCCCTCTCCAATTTAAAAGCTCCTTGAGAATAGAGGTGTGTCGTTATTCATCAATGAATCCTCAGCAACAGAAACAGTGCCTGACACTTAAGAGAGGCACTATAAATACAGATGGACTGACTGACCAACTGGGGTTAATGTGTAGGTAATAATAGGAGAATCTGTTCCAGCTCCAAGAGTTGGGGGATAGTGCCTCCACTTTACTGACCTCGGGATAAGTCTGTCCCTGCTGCTGGATATTCCCTCATTTGTTCGCAGACATTTATTGCGGGCCTTCTTTATACCTGCCCTATGCGGTGTATTACTGATACAACATGAACAATATGGAAAAAATGCTTTTCCTAAAGGACTTAAAACCCTGTGGGAGCGACAACAAGGAAACAGACAATTATAAGACAATATGATAAATGCTATAGGTCCACAGCAGAATCACCTAACCTATGACGTGGGTGGGATTAAGGAAGGCATTCCCTGATATGGGGATTACCAGGCACTCTCAGCTCAGGTGGAAACCGTTATGGTAAGGTCCGCTCTCAGAGGTGGTAGGGCCCAGAAATGACATCATCCTAAGTGTAAGTATGCAGACAGCACACAGAGGGGCTTGGTAACTGAAGCTGGGCCCAGAGGATGGGGTCCTGACCGATTGGGAAGCTGTCAAAGCCATCATTCCCAGCTCATAACCTGGGACCCATGACTACCCAGAAAGGCATAACCAGGATGAAGAAACACAGGTCTCTCCAGCTTACTGGAGAGACTGACTGGGGAAGCTCCTCACAGCTGAGGCCAGAAACCTTTTAAACAGAAGTTTCCTCTGAGTGGACCTGAACAAGCCAGTTCCCTCTTCCTTAGGACGGCCCTTCACAAATCTAAGCATTTTCCTCTTAGCTTAATCCCTCCTTGTCTCAGGTCTCCCCCAGGCCCACATCCGAAAGTAGATGACAATAATTACTTGTTGAATGAACGAATCATGAGGAGTCATGTAAATAGAATTCTGTCACGTTGTGAGCCCACATTCACCTTACGGGTATATTGGAGGGCGGGAAAACGGAGATGGGGGGCTCCACTAATGTGTGTCTGTGATCCTGGTTAGATCGCTGTAGGCCATAGAAAGTTTCATTTTAAAAAAATTCCTTTCACAGATCAGAAGTGATGTCCCCGTCCCCGTCTTCTCTTCTGAGTTTGTGCAACGTCAAAACTACAAGTCCCATAAGGCCGGCGGCCGGGAGTCACCATCTTGACATACCTTAGCGCGCATGTCGGCGGGAGAGCGAGCGTTTGGGGAGAAGAAGCCCCGCCTGACTGCAGCCCATTGGTCAAAGGGGTCGGCAGCGGGCTCAGCGGTTGGCCACAGCGCCCGCCCGTCCGCCGCGTCGGTCGGGGTCAGAGTGCGCGGAGGTGAGTCGGTGTGTTGTGGACTCGTGGTGCTGGCTGCCGCTGTTCAGGCGGCCGGGAACGGGCGGTGGGGAGCGGGCGGAGCTGGCCCTGCCTCTGCCTGGCCGGCGCCGCAGTCGGCGCGGGCCGCGCCCGCCGCCGCCAACTGCCCTGAGCGCTTGCTGAGGCCGAGGGAGACGTCGGGGCCTGCACCTGGAGGGAGCCTGCCGCGCTGGCCCCGAGGAGGGGGCGTTGCCATGGCGACAGCCTCTCCCGCTGCTGACGGGGGGCGGGGGCGGCCCTGGGAAGGAGGGCTGGTCTCCTGGCCCCCCGCCCCTCCCCTTACTCTCCCCTGGACTTGGATGGGCCCGAGTTGGGGGCAACACCCCGGGGTGGGTGATGCTGAATGGCCCCGCCAAGATTGGGCCCTGGTTAATGCATGCGGGGTGAGGGTCGCGGTGCGCAGAATTTATGCAACCTGGGGTGCTGGCCCATGTGCTTACCCTGGATGCTTACTTAATCTACTGAGTAATGTTCTGGCGGAGGGGGAGCGGGGCAGAGCTTTGCAAGACAGGATGGGTGAGTTTATTAAGGGGGTTGACTTACTGGGATTACTAGAGAAGAAAAAGGTTTGACTAGAGAGGCTAGAAATGGAGCATGGAGATTGTGGGTAGAACATTCCCTTGACCCTCTCGCCAACACATGCCCACACACCAGGTTAGCAGTTTACCTCTTTGTAAATCTGAAGCGGTGGTAGTAGTGATGGTGGAAGGAGTGAATAAGGGCCTAACCTGGCTAGCTTTCTGTTTGCCTGTCTTGCAAATGGTCCAGCAACAGGTGTTTTCTTAAAAAAAGCATGAACTTGGATTGAGGCTTGACTGCGAGTTCTTGCAAAATATAACTGCTCCTTGTTGACTTGGAAGATGCTGGATGTGGGGCCCCTCAATGGGGGTTTGGATTTTGTCCTTAGAGCTGGATTTTGCAACAAATAGTGCCCATCGTTGTGTCTGCGAGAGGTCTCTGGCCACTTCAATGGCATTTACTCTTGTCAGACATTTAATCAGTCTCCCAGCGGAAGGGCAGCAAAACATGAATCCTATTGGCTAAAAGAGTGTACGCTATTCAAACTATAGTAGGTTGTGAGTGGCTAAATGAGTTTTGATTGTAGAGTTTCTTCCAGAAATTGGCTTCATCAAATTCTGCTTTATTCTGACTTTATCATATACAGCATGCCTTGTTTTAGTGGGTTCTTGCTTGGAGCTTAGTTTATTATACCTGAATCTCCTACCATTTAAAAGCCAATTTATAAACAGGGACTTGGAGTGTGACTCCACTAATGTGTGTCTGTGATCCTGGTTAGAAACCCACTTGGCTGCCTTTTCCTCAGGAGGTGGGGGTTGGGGGAAGGGAGCTGCCGGGAAGTGATTGATAAGGTTTCCTTTATAGATTCTGTGGTGCTTCACTGGAGCTCAGAGCACTTTGGCAACTTAAGCACTCCAAATTAAAAGCTCATTAACAATTCCTGCCCAAAGATCCTGTAAATAATCAGCTAGCTAGGTCATAGAGCTTGGCTAAGAGCTTTTCTTCCAACTTGAAATTTCCAAATAAAAGTGCTTTTATTCCCTTTCATTTTAAAAAGTGTTTTCTTTGTGGTGGGGTAAATTGGTGAGTGGCCTTTTCCCAGGGGATCTGAGTAGAAGAAAGTCTTAAATGTGTGGAATGGTAGACAGGAATATATTAGTTCCAACCCTAGGTGTTTCTTTATGCAAAAGACATCACTAACAGGGGCATCTCTGCAACTTCTGGTCCTTTGGAGGATATGAATTAGTTGAAAAGGATGATAGGTATCTATTGATGTTTTGACTTGGGATTTAGTTACCTTGACTTTCTTAGAGCTTGAAGCAGGCTTGGAACTATCCTGAAAGTGTTTCCTAGTCTATGTGGCCATTTTCAGTATGGCTTGTGGATTTGTGGCAACCAACCCCTACCCCAGTCCTGGCCCAGCCTTAGTTCCTTAGTTCTGAATATTGTCAGCCTTACCAGTGTCTTCCTCCTTGACTAGACTAGGATTCTGAAACTACCCAGAGGCACCACTTCATAGCTATCTTTCTCGGTAAATGTTTAGTGTTTCTAGGAGGTGAGCCTCCTTAGGAGCAAAAGTATATGACTAGAGAACATGAAAATCATTACAAATGTAGTACTAATAGTTTCTGAAAGCTCTGTGGGGGCACTGTCTTTGCACATAGATAGCAGTTATCCCGAAGTTTGAGTTTAGAGTTTGAGGTGTAGTATCCTTCATGGGGATTTGATCCTTGGTATTGAAATAGACTTGTTGCAGAGATGTGTATTTATCCACAGCATTGGGGCTTTCCAGCTCTCACAGAACCTTCAGCATCCCCAGCTGCCGGTCTTGGCATCTTCGAAGTAAGGAGAGGTGAGAATCCTGTTGCATGGTCAAGTCTGGCTTTATTTTCTTCTGAGTATTTGGGCTTGGAGGGTAGGGGGTGGGGGCTGATGCAGATTGTATTTTTTTTCCCATGTATCCCCAAAGTCTAAACGAATCATATTTTTTTGTAGCTTCTTCTGATAAAGTAACATATGCTCAAAGTCTGTAGAAACTTACTTAAAGTTTCTAAAGTGGTAAGAGTTGGAGGTGGGAGATCCAGACTGTCAAGTTCTGTCACAACTGCTTTATGGGCATCTCATGAGCACCTACTTTAGGTTCAGGATGGTTGAATAGAACCAGAATAGCCCATTATCCTGAGAAATACACATCTTAAGAAAATAGGAAGAAACATCTTCATTTGGCTTTAAACATTTATCTATCTATCTATCTATCTATCTATCTATCTATCTATCTATCTATCTATCTATCTATGAGACCTTGCTAGGTTGCCCATGCTGGGCTCGAACTCCTGGGTTCAAGTGATCTCCTGCCCACAAGTAGCTGGAGCTACAGGCATGTGCCACTACACCTGGCTCTCGTTTGGCTTTTGCTAATGTATTTGACCAAGGCCTTTGGGATCTTGGTTTAATTTAGGTTGCATGTCACCTTTTGGTGGGTGGTTAGTTCCAACCTGTCTGTTTTACAAGGATCAGGGACCAGCTAAAGAGGCATACTCTGGATGATTGATATCCAGGGACTCGAGCTTGTTTGTTCAATAGCTAAGGGCCAGGCACTGTGCTAGTTCCTGGGATTGTAGTGGTGAACAAGAAAGCCACCTTCCCTGACACCATAGAGCTTACAAATTCATGGGAGAGACTGATAGTAAAAAGGCAGTTATGATATGATCTGAGAGTGCTATAGTAAGGGAAGTGTAGAGGCTTTGGGAATACTCAGAAAGGTCTCTAACCCAGACTTGTAGACTCAGGGAAGGCCTCTCAGAGGAAGTAAACCTCCTCACATAGAATTAAACGAACCCTCAAAGAACACGGGAAATTAAAAAAAAAAAATTAGGTGAAGACATGAGGGACCAAGTGTCAGAGCTTTGTTGAATTTGAGAAAGTTCAATGTGGCTGAAACAGAGTACTTAGTGGTCAGGGGACAGGAGGATATGGGGAGAGATGAAGCAGGAGCTAAGCAGAGGCCAGAGCCTTAGCCTTATAAACTCTTAGGATTAGACCAGGGAGTAGAAAAAAGATTAGATTAGTGCTCTGCAAATTTTTTCTGTAATGGATAAGATAGTAAATATTTAGGCTTTGGGTCTCTGTCACAACTTCTCAACTCTACTAAACTCTGCAGTTATGCATGAAAGTAGCCACAGACAGTATGAAAAGGAAGAGCATGGATGTATTCCTGTAAAACTTTATTTATAAAATAAAGGTGACAGTTAGATTTGGCCCATGGGACATAGTTTGCTGACCTCTGGATCAGATTTAAGAACAGTAAGAAGCCATTAAAGGGTTTTAAGCAGTAGACTGACATTAGATTTATGTTTTAGAAAGTTGGCAGGCCGGCATGGTGGCTCACGCCTGTAATCCCAGCACTTTGGGAAGCTGAGGTGGGCAGATCACTTGACGTCAGGAGTTTGAGACCAGCCTGGCCAACATGTTGAAACCCTGTCTCTACTAAAAACACAAAAATTAGCTGGGCATGGTGGTGCACATCTATAATCCCAGCTACTTGGGAGGCTGAGGCGGGAGAATTGCTTGAACCCAGAAGGCGGAGGTTGCAGTGAGCTGAGATGGCACCACTGCACTCCAGCCTGGGTGACAGAGCAAGACTCTGTCTCAAAAAAAAAAAAAAAGTTTGCTCTGATTTCATTGTGAAAAATGGATTGAAGGGGACAGATGATACTGGAAGCAGCAGGACTAGTCAGGAGGCTGTGGCAATTACGTGGATAGCATTTTATTTTTATCTTCTGTGGCATTATTTTGGTCCTTAAAAATTGAGTATATGGCTGGGCACGATGGCTCGTGCCTATAATCTCAGCACTTTGGGAGGCTGAGGCTTGAGGCAGGAAATTGGGACCAACCTGGTCAAGATACTGAGACCCAACTCTACAAAAAAACCAAAAACAACAAAACTGATCTATAAATACGCTTTTCTTATAAATAAAAAAAAGAGTATAACTGAATCTTTGCATATATAACAGTTCTCTTTACTAACTTCCTACCCATCTACTAGAATGTCTACCAAAGAATTTGTTGGAGATACTGGCTTCTATTTTACAGACTGGAAAAGATGTAGAAAGGGAAAGATGGTATAAAATGAATTGAAAGAGCTGGGCACGGTGGCTCATGCTCATAATCCCAGCACTTTGGGAGGCCGAGGTGGGTGGATCACTTGAGGCCAGGAGTTTGAGACCAGCCTGGCCAACATGGCGAAACCCCGTTTCTACTAAAAATATAAAAATTAGCTGGGTGTGGTGGCATGTGCCTGTAATCCCAGCTACTTGGGAGGCTGAGGCATGAGAATCACTTGAACCTGGGAAGTGGAGGTTGCAGTGAGCCGAGATTGTGCCACTTTACTCCAGCCTGGGCAACAGAGCGAGACTCTGTCTCAAAAAAAAAAAAAAGATTAAAATCCTTTGGAAACTATATTTTAATGAAGTATGGAATAAACGGAGCCCTGGAAGGAGTCTTGGTCTTAGGGCTCATAGCTTATTGTCAATTAATTCGAACTTCTTGAACTGTACACACAGAGGATGACCCATTTTCCTAAGCTTTCCAGGAAATTGTCCTCATTCTATATATGTCCTATTTGGTTTCTCCTTTCCTTGCTTGTAGAAGACTGATGGCCTCTTCCAGACATTTTGGAGATGTCTCCTAGTTCAGGTATGATGGTATATGTCAAGGACAGGGACCAAATAAAGTATTGTATTTGGTGAGCGTCTGATGAATAGGTTAGAGCTGAGGGTCCCATGTCTGCACTTTCCCTTTCTTCCTACTTTTCTTTTGTAGGAGGTCTTCATCCTACAAGCCCTAGTGTAGGTTTCTGATAGCAGTGTTTATGTGACCTTGGGCAAGTGCCTTCCTCTCTGGGCTTCACTTTGCTATCTGTAAAATGGAGATAATGAGACAATCGAGTTGGCTGAAGGATTTAATAATGTAAAACTCTTTGCACAGTGTCTTGATAACTTTTATCACTAATCAAATTTTATATAATTAATAAGTTTTTAAAAAGCAGCCAGTATTTGGGTGACTTGGCTTTTGGCTTCATATTTTTTGTGTCCTCACAGTTGTCGTTGTGAACATATGCTAAAAAGATAGCTGCTTGTGGTGGCAGCCAGCAGACAGGAGGAATTTACAACTAAAGCAAGGCACTGCTTTTCATAATGGAAAATTTTCAGACAATGGGTGTTCATTTAGAATCCCAGAACTGGCCAGGCGTGGTGGCTCACACCTGTAATCCCAACACTTTGGGAGGTCAAGGCGGGTGGATCACCTGAGGTCAGGAGGTCAGGAGTTTGAGACCAGCCTGGCCAACATGGTGAAACCCCATCTCTACAAAAATACAAAAAATTAGCCAGGCATGGTGGCACACACCTGTAGTCCCAGCTATTGAGGAGGCTGAGGCAGGATAATTGCTTGAACCCGGGAGGTGGAGGTTGCAATGAGCTGAGATCGAGCCACTGCACTCCAGCCTGGGTGACAGAGTGAGACTCCATCTCAAGACAAAACAACAAAAAACAATCCCAGAACTTTTTTCAGTGTGGACCTTAGTCCCAACACCATCAGTAAAGCAAATCGAGTGAGCAGCTTCCCGATAGAAATTCACCAAAGTGTGACCAGCATTCCTCCCTGTCTGTCTGGGGTCATTTATTAGTGTTGATACCCTGTGGCCTTACATCTTTGTAAAGTGCCTCTCAAATTTTTTAAAATTACTTTTCACCAGCACTCTGGGAAGTGGGTCAGGTGGTCAGCATTCTTGTCCTTGATACCATATGAAGAAACTGAGGCCTAGAAAGGTTAAATGAGTTGCCTGAGGTCCTGCTGCGAGGTACTGTCAAAGCTAGGGCAGATTTGCCATCCAGATGAAAGTGTGTTAGTTTATTGCTGTGATTTCACTTTCCTTGAGTGAGAGGTGCATAGTCATTGCAGAACTGCAGTCTGATGCATGCCGTGTCCAGATCTACTAGGTTTGATTTGGGTCCCACATTATCCATTTGGTTCTGTTGGGTTTTAATTAATGATTGCTAGAACCAGAACTGTTGGGAAGCAGACTCCCTTTTGGATCATTGTTTTTAGGCTTTCCTCTTTGGGGACATTCCTTGAGGAGCCTTGGGTTACCAGGGATTGCTTTGATGTGTTCAAAATTGTGCCTTGTGCCCCACAGCTACAGGTAAAATCAAAAGGCGGATAATTTATGGGAGTGTCAGAGCTGGCCGCTGGCACCTCAGGAGGCCATTAGTATGCCTGTTCAGACCCTCTGTGTCCTTGCAATTGATTCCTCTTTGCATGAGCCTGATTTGGGAAGCTGTAGATCTGTGGGTAGTGATTGGATGTGACAGTCCAAACACTGGTCCCTAAATTAATCCTTTTAATGGTATTCCGGCACCAAGGCAATTCTCTCTCTCCCTGTCTGTCTCTCTGTGTCTCTCACTCTTTCTTTCACTCTTTTTCGCTCTTTTTAACTAGGGAGGACAGAATGGGGTGGGCTAGGAGGAAGGATAAAGAAAGGAAGAGAAGAAGCTTTGTTTGCTGCTTAGGCCCTGCTCTGTTCTAATTAGCATGTTCTAATTCCAGAGCAGTTGGCATCATGACTGTGGGCATATTAATTCATTTAGCAAACATTTACTCTTGCTTACTTTGTGCCTGGTCCTGTGCTGGGTGCTGGGAATACAGAGGAATAAAATGTGGTCCTTACCCTTAGGGATCTAGCTCAGTGTTTCTCAGGCTTTAAAAACTCTGAGACTTAGCACAGTTTAGATTAAAACACACACACACACACACACACACACAACAAAACAATCTCATGCTCTTCTTTAATGCTATTTGAAATTTTGAAATGCATTAGTCTAACAAGCAAGTCAAAGAATTATGTCAAATATGCTTTTTTTTTTTTTAACACATGCACACATTCACCTATACTGCTGTCTTCTATCCTTCTTCCTTAACTCTTTGAAAATTACTGGTAGTAGAAGAAACATACCTAATATCTTACAACATAGTGAGATAAAAGTTATGAAGTAGGAATAAACTGTGCCACTGGATCATACTTAAACAATTAGCTTTATGATGGAGTGTCAGAGAAAGCCACCAAAAGGGGGGAGATTTGAGCTGGATTTTAAGGAAGGAGTCATAATTTGTCTGGCAAAAAATGGAAGTGCATTCCAAAATAGGGAGCAGCGTTTGCCAAAGCACAAATTTGTAAAAGGAAACGTCACATTTGGGTACTTGAGTAAGAATTGGTTATAACCCTGCCTCCTGCCAGTTTCCACTCTGTAAGATGGAAAGATTTGCTCCTGTGGAATTTTGTTTGAGAAGAGACTTCGAGTTCCTTGTGCTGCCGTTCTTTTAATTCTGCTCTTGTGCTCAGGCCTGTAATTTTTCTTTTTAAATATAAAAAAATATGAAAACTAGTTAGGATGATTTGGATAGACTTAATTATTGCTTAAGGTTGAGTTACTTTTAGTTAAAGTTACACTTTGCCTCAAAAGAAAAACTGCAGTTGATATGCATTGTTGGTCCTCTGTCGGATGGAGGGAATCAGTCATGTGGGGAAATGTGGGCCATCACACGTGGTAGAGAACAGGGCCCCAAAGAGCTGAGCACCTCCGAGCCCTTAGTTTCCTCATGTGTGATATGCGAATATTCTTACCCATTCTGCTTGATACTTGGGAGGATTAAATAAAATATGTAAATCATCGATACAATGCCTGGCTTGGAGTAGATTTTCAGAAAAGGGTGTTTGCTTTTTCTCTTTCTCATGTAGTAACAGCTCCCTTTTATTGAGCGCTTGCTATTGTGCAAAGCACTTTTTGTACATCGCACGGTTGAATTGAATCCCAAAGACATAGGTATTATTATTATTATAGCTATTATTACAAATAATTTGTAGTAGAGTCAGGATTTGAACCTAGGTTTGTCTATTACCAGTGTTTTAACACTAGATTATATAACTCCTTGCTTTTACAGCAGTTCCCCATCTTGGGACCAGGAGTATAGGAAGTATTTAACAGTTCTGGGTACCTCTCTTCTGGGATCAGATGCTGTCTACAAATGTGAGAGGTGCTTAAAGGGATGATGCTACCATACCCTGCCCTCCATCCATCTCTAGTCTATTTATGGTGTGTTAGGAAGCAAGGCTTTGCCCCTTCTCGTGTGTGATGAGGTTGCAACTGACTTGCAGGACTTTGCAAAAAGATGTCTTCAAGCTTTGGCCGCTGAAAGGAGTTTGCCCAAGCTACTGGGCATGGCTGCTGGGTTAGCAAACAGCAGGCAAATCACAAACAATTGCCTCTTTTTATGTGTTTCTTGGAGCTGCTGAAACAGACCAGTTGAAGGGGAGAGCAAGCCTGCTGTGACCTATGATGTTGCCCTCAGAATTTGGTGTTCCTGAAGATCTTTAGTGATTTTAGCTCTGCTGGTAGTTTGGGATTATTAGCAGCTGCTTCTGAGTTGGGGGAGCTCTCCATAGCTGTGCCTTGGAGCAGAAGCAGCTGTAGCTACAGGCCAAGGCAGGGACTGAGTGTAGAGAAGAGGAGACTGTTTTGTTGAGGTGAGGACTCAGTTTTAGAGTTCCTGCTTCCTTTCCGCATTGGGACCATGTGGAGCTTCCAGGGCATGTCAAGCTTTGTTTTGTCTTCAACCTCTAGCCTTCAACAAACTAGACAGAGTCCTCAGGCTCTTGGCCTCTTCTGTGAGACTGCATAGCTTGGGAAATGACTAGTGAGGCCTTTTCCTTGTGTTGGAGCAGTAGCCTGAGACCCTGGCCTTGGAGTTGAGAGCCTGGGTTCTATTCTTACTATTTCTTGCAGTGTGAACCTTGGGCAGTCCTTTTCTCTTTCTAATCTCATTTTCCCTGGCTGGTTGGACTGTGTTGCCTCTTAGGTTTTCTTTCACCTTTGACAGTTTGTTTTTCACACAGAGAGTGCTCTGGCAGTAAGGATATATTCATTAGATTGAAGATTATGACTTTTGAAGGGATGCAGTTTATTTGTATTTTTTCCCAGGCTATTTTTAGCTGCTTGAGACAAAGCCAGTGACTGAGTTCCAGACAGGTATTACTGTGTTTTTTGTTGTTGTTTCTGTGACTCAGGTGCCTGAGCACTTGTGATACTGCAGGTCAGATTGGGTTGGGGACTTACACCAGGACTGAGAACTGAGGAAGCTATGATTGTTGTATTCCTAGGTGCTTTCAGTCAGCTGGACTCAGAACCTGTTGCAGGTAACTTGGAGTTACTTGGATGTATCCCTGCCTCCTAGTCTGGCTTTTAATGGAATGAATTGAATCCAGGGGTGGTATAAACATACACCATCCCAGAGATCCCAAGTACATGTGGCTGGGGAGGTGGAAGTGGGAGTAGACCACCTGTTTCACAGTGGCCTCCTCTTGTTTTCCCATCCTGAGGACTCCCTTGGCCTGTGTGTGTGGATGTTAAAGGTTGACCCCCTCTGCTCACCCCTCCAGTAATGGAGGCTATAAAATGTCTATTTACCCAAGACACCAGAACGACTCCTCTGTGGTTCCTCTAATCTGGTGATTTGGTGCTTCTTTGGTCTCTCAGGTAAATACAGATTGAGTCTTTTTATAAAGGCATATTATTTCCCTCATTAAATGTGTGTTTTGGCACATGTGTTATTTACCTGATAGACAGTAATGGCTGCAGAGGAGCCATTGGTGTCTGTTGTGTAAATACTCTGCACAGAGACCATCCTCCAGGGGCTCTGGCGCAGGCCTGCTTCTCCAAATCGGGCTGGCCCCGTGGCAGTCCCATTTACCCCTCCCCTGTCCCCACTGGGGACCTGGGCCCTTCATATTGAGGAGAGAATCATTCATTTTCCTCCTTGCCATGGGCTACTTAATACCTTTAATTTGCTAGGAGACGGAAAAGGATGTCTGAGAATAAATGTGTATAAATCTTAGTCTCTGATGAAAGATAGTTTGCAGAAATAGGCAGAATCATAAACTTTCTTTTGAGTTCTGGCCCTCATTTAGATACTCAAAGTCCCAGTTGATATTATAAGCTATAGACTTATAGCCTGCAAATTTGTGACTAAAACATAAAGACATCAATAGAAAAGAGAAATCCCTAAGACACCGGAGGGTGCAAGGGCAAGTGGGATGCTGCTGCAGGGAGCAGGTGTGTTTCCTGAGAAGGCTGTATGGTAGCAGGAGTGCCAGTGAAGTGGGCATTGAGTAGGGGCTCTTCTGATGGAAACTCGGCTGGATAGAGATACTGTTTGGGCTGAGAGATGCTTTGAGCCTCTCTACCAGAGAGAACATGCAGCCTACCTTCTGTGGGCATTACAGGGAGATCTGTCTCTTCAAATACTGTCTGTGTGATATTTTTAATTTTAAAATTGTAACCACATTGCACATGGATTTTAAAAAACAATTTTATTTATTTATTTATTTATTTATTTATTTATTTATTTATTTATTGAGATGGAGTCTCTGTCACCCAGGCTGGAGTGTAGTGATGTGATCTCAGTTCACTGCAAACCCTGCCTCCTAGGTTCAAGCGATTCTCCTGCCTCAGCCCCCTGAGTCACTGGATTACAGGGGTGTGCTACCATGCCTGGCTAATTTTTGTATTTTTAGTAGAGATGGGGTTTTGCCATGTTGCCCAGGCTGGTCTTGAACTCCTGACCTCAAGCGATCTGCCTGCCTTGGCCTCCCAGAGTGCTGGGATTACAGATGTGAGCCACCCCACCCAGCTGATTTTAAAAAACAATTTTAAAAAAACGTTTGAAACAGCCCAAATTTACATAAAAGTTGTAAGTACAGTAGAAAGAATTTTTTCCCTGAACCATTTGAGGGTTAAGTTGCCGACCTAATGCCCCATCACCCTGAATGCTTGGTGTGCATTTCCTATAAACAAGGACATTTTCCTACCTAGTCAAAATACAACCATCAAAATCAGGAAATTAACATTGATATAAAACCTCTATATAAACCTTGGACCCCATTAAAGTTTTGCCAGTTGTCCTAGGAATGTTCTTTGCAGCAAAGTGATCCAGTTCAGAATCGTGGGTTGCATTTGGTTATCAAGTCTCTAGTCTCCTTTAGACTTTCCTCAGTAAACGTTCCTTGGCATTCATGACCTTGATACTTTTGAAGATTACAGGCTGGTTATTGTTTAGATTGTCTCTCAATTAGGGTTTGTGTGACATTTTCTCATGATTAGATTTAGGTTGTGTAGCTTCAGGAATATAACAGAAATGATGCTTTGTTCTTCTCGTCGTGTGATTTTGATTTATCCCATTATTGATAATGTTCACTTTGATCACTTGATTAAGGTGATGTCTGCCAGGCTTCTCCATCATAAAATTACTACTAGTTGTAATTAATAAGTATTTTGTGGGGTGATACTTTGAAACTATGTAAATATCTCACATCAAAGTTTAATTTTATTGATTTATATCTTTATGGACTCATGGTTTTCTATTCAGTGCATTATAATCCATTACTATCATTGTTTCTTGGCCAGTGGGTGGCTTCTGTATCCTTTTGGTATGTTCCCATCATTATTTGGGTGTTTCCTTGCTTTCTGATACAAGATGTTATGCGCTCATCTTGTATTTCTCTTGCTGCATCCCTGGAATCAGCCATTTCTCTAAGGACCTCTGTTTCTTTTAGTGGGGAATGGTATTTAGAAGGCAACTGGGGCTGGGTGCTGTGGCCCATGCCTGTAATCCCAGCACTTTGGGATGCCAAGGTGGGAAGAACATTTGAGCCTAGGAATTTAAGACCAGCCTGGGCAACGTAGTGAGACTCTTATCTCTACAAAAAAAAAAAAAAAAAAAAAAAAAAAAAAATATATATATATATATATATATATATATATATATATATATATATATTAGCTGGATGTGGTGGCACATGCCTGTGGTCCAAGCTACTTGGGAGGCTGAAGTGGGAAGATTGCTTGAGCGTGGGAGTTCGAGGCTGCAGTGAGCTATGATTGTGCCGCTGCACTGCAGCCTGGGCAACAGAGCAAGACCCTGTCTTCAAAAAAAAAACAAGAAGGCAATGGAGTGCTAGGTGTGCTCATTGCCATTGTTACTGCTCCCTGGCTCTTCCTTAAATAGAGCTAGAAAATATATATGCATATGTGTGTATATTTGTGTGTGTGTGTGTATCCATCTATCTATCTGATACACATCTAATCAGAAACCATGAGTTCACATTCTTCCTGCCAATTCCAATCCAACACCACAGATTTTCTCCCTTTCCATATTTTAACTCCTTTCTCTTAACAGTGAGAAACCTGGGTCCCATTATGCTTAATATATGCACTTCTTTGATCAGTTCCTCTGTAGGTAGCTAATCCTCATTACTGCCACTGCCCTTTACCCTTCATGAGTGCCTCTTTTACCCTGCGTGTGTCACCCCACATCAGACTGCCAGCCGACATGGATGCTCTCCACATCCCCCTCGGCTCTGACATGCTGCACCACACCTTCCCACTTCTGCAAGGATGTCTTCCTCACCCTGCCTGGGCTCTGACAGTGTCCCCCAGACCTCTCTGGCTCACCCTACTCCACCCGTTGTAGATATCTGCCCTCTTCTGCTGCACCTAATGGCTTTAGGATTGAGTTTTTCAGGAAGGGAAGAGGAAGAGCTACCCTCTGTTTCTTGACTTGAACTGAGCTTGGTTGTTAGAAGTAAGGGAAGTGTGGAATCCAGTAACTGCTGATATGTGGAGGCCTGACCTCCTAATGTCTACTCTCAAGACTTCCTACGAGAGAAGTTTTTTTGTTTTGTTTTGTTTTGTTTTGTTTTTGAATTATGGTCTTGCTCTGTCACCCAGACTGGAGTGCAGTGGCTCCATCACAGCTCACTGTAGCCTCAACCTCCTGGGCTCAAGTGATCTTCCTACTTCAGCCTACCAAGTAGCTGGGACTACAGGCATGCAGCACCCCGCCTGGCTAATTTTTAATTTATTTTTTGTAGAGATTGGGTCTCACTATGTTTCCCAGGCTGGTTTCGAACTCCTGGGCTCAAGCAATACTTCTGCCTCAGCCTCCCACAGTGCTGGGATTACAGGTGCAGTCACTGTGCTTGGCCAAAAGAAGCTTTTTGATGTAGATGAAATCAGGTGAGAAAGCAAGGCCTGCAGGCAAGAGGACCACTGGCCATCAGAATAGGGTATATATAGTATGCTCTGTCAGAGGTCTGGAGCATTTTAGGGTTGCAGAAGACATCGATATTACTCTCTGAGGCTGCCTTATGAATTAATTGGATTTGTAGGCCCAGAATCTGGGGATCCAGGCTTGGCCAGGTGGGCATAGCCCAATAGGATAGTAGTAATAACATTAGGATAATATATATTAGGCTGTTATATGCCAGGCACTGGTCTTAGTGCTTTACATGTGTTGTCTCATTTTGTTCTCACTTAAGGAGTAGGTGCTATTGTTATTGTCATTTTACAGATGAGGAATTGAAGAACACAGCATGCCCAAGGTGCCATGGGTAGTAAGTGGTAAAGCTAGGATTCAAACTTGGAAGCCCTCCTTACTCATCATGCTTAATTGCTTATAGTATTTGGTAGACAGGATTGACTGACTGTATATACTACGCATATTCTGTGCACACTGTAGAACATTAGGACTTTCAGAAGTCTTTACACTTTTTTATGGGGTTAGAGAAGAGTCTAAGTCCTTGAGGGACTTTGGATCCAAACTAGAATGGGTAATTTGAGCAGACTGGTGTCTTCCATCTCATTAAGGCTTCCAGTACTATTCAGGAATAGGCGATGAGAAGATTCTGGCTTTCAAAGGGATATTGGCCCTCTTGCCCTTCCAGGAGACTCCATATTGAAACTCAAGCCAGCGTTTGTCTACCTGGGCTGAGTTTTGGCTGTATTTTTGGTGAGGCTATAAAGCAGTGGTGAAAACAAGTGCTGTGCTTGTGCAGGATCCATGAAGAACTTAAAATATTTTTTGGTCTTAGCTCCACTGAATCCCCCTGAAATCTCATTATAGGGATAGGGAAATTGAGGACCTACACTAGCGTATATCCTACTATATATATAGGCAAGTTACTGTAGCTCATTCAGTGAGTCAGGAGAGAGATGGGAAGACAGCCATACTTGGCATTATCTGCTTCTGTTCAGGTGGTAGTGGCCTCATTGCCTTTGAGTACGCGCTGGACTTCACAGGGTGCTATCCCTCTACCCTATGTGAAGGGAGCCAGGTGCCCACTTGCAGCCATCAGAGGCAAGCCTTTGGTTGTGTTGGAATGAGGCTTCGGAAAGCACAAACTATGGCCATTACTGTATTGTACAGTGAGATTTCTTATTTGAGGATTAAAGTTGAGAGAAATTTGAATGTTGAGTATTAAAGGGAGAAAGACAACATTTCTGCTTTGTTCCTTTTTTCTTTTTAAGGAAGTTTGAGTTATTCGTGAGTAAAACTTAGGCTTTGATTTTTGTATTTAGTTAGGCCTCTGAGGAGCAGGCATTCTGCAAATTTAAGGGGAAAACTTAAAGGAAAAGTGATTTGATTTTTTTTTTTTTTTTTTTGCACATGTTCACTCAGAAAACTTTACTAGACTTTTAGCCATGTTCCTATTACTGCCACATCTGGGTTTTCTTTTTCTTCCCTATTTAAAAAGTCCCGCAGTCATTCAGGGCCTCGAGTAGAGACCGAGTCTAAGGCAGCAAATGAGAAGGCCTAAGGCTGCAGCCAGCTGTGCTCTCCAGGCACTGTTCATTCCCCCAGGGTGCCACTTACTAGTGTGGGGGTTGGGGGATCACCAGAATGTCAGAGCAAACCCCTGTGATTCGCTTTGTTTGCCTTCACCTTGGGAGAGGGGAGGAGGGTATGTGGAGACATCAAGATACAGACTGGAAAGCCAGGGGCAAATGGCTCCTAGTGGAGCTGAGAAAAGAACCTTGGACATTTTCTGCTGCTTGTCTGAGTCTACTTAGCTTCCAGGACTCATTGTACAACAGGGTCACCTCACGTTACTTTGGACCCATAGCTTTAATGTTAACTGTTGCCACCTGAGAAGTGACTGCACAATTTTTCTCTCTTCTCTCTTTTGAACTTTAGAGCTCCATTTAAAGATGCAGGCCAGTGTTGCATGTTGTTTTGAGAATGATCTGGGAGACTCAGAGCTGTAATAATGCTGCAGGTGCTGCTATTAGGGTCTTGAACTTTAGTAACGAATACTATGATTTAGAAAAGGGGCCCAGAAACACTGGGGAGTGGCCCATGTTGCGTGGATATTCCTGAAGACTAGATGGAACAGGGCCACAGTGGGAGGGAGTAACCCAGGCTCTCTGTTCTTTTTTTTTTTTTCTTTCTTTTCTTTTTTTTTTTTTTTTTTAAACTTTCCTCCCCTAAGTTTTAGATGCTTCTGGATGTTCAATGCTAGCACCTTTACAGACTGGAGCAGCTCGATTTTCTTCGTATTTACTTTCAAGAGCAAGAAAAGTGCTGGGCTCCCACTTATTTTCTCCCTGTGGTGTTCCGGAGTTCTGCTCCATATCCACCAGAAAGCTGGCGGCCCACGGCTTTGGCGCATCCATGGCGGCAATGGTGTCCTTCCCTCCCCAGAGGTATCACTACTTTTTAGTGCTGGACTTTGAGGCCACGTGCGACAAGCCACAGATTCATCCTCAGGTAACTGTTCCATCATTGCTTTAGAAAAGGTGGGGGGGGCAAGGAGGGAGGGAGGATAGTTTTGCTTCCTGGGACACAAAGGAGCTTTCTCATGCCTTCCTGTCTTTTAGCTACTCATTTAGAGTTCCTGTCTAGGAAGCAGGACTTGTTTCAGGTATGCTAGTGTAAGGTAGACCTGAGAAGTCTCTGGAGAGAACTGGGTACATTGTTTCTCTCTAGTCTCAGCTTTTGGGAATCAAAATATTTCCTTCTCCCGTCCTTCCTTTCTCTGTTCTCTTCTTTCCTCCATTCTCCTGCTACTGCCACTTGTTCCTTTAAGGAGTGCTATAGTAGCTGGCCTCCAAGATGACCTCAATGATTCTTAACTCCTGCTATTCACACCCTTGGTAGTTCCCCTCCTGCACTGAATCAAAGATATTCCTGTATAGCTAATAGAATACAGTGGAAGAGATAATGTACGACTTCTGAGGGTAAGTTATAAAAAGTATTGCAGTCCACTTTGCTCTTTTGGACCACTTGCTCTGGGGGAAGCCAGCTGTCATGCTGCCAGGACACTCAAGCAGCCCTGTGGAGAGGCACATGTGTGTAGGAACTGAGGCTCTTAGCCAAAATCCAGTGCCCAACTTGCCAGTCATGAGAATGAGCTATCTTAGAAGTGAATCTACCAGCCCCGGTCAGGCCTTCAGATGACTGCAGCCCCGGTGGACATGTGACTTCAACCTTAGGAGGGACTTTGAGCCAGACCAGCCAGCTAAGCCACTCTCAAATTCCTGACTCACAGGAACTGTGAGGGATAACAAATGATTATTGATGTTTTAAGCCACAGGTTTTGGGATGATTTGTTATGCAGCATTAGATAACCTGAGCAAGTACCATTGTTGGTCTGTTGGAAAGGACAATTTCTTTGCTTGCTTTTTTTCATTAGTCACCAGCTGTGTTCAAAGACCTTTTAGCTTTTAAGTTAATGCTGCTAGGAGGCTTGGATTAGCTGCAGGTGATATTGAAGTATGTGGTGTTTGCTTTGAGGGAATGATTGGGGGCTGATGTAGCAGTTCATTGTAGTGTTGGTGCATTGAATATGTCTGGCTCTAGGACTGTAACTCTTCTCTATAGGGTTAGGTTATAGAGTGTGTGATGCATAGACATGTTGCTCTGGGAACAGCTTTCAATCGTAAGGAGGAGGGAGAGAAGGGGACCTCAGCATCGGGCACTTCGAAGGTAGGGAGGAGTGTGGTCCATTTAAAGATAAACTGGGTTTGTCTGTCATGGTTGGTTTTTTCAGGAAGGGATCTGTCTTCAAAATGGTAAATTATTTTACATAAAGCAGGTATGACAACCTCTAGTGTTCCCTTTCTCCTCTCCTCTTTCCTATACTCCCTTAATGCATTGGTCTGCCTTTGAGGCACTGGAATGAGGCCTACTGAGGGCTGGGAACCCAGGAGCTGGATAAGGAGAATATCCTAAAGGAAGGTCCTTTGGGTGTAAGGGAATGCAGCTTGGGAGCTACTCAAGCCACACTTACGTTCTCTGCCTCTGGCTCCTGCCTATACTGTAGTCTTCTTCCATGCCTCCCCAAACTACTGGATTTTCTCTGGTGTGGTGAGGGCAGCTGGTGCTTATGCTGGGAATTTTGGTTATTAAGATTCTCCCATGTTGGGAATTAGGGATCCAAATCTTAATATGTCATATTATTTCTTCTATTTCAGTCACTGGGTAAGCCCTAGTGGGACATGAGACTAAAATCTAACACATCTCTGTCACATATGATTCATCCCTCTTCTGATCCCTCATAATCGCTTGGCACCTCTGTTATGGCATTTACTGCTTTCTGGCATATGCTTATATATGTGTATTTTCTTACCTTTTCAGTTAGATTATAAACTCAGATAATTATGTAGCTCTGTTTTCTTGTCCTGCAGAGGGTCCTGCCAATATTCCTGAAGGTGAAGCCTGAATCATGTCTCAGTTTGGTCTGTCAATGTCACCTTTCATCTTTCTTTCAAGGGCTTTATTTTTACTTATTTATTTATCACAATGCTGAAGACATCATGCAGTACAGATTTAAACAGCTTGTATCACCAACTTCCTTCCCAGACTTAGGCACCAAGACCTTCCAGACCCAGGCTGAGTTAGGGCTTCACATTGTTTACCAGGGTCTGGGCCTGATTAAAGATTATCTCCAGAATCAATGAACCCTGATGATGTGATTCCAAGGGCACTTAAGGAATTGGCTGCCCTGGTTCATTATTAGCAAAGCATTAGCTGTTGCTTTAGAGAACTCGGGAAGAAGCATTTGCTGTCTTGCTTATCTTTAAAAGGAGAATACGAATGATCTTGGAAATTATAGACCCGTTAGTTTACTGTGATTCCAGAGAAGATACTTGACCTGATCGTCAGATAATCAATCAGCAAACAGCTAGAAGAGCGTGGGGCACTGAGTAATAACTTACATGGGTTTGTGAAGAAGAGCAAATCCTGTCAGATCAATCTTAACTTCTTGCTGTGACATAGTGATGGATTTGAGTGGATCTAGGGCAAGTGATAAATGTAATGCATCTTGACTTCATTAAACCTCTACAATGCTGTGATCAACAGTTGGGAAGGTGAGTTTGGGGCCAGACATCTGTGTTGGACTACCCATCAGACCACCTTCAGGAAAGGGACGGCAGGTTGAAACTTGTTAGTAGCAACTTAAAATCTCCCTTTTTTATGGGAGAGCTTTTTTAAGGTTTGCAGGTAGCAGGATCCTGATGGGATTCAGAGAAAGCCAAGAAGACGGATTGGAGAAGTTGTCAGTCCTAGATAGAATAGCATCCTTCCATTGAGGTCAACATAGGTCCGGTTCTTATTAGAGCCCCTGTGCTGTTTAGGTCTTCTGGTCAACAAGGGAAGTGGAGAAATTGGAAAAGCTCAGGAATTGGACCACAAATCATTAGAGGCACAAAAATAGAACTTAGAAAATAAATTGATTATAGTTTTGGTGACTGATTTCTTGTTCAGACTGAATAAATTCATCATGTGAGGAGTAATTATTCCAAGGAGTACGATAACAACTTGCTCTTGATTTTAATAGGGACAAAAAAGAAAGAAGTTTAAATGGAAGCAGGAAAGGTTGAGATTTGGGATGAGAATGAACTGCCAGAAGAGACAGCAAAAGGACCGGAATAAGGTATACACCTTAGATCAGCCTTCCTTAGTGCTGTCTCAGAACGGCTTGATGGCTGTCCATTTGACAGAGATTCTTTGATTCTTTTTTTTTTTTTTTTTTGAGATGGAGTTTCGCTCTTGTTGCCCAGGCTACAAGTTGCTCTTGTTGCCCAGGCTGGAGTGCAATGGTGTGATCTCGGCTCACCGCAACCTCTGCCTCAAGCAATTTTCCTGCCTCAGCTTCCCGAGTAGCCAGGATTACAGGCATGCGCCACCATGCCCAGCTAATTTTGTATTTTTAGTGGAGGTCGGCTTTCTCCATGTTGGTCAGGCTGGTCTTGAACTCCCCACCTCAGGTGATCCACCCGCCTCAGCCTCCCAAAGTTCTGGGATTACAGGCATGAGCCACTGCCCCCGGCCTGATTCTTTATGAGTAAGGTCTGCATGCCTCCTGGGAGTAGGGCTGGGCTTATGAATGAGAACCATCCAGGCTCCTCTCCTGACCAGCTCCCTTTTCTGTTTTTTGTTTGTTTTTTTTTTTTTGAGACAGAGTCTTGCTCCGTTGCCCAGGCTGGAGTGCAGTGTGTGATCACAGCTCAGTGCAGCCTCAACCTTCAGCCTCAACCTCCTGGGCTCAAGCGATCCTCCCATCTTAGCCTACCAAGTAGCTGGGACTATGGGTATGCTCCATCATGCCTGGCTAATTTTCTGTTTATTTTTTATAATGATGGGGTCTCACTATGTTGCCCAGGCTGGTTTCAAACTCCTGGGTTCAAATGATACTTCCACCTCGGCCTCCTAAAGTGCTCTGATTACAGGTGTGAGCCACCACAGCCAGCAGGAACTTTCAGTACTCAAGATCCTGCATGGTACACTTCTGTTTTTATGACAGTGTGTCATACCCCTTGAGTATATAGGAGGCAGAAACAGTTTTAGGCCATGGCCTATTTGGAGGCTTAATGTGGGGCTCTTTTATCTATCTTTGATTTCCAGAAGTTCCTGAGTTAGTTGAGTCAGCTTATTGGGACTATCTTAAAGGAATGCCATCACGAAAAACTAACAGGTGTAAGCCCTGTTGTACTTGGGTGAGTAACAGCATTGGTTATAAACATGGTAAAACATGATATTTTCCATTTGTCATCAGTTTTGCTGTTTATTTTTGTACTTTATTCAGCTAGGTGAAACTGGAGTGGTTGGCTTGCCAGTTACAGGCTTTGGTGTTCTGGTTTTTGCACTCATTTTATTTGTGTTACATGTTTTGATTCAGATTAACATGATAGGTATTGGTTGAATAGGAGACTTTTTCATTTGAAAACACTTTTTTCACTTAAATGTAATTTAGATGGTTTAAAATGTTTTAGAGGGTCCAAATTTCAGGAATGTGGCTCCTTTCTTGTTTTAGGAATTGTTTCCTGACATAGAAGCAGTTTTTTATCTGGTTTAGGAGAATTATGCCTCCTTTGTCCTCGCTAGCAGGAGTTCATTTTGCTCATTTTGGTGTGGATGTGCACCGAGTGATGGTTGTTGTGACCCTGAGGCCCAGAGAGCAGCCTGAAAGCTTTGGTGGGATCTTTAATTGTGCATCTTTAACCTTGGGGCAAGTTCACTCACCACCTCAGTGTTCAGAAGAGACCAAAGCAAATGTAAGTGAGGAAAATGAGGTATAGGCCACAGCACGTTGGGAGGAGGAGGTAACCTCAGCTGTCTGGATGACCAGGGAGGGAGGGTGCAGCACAGCTCTCCCCATCCGAGGAGCTGCCATCCTGGCGGCTACCCACTTTCCTCCCCAAGTCCTCTGGCCATCCGTCAGGCTCCTGCATAGTCTTTTTGTCTCTGCTCTGCAGCAGCCCTACTGACTGTTTGCCTTCTCATCTGTATTCAAGTGCCCATAACTTTGGAGAAAAATGACGTTTGGGGTTGAGGTTTCTAGTGTTTGGTCTTTGTCCACAGGAGCATTTTTTTCCTTTTTACGGAAACCTTGAAGAGAGTCCATCTGCATTTTGAGTTAGAACTATGAGTAAAGGAGTTTCTCGTTTCCAGACAATTGTCCAGGTGCTGTTATTTTTGAAGGATATGTGGGGAGGGTTGGTGGTAACAGAGATGGCTAATGTAGAAGAGATTCGGAGGGTTTCCGTGTGACCTAGAGTTGCCACATCATTACTAGTCTTTTGTGAAAGAGACATTTTGGAAAACTTTACAGGAAATTGGTTAAGATCCCTACAAAGCAAACTATATTGATTTCTTTCTCCTTCGTTCGAGGCTGAAAGGCAGGAATCCTCTTAACCCCACGTGCTGCCTCCCCGCCCTGCCCAACACATTGCTCTTTGCCCCATGTTTAGCTTCTTTCCTTCTCTCTGTTCTTGGTTCCTGCCGTGACTAAGTGGACAGAAAAGCAATTCCCTGGAGAAAGAACCCACCCTTCCCTTCCCATGTGCTTGTCCTGGTTGTAGCTCCTCCAGTGGGGAGGGATGGGGCCCAGGCCTTTTTCCTGGAGAGCCTAATCCTTGGATTGTGGTCCCTCTGTCTGTGGCCCCAGTCAGCATGTACTTTTTTCTGTACAGACAGGCGAAGGCGCTGACGCTATTCTTCTAAACTGGAAAATGAAATGCAAAACCGACGTTAATGTAACATTATGGTTGAGATTAAATGCACCAAAATCAGGAAATTCAAAGTTATGCTTCCCACAGCAACTATAACTTAGCCTCATCTGGCGTGTGTAGTATTTTGTGTTAGTGTGGATGGTGTTATATGTTAAGACATTAAAGTTAACACCATAAGCAGAGCACAAAATGCTTGAGGGGGCTGAGTTATGATGACTGTGTGAGCTGTAAGTGTTCTTGTACAGGCTCCCGACTCCTGGAATAATTTTTCCCCTGCCCATCAGAGCAATTATTGCCTTTCTTTCTAGTTATATCTCTACTTTAACACATCTCTTCTTTCAGGGTCACTATAAATGAATTCCTCTATTGATGGCCAGTGATGGTGGGAATGGGGTGGCCCACTAGGCCCCTTTGTCTTTTTTGTCACTGCCTCCATAAATGTGGTCCTTGCCCCTCCTCCTTCCAAAGCCATCTTCCTCCACAGGCTGCTGTTTCCTGGTGGTCCCTCATAAGGATGGGCCTCCGCCTGGCTCCCACTATGGCTCCTCACTAGTATTCCCGGAATGGGAACAAGCGTTTGCTGTGTCCGAGTCTTGGCTGTATTGCAACTTCACGTGAAAGCCGAAGGGCCTGTCTGTATTTGGAGCAGACATAGCAATGTAGAAGCAAAATATACATCTCGGGGAATGGAGCACTGATGCATGGTGGCCCTGGCTTGTGTGTTTGGCATAGCAGAGGCAGGATCGAAGCGGTTTATTTGCTCTATTCAGACTGCTTCTCCACCTTCCCCAGGGTTTATACCTTTAAGCTGCCATGGTGTGTAGCAGGCTGTGGAGTTGTCTGGGGGTGGGGCCAGGAACTTTCCTTGGGGAACACTGGGTCACTGGTAACAAAATCACCACATAATTTAGTGCAAATCAGGAAACATCCCCCCTAGCCTCTTATTATCCTGATGGCCTCCCCAGGGCTGAGATAGCTGTTGGAATGCAGATTTTTTTGGGCACTGGGCTAAGGTTGGTGGTGGGGAAGAGCTCTAAAGAATAGGGCCATTGATAAATGGTGAGTGAAATCAGGGACCGTAAAATAACAGTGACACTGAGCTGCCTTTTAAAGTTTTTGTTGGACATAAAAAAACCGCCTAAGTCAGCAAAGGAATGGGGAAGACCTCATTATAACCACCTTAGAGGCAATGAAAAGGCTTCTTTTTACTCTTTGGATAGTAACTTAAAGCTCTGTGTTAGATGCTAGGGGTATAAAGACAAGTAAGGAATGGTCCCTACCCTCAAGGAGCTCATAGTCAAGGAGGGCAGACATTTGTGTAACAACCATTAGGCTGTATGATAACCACCATGACATGGTAAGTACTTGGTACAGTGGGGGCACAAAGGATGGGAATGATCAACCCTGCTCACAGTGTGGGGGAGGGCTGCATAGTTTTCATGTTATAAGAAATTCAGGAGACCAGAAAGGGCCAAGTGGACCTGAGGCCATTCAGAACTGTTATAGCAGGAAGAGAAGAAGGGGTTCACACAGTAAGCCAGAATGAAATGGCCTAAGTCTGGAAAAACTGACCTTGATTACAGGCTTGTTTGTAGAAATATTGAAAATGAGGTAAAAGGAGAATAAAGACTTTGAACCTGGCAAGTATTTCACTGTTCAGTTAGTTGGATTATCTATATCAGTTTTACGCTGTTTCTCACATTCGAGCTAGAAGGTGTCATTGTGATGCTATAAGTGGAAGTACAAAGGCTAGAAGAGGCTTAAGAGCATTTTACCCAATAAAGTGTGGGTAAAAGGGGTGTGGGTGAAAGTGGATATGGTGTAAGCTAAGGCTCTGAGGTATTGTCAAGAAGGCTAAGGCTCTGAGGCATTATCAGGAGGCTGATACCTCAGCATAGCATTTGGGTGGGCTGCTAGGTCTCTAGGGAGAGTCAAAGGCTGGGGAATGACATGACGCCTCCCCTTCACCTTCCCCCTGCTTAAAAAAAAAAAAAAATTGGGAATTTGGATCTGGATCTGCTAGGACCTACCTTCAATAGACCAGGGAGGTTTAGACCCTTCAAAAAGATAAATAGCTGGCTGACTAACATTGAGATTAGTGTGGAAGGAATGACTGATGAAGAGGCAGGAAGGTCTGGGTAATGTGGAGATTGGTGGGATCAGAAGCGACTGGAGGGCATGGGGGTGGAGGCTGAGCTTCCTCTGAGCATTGGCAACAGGTACAGCCATAGAAAGCAAAGCCAGCAGGTTGGAAAGCGGGGACAGTGGGGGAAGTGAAATCCAAGAGTGTTTAGGTTAAGTCCATAGGCTTCACTTCTCCCTACCTCCATCCTGCCCTGCTTTTCCTCTCCCCTCTTGATTATATTTCTTTTGTAGACTGATCTCCATTGTTTGACATGAGGAAACTGATATCAGGAGACCCTTTCTGCATCTCTGTATCTCATTGGGAAAAAGGATCTTGCATCATTTTGATTAAGATGCCATTGGGATGATTATTTTTTATCCTCTTATCCTGGGTGTTCACGATACTTAAAAAACCCCCACATTCTTACATTTATGTGATGAGTTTTGAGCTCTAGCTGTGAAAATTGAGCCATAGCCTAAAAGCCTGAAACAAGAGTGTACCCACATTGACACCAGCTACCCCCACCCCCAGCAAAGGCTGGCAGGTCTGCAGCAGAAGGGTGAACAGGCTGGCACAGGCAGAAAAGCGTTTATATGTATTGATGCTCCTGCCACGGACAAAACCCTGTTAGGTGTTGGGAGAGTCAGAAAGGAAGTAAATCAGAAAGAAGAAATCTGGAGGGAGAGACAAACATCAGGGCAGCTTTTATTTGGATGTAGAGGTGCCTTGGGATAGGCTGCTGTTTGGGTCCTGTCCCTGCATGTAGTTGGCCAGTAAGGAGATCTGGAAGGCCTGTGGGTGGCAAAACAGGTCTGATACACAAGTGGCTCTACTTCTGTTGTAGTGTATAGTCAGTGTCTAGTCCTGGAAGGCCATTCCAGCCAAGGGCTGATCTGAGGGTTAGGTGCTGGCAGAGGCACTTATTTGGAGATGCCGACGTTGCTGAAAGTAAAGGAGTGTTCATACTCTACAATGGGGGTACAGTTGGGGAGCCGGAAAAGGAAATTTGAATGTATTACTGAGTGGAAAAGAAGAAACAGAAATAGATGTTATAAGCCAGAGTCCATGGGAATGGAAAGGAAGTTGTTCCAAGAGGTTAAAAATGTATGTTGGGAGACTGGTACGGATGCAGTACTTGAGAGAGATGCTAGTGGGTTGGACTAGGATGTTAGTTGGTTGGCGATGGTGAGAATGGGGAGAAGTTACATGTTGTAACCCTTAGGTGTGCTAGGAAGGAAACAGGCTTGAGAACCATGTTCTTATGTAGCTCATAACTCTTTTGGAGACTAGTGGCCTACTGAGGAGTCAGTGGTACTGAGGTTTGTTAAGGAGTGGCGCATGGAATCTATAGTTGTTGTAAATGGGGTACTCTGAGTAGAAGATCCGTATCAGGGAGAACATAACAGGCAGAGCTGTTATAGTTGAGTTCCTTAGTGGTAATGTGGGTAGTTATTCCTCTAGGACCTATTTGATGCATTGTTTGGCCATTGGCCTAGAGGAGGTAGGTAGTGATGGTTAGGTAGATAGGATAATAACTGGCTAGAAAGCTTGGAATCTTGCTCTCTAAAAGTGTGATAAAACTGAGAGCCATGATTTGAGATTGCATTGTCTGGAAATGCAGGGACATGTCTGCGTTGTTCACAACACTAGCGGCATTTTAAAGGCCAGCTGGTCAACTGAACGGGATTGGTAGTTACAGATGGGTGGGTAGGGCTGATGAGTGAGATGAAACATGGCATTTTGATCAGGTCTACTTTCACTGGAAAGGTAATGTGACTAGAGAAACAATGTCGGGGGCAGACCTGAAAGGAAATTCATGGTTGATGGTGTTGAATGTGGTGGCTGGTGAGGATAGCAAGGAGTCCCCAAGTAGGTGCCTTAGGATATGCAGGAATTCTGTGATCCTGCTCCAAATTTGTGGCCAGGGTTGGAGAGGCCTTTCTCAGGACCAGAGGCAGTTAGATAGACCAGATAAGCTCCTGGCTTGTGTCTGTAATGAGCGGTCTTCTCATAGGAGAGGTACCCAGTCCTGCTTTTTGGTTCATCTGGACAGAGGAAGGTTTTTTTCTGGAGGGCTGAGACAATAGTGTGCTGAGCACTCTGAGGGTAGCTGATGCCCTGGTCTTGACAGTATTCCTAAAGGAAGCAGGCACTGCCATGACAAGAAGACTTTTTGCTAGCTCCCTGACAGAGATGTGCCAGTCTACTCTGTGAAGTTCTTGGATGTGACAGGCCTGTTTTTCTGCCCTAGCTCTTGGCAGCAAGGAGGATGAAATGTCTGGTGATAAGAGCTAGCGATGGTTAGCAGACTTAGAGGGCTTGACTCGGGTGCTTAAAGTGGGTCAAGTAAGGGTTTGCTCTGAGAAGGGAGCTGAGAGCCATGGGCTCTGATTCTCATTTGGTCAGTACCTCAGCGATAAGGAGTTAGTCACATAAATGTTCTAGACTACACCTTTGCTGTTTAAATTGTGGTCTGAGAACCAGCAGCATCCTCATCACCTGGGAGCTTGTTAGAAATGCAGAATGTCATGCCGGCCCTACTGAAATAGAATATACTGAAATATAATCTGAATATACTAAATATACTGAAATAGAACCTGCAATCTGACACATTCCTCAGGTCATTTGAAGTCTGAGAAACACTGCTGTAGTCTGGACCAGCGGTTCTCAAACTTCAGACTTCAGCGAGCGTCAGAGTCACCTGGAGGGCTGTTAAAACCAAGGCTGTTGGCCCCATCCCCAGGGCTTCTGATTCTGAAAGGCAAGGGTGGAGGCCAGAAATTTGCATTTCTAACAAGTTCTCAAGTGATGGGACTGGTTTGACAACAGCTGACCCTCTTAGCTTTCTCATCTGCAAAACAGGGGAGTGATTCCTGCCTGCTTACGGAGATGTGGGATCATATGGGACAGTGTGTGAGAAATGTGTTCAGTGCATTGCGGGGGTGGGGGGCGGGTATCCGTTTGTGTATTGCTTGCTTACTAGTCAGTGAATTTTTAAAAATCTATTGTCATGCCAGCACAACTGTTTACCTTCCTGGCTGCTGGCCATCATTTGTGGGCAGAGAACAGGGAATCTATGAACCACCCCACAGGCATGCAGTATTCTGTGAAGAGATCAGCAGTCCCTGGGGCTATGGATGGGGATTATTGAGCAAGGCCTCCTGTAGCCCAGCCAGCTTCCCTGGCTCCTGGCCAAGTAGTCTGACCAGAATTCTCAGTCTGCCTGAGTGGGCCTGGTCCTGTCTTGATCACTTGTTACTCACCGCCATTTCTTCACCCCCAGCTAGTGTATCTTAAGGCAATATTTGAATTGGTTTGAAAAATGGTCTTTGTCTAACCAAGCCTCTGATTCATCTTGTGATCCTGAGCAAGACACATGCCTTTCCTCCACTTTGTTGGGTGACTGATGGAACAGGCTTTGGCTGCATGTGCCCAAGTCCCAGAATGTGGACTCTGGACCTTCAAAGTGAGGGAAGCTGAGGTAGACGCTGTTCTGATGAGAATCAGTAGAGCATAGTAGTTAAAAGCATAGATTCCAAAACTGGACTGTCTGGATTTGAGTCTTGACTACCTACTGGTAGTCTGACCTTGGGCAAGTTGCTTGCACTCTTTATGCCTCAGTTGCCTTATTGGCAAAGTGGGGTTAATAATAGTACCAATCTTATAGGACTGATGGGAGGATAAACTGAGTTAAACATATTAAGTGCTCAAAACAGTGTTTGATATGTAATGGCTTATAGGTATTAGCTCTTATTAGTAGAACTAGTACTAGTATTATTCTGATCCACAACCTCCTAATAAGCTGTTGAGATACAGCAGGTGACTGGGAGGCAGGCCCTGCTTCTCTGGGAAACACAGAGAGATCAGGCCCTCTTATCAACATACTGATAGAACCAGAGTACTATCCAGAGAGATTTTTTTGGGCTTGGCACCCTTCCATTTCTAGGCCCTTCCTTAGTGATGCCTCCAGGGGACCTCTCTAGCACATAACCTGAGATTTGTTTAAATTAATTTCATGACAAATGTGTGTCTACAGGTAGCTACAAACAAATCATTTGGTTGTTTGGTGCCCTTGAAGGGTCAGCTTCACAGAAGCCACTAATATCTGAAGTTATTTACAATTGAATATGTAAAAATGTTTGAACTGTGGCTGTTTCTGAGTCATGTACATACAGAGGGAGACACAGGTGTGCACACCTCAGGTGAGGATGTGGTTTCTAAGACTTGGTCTCCTTCATTTATTGGTATTATGTTTTTGAAAAATTCAGATTTCAATAAGGGTAAATTATAATTCACTTTGCACCCATACTCTCCTCAAATAAAGAATAGCAGTGTCTATTTTCAGCCTCTTTTCTATATTTTAATTGCTTTGGGGTCTATGGAGATGGGGAGAGGGGGACATGTAGGTGAAAAATCAGCCTTTTAAAGCTCCGATTTTTTACCCTTCCTTGTCCTGAAACTTCGAGCATCAGCTCTCATCTGTCAAAGTGTAAATCAGCAATTAAAACCCAAACAGCCAAATGCCAAAGATGACCCGAAGCACAAAGCAACTGACAAACAAGTCCGGACAAATCGACGGGTAATTTATAAGCTTTGCCCTAAAATCTAATTATTTGGCAATTCGAATTTGCAGCCAGCCAGGGCTTGGCAATAAATTTAACCCGCCATAAATTATTTAGGAGCAGACTGTGGTGTAAATCAAAACCACGAGTGTTTGTTTAAGAAATAAGCTCCTTGTGCATAAAATGTCTTTTTTTTTTCCAAGGGAGAAACTGTTATTGCAAACCATACCCCATTGCCCAGTGTAGCCCTCACTTCTCCCATCCAACTTACCCTCTTCCCTGTGGCCAGGAGGCTTCTTGATCCTTGGAGAAAGGGCCCGTCTTTGCATGAGACTTTTATCCAAAACTAAATATTTGGGTAAAACCCACATGTTTTCCAGGGACTGCATTTTCTACCTTGTGGTATGTGTTGCTTTTAGATTTTATCAAACCTTTCAGTGCAGGGACACACACTTTTTGGAATTTTCTTCCGAGGGTTGAAGGAATAGATTAGTTGTTTTGAAGGAAAGCCAGTTCCTTCTTCCTAGGTTGGGAGGGGGAAGCCATGAAAAATGATCTGCTCATTCTCTTATTTCAGATAGGACATAGAAACATCAGCTCAGGCAGAGGAGAATCTATGCTTAGGAAAAAAGGGCTAGAATGCTACTCTATTAAACCCTCTGGGCTGGGTGCAGTGGCTCTGGCCTGTAATCCCAGCACTTTGGGAGGCCAAGGCAGACAGATCTCTTGAGGCCAGGAGTTTGAGACCCACCTGGCCAACGTGGCAAAACCCTGTCTTTAGTAAAAACACAAAAATTAGCTGGGCATGGTAATCCCAGCTACTTGGGAGGCTGAGGCATGAGAATCACTTGAACCTGGGAGGCGGAGGTTGCAGTGAGCCGAGATCATGCCACCGTACTCCAGCCTGGGTGACAGAGCGAAATCCTGTCTCAAAAACAAACAAAAAAACAGAATTTATAAACCCTCTGTCCCAGTTTTATGAATCCCAACAGTCTAACCTGAGTGCCTTCTGCTTAAATCCTCTTGTTGTTATTCTATCTTCAAATTTATTTTTATTTCTGCAGACACTTCAGTTGGAGGGAGTTTGAATACCCCGAAAGCAACTTACACATTTATTTCTTGTAATCTACTGATCGTGGGTGTGAAATTTCATTTGAAATGCTGTTGCAGTTGTGTCCTCAGTTTATCAAGGAAATCATTGGGGGTTCCTAGCTGAGCAATTAGAGAGCAGCCAGGGGCCGGGCGTGGTGGCTCAAGCCTGTAATCCCAGCACTTTGGGAGACCGAGGCGTGCGGATCTTGAGGTCAGGAGTTTGAGACCAGCCTGGCCAATATGGTGAAACCCTGTCTCTACTAAAAATACAAAAATAGCCGGGTGTGGTCACGGGTGCCTGTAATCCCAGCTACTTGGGAGGCTGAGGCAGGAGAATTGCTTGAACCCGGGAGGCGGAGGTTACATTGAGCCGGAGATTGTGCCATTGCACTCCAGCCTGAGTGACAGAGTGAGACTCCGACTCAAAAAAAAAAAAAAAAAAAGCTGTGTTTAAAATCTCTGCTCCAACCCATTTTACAAGGTAGATGAATGCTTGTTTGGTGCTTCATTTTTATTTCTGTCTTCTCTCTCCTCAACAAAAGATCTACAGGGACAATATTGAGGGAGACAGTAGGTACAATAGGTTTGGAACCTTGGATATTTGAAAAATCCCAATTCTGAGGCTTTTGTTCTTAGCTGTTAAGTTATGGCCAGTTTTCATCCACCGTTGGCAGACAGCCCAGTGCTGTAGGTAGTTTGTGAATGGTGTTTCAGTGTTAGCATTGAAAGTCCATGTTGGCCGGGCGCGGTGGCTCACGCCTGTAATCCCAACACTTTGGGAGGCTGAAGCGGGTGGATCACGAGGTCAGGAGATTGAGACCATCCTGGCTAACACGGTGAAACTCTGTCTCTACTAAATGCACAAAAAAATTAGCCGGATGTGGTGGCGGGCTCCTGTAGTCCCAGCTACTCGGGAGGCTGAGGCAGGAGAATGGCGTGAACCCGGGAGGCAGAGCTTGCAGTGAGCCAAGATCTCGCCACTGCAACCCAGCCTGGGCGACAGAGCGAGACTCCGTCTCAAAAAAAAAAAAAAAAAAAAAAAGAGTCTATGTTGCAGGAAACCCTTGGTCCTGATCAACCAAACAGTTGATTACCCTAGGTAAGACTGGGATTTGGTGGTTTATAGTAGTTCAGGGAGGAAACCACTCAGAGATGAGAGTAGATCTAGTAGAAAGTGCTTTGAACTGTGAAATATCTGAGTTTGAATCCTGGCTGTACCACTGACCATCTTTGACATCTTAGGCAGATCATTTCCCCTCTCTGATTCTGCGGAGAGTTTTGTGTCTTCTGGTACAGCTAGGCCTTTGGCTTGTCTCCTCCACTTAGCAGCCCTTTCATGTGATTACACAACAAAAGTTGAGAGAGTGAAGCCTGTGTGCCAGCATAGGAATTAGGTGCTGGAGATCACACTGAAGGCACATGGTTCCTGCCTTCCCTGATGCCATCTGTGCCATCTGTGTTACTGCAGCCATGGTGGAGTCTTTTCAGTAGCAAACTCTAGAACTTTTCTGCCTGGAGAGTCCACATTCATTGCTCTTAAAATTTGAGAGCAGCCTCTCTTTCTAGATGGTAGACTTGAGTTCTCTACAGGATAGCCTTTTAGACTAAGAGAACCAGATCTTTCTTGACCCTTCATATTTTGAAAGCTGCTAGTCCTACTCTTAAGTCTCATTCTCATTTTCCCATTTTGGAGTTCCAGCTCTGTCCCTCACAAGCAGTGTAAGTGTCAGCAAGTGAGTTAACATCTTTGGGCCTTAGTTTATTTGTGAAATAGGGATGACTATGATTCCCACCTCATGAGTTAGGAGGATTAAATGAGATCATTCCTATTAGCACAGTATCTGCCACGTAGTAAACAATAAATGGAATAAAACGATTGCATTTTCCACATGTCTTGGAGAGCACTGGAGGCCAGCTCCTCTTCACCCTTTGCCCAGACTTGAGCATCTCAGAGAGAGGAGCCACCTTTCATTGTATTCATCTCTGTGTCTACAGCCAGCCCCTGCCTGGTGAATAGTAGATGCTTAATAGTATTGATTTATGACCTGAAGATGGTGATGGTGATGATGATGTAACCTGTCTGCCAGGATTAAGGAGGGTAAAATAAGAAAATGTATGTGAAACTACACTTTTGTGAATGGAAAAACAACACTGTGTACGTCCCTCCACTAAGGTATTTATCACAGTGTACTGTTCTTTGTTTGCCTATCTTTTCCACTCATAGTCCATGTGCTTCTCCAAAGTGGAGACTACATCTTATCTCTAGTCCTGCTCCAGCCCCTGTCTGATAGCCTACACAAAGTAGGCACTCAGGTAGTTTAATTGAATGCAAATGGCATACAAAGGCAAAGAATTGTAAAGCTATTATTAGGATAGGGAAAGAGGGCTGGTAAATACGACTGGTCCTTCCTTCCTTCCTGGTGCTACTTTTACACAAAACTGTTTCTGAAATAAACCTCTTCCTAGGGGAATGATGAAATTGGCTGAGAGAAAAGGTCAGGGTCAGGAATAACAGTTTCATTATCTGAGCAACTGGACATAGAGGCTGGCACTTGGGCACATTGTCACAAATCTTTGTGTTGGGATTAATGCCACTAACCTGTAGTGTTGGGGTTCCATCTCTGATCATTATCAGCTAAAAATCTTCAAAATGTTTGTCATGCTTCAGGTGCCCTGGCTGCAGAGTTGTGCCAACTTGGTGCAGATTGGGGCACCTCTCCCACTACTGGGCTGTTTGGGCCAGTATTTTGAGGTTCTGGGAAGTATGGAAGTACTGGCTGGGCAATATGGGATGGTAAGAAGTACCTCAGTGAGGTCCTTGCTGCTCTAATTTCTCAGAGAGTCTTTTCTCAGAAGCTTCTCTTTTGCATCCTCAGTAGCTCAAGTGAATATGCCAGTGTGTAGGCTCATTGTTAATAACAGCTCCTCATGTTGTGGAGGAAGGGCCCCTGCAAAGTCACGTTTTGAGACTGGTGCTTGAAACCACCTCTTCTTGGTCTTGGGGAGAAGGCTTGGCTGATGAGCTAGCATTATCAGAGATATGTTTATAATAGGCCCAATTTGATGTGTCCTGAGCCTTGGGTGTAGGCACCCTGGGAATTTCAGGGGCCTACCCCCCTCCTTTTTTTTTTTTTTGCGTGGATCCGAGTCTGGCTTGTTCTTCCTCTCTGGGAGCATGGCACTGAGTTTCAGCACGTAGTTGGCCCCATTTCCCTATGGGTGAGGAAGCTAACATCAGGAAAGTTTGAATATTGAGCTACAGTATTTGCTGTTATTTGCTGCAATGCGGAAACCCAAAGGCCAAGTTTCCAGAGAGTCTGCTGGGGATGTTGACTTGGTGCTGGTCAGAGTGGAAGCTGAAGCACATACTATTTTATAATAAATACTAATGAAATCCTAGATCTATAATAGCATTTCGGATATCTAAAACAAACCATGTGCTTGTAAAAAAGTGGAAAGAGATCAACTTTAAGCCATAAATTCTTGGTAATAGAGGGTTTTTTTCTATTAATGTTTGATAGATATTTTTATTTCCAGAGGAATGTCAACTCCTAATTTCATAATGTATCATGGGCTTAAGAAAATTGAATTTAATAAAAAGCCAAAGATGAATGGCATCCTTAAAGGTCCCAACACTTGTCTTTATTAGCAGGACAAACTGTAGGTCTCCAAACACTGCTGCTCTCCAAATGAAAGTTTAAATGAAAAGTACAGTTGTGTCACAGGTTAAATTTCATTGTGGGCCCAGCTAACATTGTTAGTGAGGAGCTGGCTGTATTTGTTTCCTTAGACACCAGGGCAGCCATACTCACCAGGCTATAGAGCTCTTTCTGTTGAGGAAGTGTTTCTTCTACTTAGGGGAAGAGGAAGGACACATCGGAAAAATCAGGAGTCAGATGAGCCTGATTCATGGGCAACACCTCAGAGTTGGCTCTTGGAATCCTGGATACCTGATTTTGCAGGGGGACCAATGTGTATTTTTTTGGTGTGTGTTCGATTTTGTTATTCAGTTCCAAACCCCCATTTACTCTGTATGTAATGCTTCTTGGGGAACAGAAGGTCCAGGGAATTGGGAAATGAGTGTCCCCCTCTCTTCACCTTGGAAGGAGAGGTATTACCTGGTCTAAGCAGCAGTCTGGGCCTCCCTTCTCTCCCCTCTGCCTCAGCCTTGCAGCCATTTTGCCCTTTCTATCTCTGGGAATAAGCTCCTGTCAGCTTCCTCATCTTTGGAGATCAGCCCACGGAGACAAGGCAACCACAATCTTTGAATCTCTCTGGCATGAAGTCTGACTGACTTGATTTGGTTTTCGGTCCTGATGTGTTGGATTGAAATAGATGCTTTAAAAACAAGCCCAATATTAGTGGGTATGTTTTGCCGGGAGGATACCTGGCTTTCCTGGGACATCAAGGAGATTGACCATTTCTCCTTGTGTTTTCCCACCCATCAATTTCCTAAGTGCAGTCAGGTGTCATCCGTTTCGTGTTGCTTCTCCAGGCTGTCTCTGGAGAGAACCACTTTACCTTGATTTTAATGATACTGGAAAGGTCTTCTCCAGAATGAAGGACCTGGGGAAGGGGTGCTGCTGGAGCTGACTATTAGGGTCACTGAATAGGCAGAGCCCCCTTCCTTTCTCTCTGCAGTGGAGGCCCTTTCCACATGCTAATTTTACTCAGAGAATTTTGCTTTTATTTATTTTTTTTATTATTTCCTATTTGTCTCTTCCAGATGTTTTCAGGGCAGTTTTTTTTTGTGTTGTAAACTAATTCCATTCATGTTTTAAAAATTTATGAAAGCGCTAATAAAAATGTCAAAGTGGTAAAAATGTTAGCTTTTCCTCTGCTTTGATTAAATTTTGCAAACTGTTTTTGAATATTAAAAAGCAATAATTTTTTTTATTCTCTCTCCTCGCTTTCCCTCTTCTCTCTGGTACGCACGTGCTCTCTTCTGCCCTCTCCCCACTCTGGTGCGTTCCTCCCTTCCCAGGAGCGATGTATGAGGCGTGCTGCACAGCCAGCGTTCTGCAAGCCTGTTTGCACACCAGGACCTTGGTGCTGTGCATCTCTATTAAATAGCGGAGACAAATTAATCTTAGAGACACCAAACAAATTGTCACTCCTTGTCCTTCTCTTCCATTATGTTTCAGTGGACTGGGAAAGGCTAGCTAAGCGATTGGGCTGGCGTTGTAGAGGTAGTGTGTGCTGCCTGAAAGGTGGGAGGCGCTAGCTCCTATTACTGTTACTCTTTTCTCCTTCTCTTTGGGATCCCCTTTGGCTTTATTTTTTATCTTTTTTTGAAAAATAAGAACTAATGAAGAAACTTACCAGCTTGGTTCAAACTTCATACAAGGAAATCTATGCATTGGTCTGATGGCTGGTTGTCTATATGGCAGGAGATCAGACCCATTTCAGGACAGGGACCTGGGCAAGAGAAAGAAGGGCGTATTCTTAGGGGCTCAAGTTAGCAAGCCTCTGCTAGAGAACCAGTTGGAGAAACTGGGGCAGATGATACCACTGTCTTCCTTCCCATTTCCAGAAACAATGGGGATGAGGGCTGTGTTCAGTCCCTGGAACCTATGAGGATATTAGCAGTGGGAAGGTTAGGATTGTAACTGCTGGTGCCGTCTCACTCAATCTTGGGTTTGGCCTGGCAGGAGCTAATGAACCCAAAACACTAATGAATCCAAAACACTCATTCTTTGTTGACTTGGAGCTACTGTTGGAAATGGTTGATTACAATAACTTATTTTTCCTTTTCTGTATCTTTGGCACTCCAGGAAATCATCGAGTTCCCCATCCTAAAGCTAAATGGCCGGACCATGGAGATTGAGTCTACCTTTCACATGTATGTCCAGCCTGTAGTCCATCCACAGCTTACCCCATTCTGTACAGAGGTAAGGGCCCTGGAAGTGGGCAGCAGGGGCTGCTGGGAGGGGAATTTTGGAATCCTTGGTGCTCTATATAGGCCACTTAGAGAAAGCATAGGGCTTATCAATCCTTAAGGCAAGTGCACACTAGACCTAGCAGTTAGGTTTTATGAAGTCTGCCACTCCACTCAGGTCACTGTTGTTACTGGGGACCCAGGGAGAGCAGTGGCTTAGTCTACCCCTGCTTCCCCAGCATCCCTTCCTGGTGACCGGCACTTGGAGACCAGGAGCAGAATGGCATTTCTGGGGTTCAAGTTCTTTCCAGTTCAGTTTTCCTTAGGGCCCCTTGGCAAGAGGTAAAGATTTCAGCCACTTGGAAGGCAGGGTTATGTTCAGGCCTTCTTAGCTTTCTGGCATTGTTACTCTGTCCTCCTGTAAAGTGGTCCTGTGTGAAGCGTAGGTTGAGTTTGTCGAAGGTACATTCTGTCACCGAGGGAAGAGAAGAGTGGTCTCAGTGAAGCATGAGACCTGGCTGGCCAAGGCTGAAATCTGCTTATCCTAGGTGGGTACTGTACTTGGCCTCCTTGTCAGCAGGTTAGTATTGGTTGCATTTTACAGATTGTGAAACTGGGCCTAACTGAGATTTTAATGATTGCTGGAGGCTCAAAAGAGCCATTGGCAGAGGGGAGGAGCCCCTGCAAGTTCTAACTCCCAGAACTGTGTGAAGTCTTCTGTGGCTACTTTTCCCTGTGACATGTCATGTAATGCACTCAGTGGTGGCCAACAGGCTGTGGTGCAATCAGGGGTTAAGAATGTGTGGTAGCAGGGGTGATGAGAATCTTTTAAGAGTCTGGGGCTGAGGTACATTAGAGACTTTGTGCCTTCATTTAGAGACCTATCTTCTACATGTGAATGAAATAGGTGAAAAAGGGTTCTTGAGTTATCCCAAACAGTCTCCTTGGTAAGAAGGCTGGGGATGAGCCTGTTTGACCCTGGTGGGCCCTGAGGCTGACTTAGCCCAGACAGGAGGTCTCGAGGTTGCTCCTGAATTCGATGCCAGTGTTTGCCAGCTGACCCAGGTGGGGCTTTTGTTGCAGGCATCCATCTGCCAAGGCGCCTAGCCTCTTAAGCCTTTTGTTATTCCAACTAATGATGTTGGGTTCTGGTTTTCGCCTTCCTCTGCCGGGGTTTCCCCTTTCCCCTGGGATTTACCTATACCACCAGGGGGCGCTAATCTGACTTTTCTGCCCTTTTTGAAAAATCACCATTTTAATGATGATGAAAATTCCCTTGCTTATGCGAAGGGAAGGAAAGACTTTCTTTAAGCCAGCCAGTTACCTGAGCCCTCCACTGGCCTTGAAAGGCTAATGTCCTCTTGTCCTTACGTAGACAGGCAGGCCCAAATTTTAGTAAGTTTGCTACCTGTTTAGGAATGTAACAGTATTCTGCTGGAGCTGGACCCTGGGCAGGAGTGGATGCTTGAGAGTATCGGAAGAAGAGGGACTTCTTTTAGAGTAAGGCTGCTGCTGCTACTTTTTGTGGGAATGGGAGGAGGGATTGTGAGACTATGATGAACAGTTTCTTCTCTCTAGAAAGCTTCACCCAAGGATGCACATACATAATTTGGAGGGGAGTAGGAGTGGTAGTTGGGATCTTTATTATGAAGGCTGTTCTAAAAGTGAAAATGTGGTTGTTCTGTAGGCACCGGGTCTGCCATTTTGTCTCAGGTTTCCAGAGCTCAAAACTCGCCATGATCTTGTCCATCCTTTTTTGGCCAGCCTCATATCTCTCTGCTTCATCTCCCACCTAGCTCCCCTCACCCAGAGGTTGCCCTCTTACAGTCTGTCTTTTCACATGATGGTCCTCCTGCCTGCACAGAGTTCCCACTCTCCCCGCCAACTCCTGCTTGACCTCCAGGACTCTGCTTAGGGTCACTTTCCCTGATCCCCAGATTGAGTTGTGCTTATTCCAACATAGAACTGATCAGATACTTTATACTATAATTATTTATCTGTCTTTTCACTAGACTATAAGTTCTTTGAGGGAAGAAACTAGACCTGATCCATCTCCATCCCATCATTAGGGTCTGCTACCAAGTAAACACTTGATACGTGTCCCTTAAATGAATGAATATTGTCAAGGAGTTATTTTCTGTCTCTCCCAAAAACAACTGTACTGCTGACTTGTTATTTTGAGTAAGTAAGTAAAGTCTTGTTTGGAAAACCTCAGATCATATATATTTTGCCCTGTCTCCATACCAGATGGAATTGTATCTCCGAGAGGCATAGACACAGGATGGGGGCTGTCATTCTGAAACCTCATCCAACCTGGCAGTTGGTGCCTTTTGCGGGTGGGGATGGAGGTCATTCCAACCAGAGAAAATCTCTCATTAGTAAGTGTGAGGAACAGTCCCAAACCTCCAGATTATACTTAAGTAGTTCCTCTGGCAGGATTTTCTCTCTTGTGCACAAGAAGTTCTTAACCCCAGTGTGTGTGTGTGTGTGTGTGTGCACGCACATGCGTATGACATGTGCACACACATGGGCACATGCTTGGGGAGAGAAGCAGGCTCAGTGCTGGACAGTAGGAAGAAGGATTCCAGTTTGAACAAGTCTCTAGCACACACAGAGAGACTCCTACTTTTACTGCTTCATATTAGGAATGTGTTAGTACCCTTCTTGAGGTCCCTTCTTAGTTTCAGTTGAGAGTCGGCCTGGAGACGTGGTTCTGACAGAGATAGGATGGGATGTGTTTCATTCCTTCCCGAGCCCTTTCCCTTTGACCTCTAGAATCTGCTCCAGTTCATCAAGTCTCTATCTCTAGCAGCTGGGCTGCTGCACAGTCCCTAACCATGTCTTCTTTTTGTTGTTGTTATCATGAAAAAAAAACTAGAGAAATACTCATTTTGCTAAGTGCCAGTAAAGGGCTTTGTCTTGCACCTGTACTTATAAAGGGTGAGATTTATTGGTCTCTTTGTCTGAAGAGAAAGAGTGGGTCTGATTATCAGATTGCACACCAGAGACAAGTGCTTATGTAATCAACAAACTGTCTTGGTGTCAGAATACGATTGTGTTGGAGATAAACTGTGAAAGGAGAAAGCACTGGATGCTGACATGCTATTGGCACTGAGTTTCCTGGGCTGCTTCCTGTAGTTGCTAGTGTTCTTGATGAAGCCAGCTCATTCCTGGACAAAGCCCTTGTGAGGGTAGGGGATCTCAGTAACCAGCCATGTTATCAGTCAGGGTCAAAAGCCCCTTGCCTTGTGGTTTCTGAGTCTGGAGAAGTGGGAGTTAATCTGTAATCCCTCATTGAAAGGAGCCACAGAGCACACATTAATTCTTCCTCTCACCTCTCCTGCTTTAAGTGGCTAAGGTCTCTGAGCTCTGTTTAGCCTGTGAGCCCTGGTTCTCAGCTTAGTAATACTTGGCTTTGCTCTAGTACCTTTCATTGTAAGGAGTGAAAGCTTTTTACAAACATGTATTAACCCAAGTGGGACTGGGCTTAAACTGTAACATGAAGGATTTAAGTTAGGCCTAAGATAGAACTTCCCAGTATTAATTTGATAAAATTGTCTCGTTCCCTCATAGCATCCTGTATAAACCTTACACGTGTCTTATAGGTCATTAGTATCAGGTAGAGGAACTAATTTTTACTTAAAAAAAAAAAAAAAAGATGGGGTCTCTCTATGTTGCATAAGCTGGTCTCAAATTCTTGGGCTCAAGCAGTCCTCCTGCCTTAGCCTCCCAAAGGGCTGGGATTGCAGGCTGAGCCACCATGCCCAGCCCAGAACTAACTTTAATTTCATCCCTTCTTTGTCCAGTGCCTTGGCAGAGCTGAAAAGGGGTGGTCCATCCTTGGAGGGATTAATACAGGAGCCTGAGGCCTTCCCTGAGAAGGCTTTGTCTAGCTGAGCCAACTGCTCAAGCCCCTGTGTCTCTGGGGGCTAAATGCAAATCCTTGAGGAGCTCAGCTGTGAGCCATGCTTTACTGAGCCACAAATGAAAATGGCTGTTGTCTGGGAAGCATGGTGAGAGAAGGAGCTGACCTCACTAGGCTCCTCCCAGGCTGATGATTCTAGGATCACTGAGCACTGGAGTGGAGTTTGTGAAAGCCCCAGGATGCTGGAGCTCCATTTCCCCAGCTCCAGGTGGGAGAGTTGGGTTTAGTCTGCAGTGAGGCATCCTGCAGCAGAACACCAGAGCAGCACCCTGGTTTTCCATTTTGGTGTAGTGATTTTCTTGCCCCACATCAGTGATTTTCCTGGGGCCCAGGGCAGGGGCTTATGGGGTACACACAGGTGCTGACCTAAGCCTTATCTCCAGGGAGGGAGGGCTCTTGGCAAGGGTGCATTGCTTTCCTGTGTGAGTGAGACTTTCTTTAAGCCCTTGGCATTCAGCTCATTTGAGAGACCCTTGGTGGGAGCCAAGAGAAGGAGTGGACCTAACCTTGCCGCCTGAAACTCAGACCAGACACAAGACTAACATTTGGACCCTGGAGCTTCCTAAGAAGTGAGAGTGGCTGTGGTCCGCCTTTTCCAGGATGGTCCTGATGTTGAGCCTCAGCTCCAGGCCTGAAGATGTGTCTAAGCCCTAGGCTTAACAGGAGAGAAGCTGGACCAGAATGGGCAGCGGTGGGCCTGTGGGTGTCTGTCACTAATCTGGGGTTGGTAATAAGCCTCCTCCTGACTCTCTTTGGCCCCTTCATGCCTGAGGCAAAACAGGGCAACTGCCTGCTCGGTTTGCGGCTCTGGAAGATGTAGAGGCTCTCGGTACTAGTTGGGGCTGGGTGTAGGAGGGGGCTGCTGAGAACATGTATTCCATGAGGGCAGAGTTTTTACATTTTTCTTCACTGCCGGATCTCTAGTTCCTGTAATGCGGCCCAGCCCGTAGTAGGCTTTCTATGAATAGTTGTTGACTAAATAAAAGGAGGAGTCCTTTGTACTCCAAGATTATTGAAGCTGCTGACTGAGGGCACTTCCCCACTCCCAGCCCCCCAGCCCTTAGCGGACCATCTTTTCTTCTCTTTGACTCAGGCCCTCCCTCTACTGGGCAGTTCTTTGGTCTTCCAGGCAAGGAAAGGGTGTGGAGGTGCCAGCCGGGTGGGCATGCTGTGGGTTAAAGCTTTGCAAAACAACAGTGTAGTTAATCTTTCTAATTTATTTTCCTTTTAGACCATGGGAAGTCTGTAGGCAGCAGCTGTTACCCAATTAAAATACAGATTAATATAAAAACAGTTTCTGGAATATAAAATAGAGTGGCTGTGTCCTTACACTTCCTTAAAATACCACCTAATAATGACTTGATGAACTACAGAAACCCACCTAGAGGAGCTCAGCGTTTTTAAAATGAAAATTTCTCCCTAAAAGGTGTATATTACCATTCCATGTAAGTCACCATGAGAAAATAACCTTCCCTTTTAGAGCCAGCAATTTCTGTGAGTTGGGTATTTGGTATTCATTAAGTGTAATTATAGTTTAATTGGAGTTTAATCTCCCCCCCCCCAACACACTTTAAAAAAAAGAAGTTTCCAAGCAAGTCTGAGATACTGCTCTTTCTGGAAGTAGCCAGGGACATGCTGGGGGTGGTGATTTCCAGTTGGTGTCCAGGACATGGGGGCCTCATGCCCTCAGATCCTTGTAGGCAATCTATCCCCAGTCTTTTTTTTTTTTTACTTTAAACCAAACCAAAACAAAGCAAAACAACAAGCTTGTTTGAACCCAGGCCTGACCTAGGTGGAGCATAGGCCTGAGTCAGAAATTCTCTAGGTCATAGTCTGAACATTAGGCCTTTTTGTCTTAGTTTCCCCATTGGTTAAAGATGACTCTGTCTCTTGCTTGGCTAGTTCATATTGATGGCCCACGTATGCAGGGTGAAGGATAGGAGCCTGTGGGACTTCATGGATGTTAGGGAAGGTGTTAGGGAGAGTGTGGGAGGGGGCAGTGCTGGATATCAAGGCTCAGAGAAGGGGTGGACTTGAAACCAAGTGTGCCTCTCCTGTATGAGCACTCCCCAAGTTTTACGGGAACTTCTGTGAAGCTAGGAGCTGAATTTACTTGAGACTGTAATTGTGGGAAGTTATTGAGCCTATTGAATACAAAAGACATGTAACATCAATTTGTTTGCAAACTGAAAGCTGAAACAGGTGTGAGAACATGCCTTGTGGAAACAGGTGTGAGAACACGCCTTGTGGTCAGCATGTGTATGTGTACACCCATCTCAGGGCAGGATATTATGGGAGAAGCACACATTGTGTCCTGGGTCCTGGGACTTTATTCCCAAGTCTTCTAGGTGGGCTCTGAACCTAAAGCAGTGCCAGATCAGAGCCCTTTACAACAGAAGGAGAAAAACAGAAAGGAAGGGGTCCTGTTCAGCCTTGAGTCCCTTCACCCTGGTTTTCTACCCATCGGCTATTTCTCTTTCCTTTCAGCTCACCGGGATTATTCAAGCCATGGTGGATGGTCAGCCAAGCCTGCAGCAAGTGCTGGAGGTAGGTTGAGTGACCTTTAATTCCTGACCTCTGACCCCTTCCTGCTGCCTTTCTCTCCCTCCCCTCCTGAGAATGTAGCCGTGTAATTTGACTATGATTATGGCTTGATTAGAATAACATTTGCTGTCACATCAGTGACATGCTGTTGAGAGTATTGAACCATTGATCTGTCATCTCCAGCTGTTCCCGTCAGGGTTTCTGACAAGATGTCCCAGTGCTGCCAGGAGTCAGGCAGAGGGGCCCCCACCCCTTCCTGGCCTATGGCCCTATGCTGGCTGACTCTGGGGTAGCCTATGCTGGGTGGGCTGGGGAGTAGGGGAGCTGAGCTTGGTACTGTGGGACTAGCCCCAGGGACTGGAGGTGTTTTTGTTTAGCTTTAGTGTTGGCTTCTTGTGGCATGTGAGCACTTCATTAACTCACCCAGAACTCCGCATCGATGGCTTTTGTTTGCTGAGAGCTCCTCCAGGAGCTGTGGCTGGGCCCGCCTGCCCCACTGCAGCTTGCCGCTGGATGCATTGTGCCTGTCGGGTGCAGAGGCTGCACTGGGTAATGATTCCTAATCAGAATAATTACAACAATTGCCTATGTGAGGGAAATCAAATTAAAGACTTGAAAACCCTTGGCAGAGACCACACTTCTAGGATGTTCTCCTCGGGGAGCTAGAAAAGGTTAAGATGCTGTTTCTTGCGCTGTAGCCCGAGGGAATAAGGAAGGGCAGTGCTTGGTCTTAGCTTGTCTCCCACCCTCCTCTGGCCTGGAGGTTTTCACAGGGGGAGAAGGTCCCCCTCCCATGTCTTTCTCTATAGGGGGAGGGGAGAAGAGAAAAAGCCCGTGGATCTCATTAGGTGCTTTATTTATTTTTTAAGACCAATAAAGCCAAAGCTCAGACCTTATCAAGCATAGGAGAAAGCAGAGTATCTGCAGGAATAGCAGGGCACATCTGCACTGGAGGTGTGCAGCCTAGAGGAAGTAGCGTAGTGGCAGGGAGCAGGGCAAGATACCTTTTTTTTAGCCGAGAGATCCTGTCCCATGGAGGAGAGAGATGCAGATTGAATTTCGTGGGGCCCCCAAGGATGGAGCCAGGGTCAGAGAGGCAAGTTTAGGCTCACCTCAGTGGCAGAGTGTATTTCCTGTCCCTGGGAGTGTGGGAACCTAGGCTGTGACCAGTCTGGTTGGGAGTCAGAGTTTGGGCACCTGCGGTAGATTGGGAGAAGATAAGATGAGCTCTGAGATGCTTCCCAGCCATATTGACCATCTTTTTTTTTTGAAGAGATTCATTCCTATGACCAAGGGAGCTCCTTAGCATGGACTGCTCCCTGTTAAACCAGACTCAAGGAGACAGAGGGAACTCATTCTTTCCTCTGTCCCAGCCACCATCCCCAGCCAGGACCTGGCTCCTGAGGGATGCCAGAAGACAGGCACCTTTTTCCTGGAACATCTGTAGCTGGGATCCTGGAGGAAGATACTTGCTCTGGGCCAGCAGCAAACCAGGACTCTTGAGGTTATGGGTTTTTTTTCTCAGTGGCCCCAGTCGAGGAGGAGATGTGGTCTTGAGGAGGCAACCCCCTGTTAACCCTAGGCCAGCCCTGGAGCAGGGTGCTTAAAGAATTCTGGGTCTCACCCAAGAAGCTACTTTCTGCTACTTCTGTATACTTTGTGGGTAAGGAGGGAAAATTCCTGGTATCAGCCTGAATAGAGAGTTTCTGGCAGGTAGGAGACCGGACCGGGCTCTGCTTCATCTCATTAGTCCTGAGTTGGTTATGGAGATAAAGAGCTCATTTCTTGTCCGAACCAAGGCCCTTAGCAGGCAGCCAGCTAGATGTTTACCTGACTCATGGTAAAAGGTGCTCACTGAATAGCTGCTGTGCAAGCGAATGGCCGGGGTCCTAAGATTCCAGGGACCCCACTGAGTGTTGAGTGCTTCCTGTGATAAGGGCCCAGTTTTGCTGAGTGTGGCCTCCTGTTGTGTCTTGCTCTCTCTTTCACTGTGCAGGAGTTGGGGCACTGGGGAGCCCCTCTAGTATGTGGGGCACTTAACTTGGGGATATAAAACAGTGAGCTTGGGGGAGGTTATGCTGATTTAGGGAGCCCTAGTTTCACCTTACCTCTTTTCTTAGGTGACCCTGGGGAAAGGATTCATGGATTCCTGCACGTGTGTGTGTGTGTGTGTGTGTGTGTGTGTGTGTGTGTGTGTGTGTGTGTGTGCGCGCGCGCGCGATGTGCACATACATGCAAGGAGTTGGGTCAGAGGAGAGAGACCATTTAGCAGTGGAAGATCCAGAATTTATCTTTTGGGAAGATTCTTTGGCTGAGGAGGATTTTCTGGTGTACAGACTGTAAAGAGGGTTTAGAGACCACATGGTCTGCATAGTCTGGCACCGGGGAGCAGCTCTGATATTCTGGTTGGTAGAGCTGCTATAGCCACGGAACTAGGTAGGATCCTTGGCCTTAGTCAAGGATGACTTTAGCATGGGCCAGGCCTCTAGCATCTCAGAGGTATCCAGGGAGCCAGCCTATACCTGCTAGAAGTAATCTTACTTAAGATACTTAAAGATATCCATGGGCTGTCTCTTTCCTGCTGAGCACACGAGGCCGTTCACGGTCTGGCCTAACCTAGTCCTCCAGCCTTTGTCCTTTCTTTCTATATACTGTGGACTTAAGTCATCCTAAACTTTTACCTACTCATGTTTTCAGTCAGTCAGCAAATATCTCTTGAGTAGATCCTATGCTGAATGAGAGATTAAGGCAGTGAGTAAGACAGAGTTCCTGCCTTCGTGGTGCTTATATTCGCAGGGAAGGCAGACATTAAACAGATAATTGCTTCAAATACAAAATTATTGCACATGTACCTTTGCCTCTACCTGTAGTATCCTCTACTATGTTCCACCATGTCAGGCTCCTAGTTCAATTATCTTCTTTGTGAAGCCTTTTCTGACTCCTTTCCCTGTGAAAGGTAGGGCTAGCCACTTCCTCTTCTTGGTCCTGTAGCACTGTGGTCACGTCTCCAGTGCTGGATCTATTGTATTATGATGATCTGCCTTTCTCCCCTTCTCAGCCTATTACCTGTTTTGTGGTAGGTACTTAAAACATTATCACATTTAATTCTCAGAACAACTCTGTGTAAGATTTTATAGATGAAGGAAACTGAGGTTCAGAGAGGTTACATGACTTTTAAATGACTCCCCATCAGTGACACAGCCAGGATATGGAATAGCCAAGGGTTGGAGGGTTGGAATCCAGATGTGTCTGACTTCCAATCCTGCATTTTTAATGACTATGTGAGATAGCCTTAAAAAATAATCTCGTGGCCGGGTGTGGTGGCTTACCCCTGTAATCCCAGCACTTTGGGAGGCCGAGGCGGGCAGATCATGAGGTCAGGAGATCGAGACTATCCTGGCTAACACGGTGAAACCCCGTCTCTACTAAAAATACAAAAATTAGCCAGGCATGGTGGCAGGCGCCTGTAGTCCCAGCTACTCTGGAGGCTGAGGCAGGAGAATGGCGTGAACCCGGGAGGCGGAGCTTGCAGTGAGCCAAGATCGTGCCACTGCACTCCAGCCTGGGTGACATCTCTTGCATGGGTAGAAGCAGTGGTGTGACTCCCTCTCCATGCCTGGGGTCTTCTGTAAAAGGCAATGCTTCATGAATTCTTTTTATTTATTATTTATTTATTTTTTACAGAGTCTCGCTCTGTCACCCAGGCTGGAGTGCAGTGGTGTGATCTCAGCTCACTGCAACCTCCACCTCCCAGGCCCAAGCAATTCTTCTGCCTCAGCCTCCCAAGTAGCTGGGATTACAGGCGTGCACCACCACACCCAGCTAATTTTTGTATTTTTAGTATGGATAGGGTTTTTCCATGTTAACCAGGCTGGTCTCAAATTCCTGGCCTCAAGTGATCCACCTGCATCTGCCTCCCAAAGTGCTGGGATTACAGGCCTGAGCCACCACACCCAGTCTTGAATTGTTTATGATATTTCTCTTGTTGTATACTGATTTTAGTATTTGAATTTCCAGTGTGAACACAAATAAACTGATCAAAGGGATGAAGGGAAAGAAAGATTTAGAGTGTTTAGGAGCAGTTTTTCTCCCTTTGTAGCAATTGAGCTCAGCCTTCAAAATATTCTGCTGAATTTGAATCCTCAACCATGAACAGGAGAAATACGAAATTGGGGGCCAGTTTTGAACTTTTAGCAACTGGAGCAGGCAGCACTGTCCCAGGTGTCAGGATGGGGCTCCAGTCCAGTAAAGGGGCCTCTTAAGGTGAAAATGTTTGTCACCTTCATTTGGTGAATAACCAAATTTGTAAGTTTGGTTAATAAACATTTGGTAGAAGAGTAAAACAAATAAATGAATGAGTGAAGCTGTGGGTTGGAGCTCCTGTTTGGGGCCTCCTACTACCCTGTTCTGATGCCCCAGGACAACAGCCTGTCTGCTGGGCCAGGGGACCAATGAGAGGAACAGCCAAGTCAGAGCAAGGTATTTGAACTGATTTGCTGGGATCTGGAGCAGGCTGCCAGGCAATAGGCGAGTGTAGGGGCTCCCTCCGGCTACACATTCGGGCTGCAGGATCTTCCTAAGGGTTTGTCTTCCAAATGCCTCCGTGGTTCTGAGCCAAGCCTGAGAGCCCACAGTGGAGCCATGGCTGGATAAGATTACAATTTTCTCCTGTTCTGATTACAAGCAGCTTATCTGTGTTTTGCTGTTGTGGCTCTTCACAGGCTCAGGGAAAAAAAAGGAAAATCTCATTTGTTCTTGTGTACTTTTCAGAGGGTCGATGAATGGATGGCGAAGGAAGGCCTCTTAGATCCAAACGTCAAGTCAATTTTTGTCACCTGTGGAGACTGGGACTTAAAAGTCATGTGAGTATGAGAAGGGCTGCTTTGCTGGCAGGGCTTGGAATCTGTGGGACCAGGTCTGGCCTTTTGGAGGCTTAAATGTCTACAAGGCAGCTGGATCAGGGATTCTTCAGGTCTTTGAGGCTATCAGGGATAGAAGACGGTTGGGAGCCCTGCCTTCTGCCTCTCTGGAGCAGGGTGTGGGCAAGTCAAGGGCCTGCCTGGATGGTTGGGGCCTTCCTGCCTTTGCCAGGTCTCACTGCTCATGACAGCCCTTCCGATTGCTGGGGCTGTGTGTTATTGCCCTGGAAGGGAGGAGTTAAAAGAGTGTCTTGGAAAAAAAAATTTTAAGCCAAATACCATGTTTACTATGTAATTAAATATAGTAACTTATTTGTCAACCATATAAAGTAGGCATTATTATTCTTCCTATTTTATAGCTGAGGGAGTAAAGGTACAGAAAGGTTAAGTAATTTACCAGAGGACACACAGCCAGGATTCAAACTCAGGTCCTTGCTCTTAACTATTATACTATGCTGCCCCTTTATCTGGCCTGCAAGACCCTGGTGAACCAACTGGGAGCCCAGTGGTGGGATGAGAGAGGGCTGCTCCGGGAAGCTGCCCACGTCACCAGCCTCCTCTTTCCTCCTTTGTCCCCACTGCTTTTTTACCTTTGTCTCCTGATCCTGTCCCGGTTATGGAAGACAGAACCGGTTCCTTTGCTGGGTTGACACTTGTGCATCTTGTCTGCCCTCATGGATACATGGCTTCAGATGGCCCCCAGGGAACCGAAGTGGGATGGAGGTGGTGGGGGCACTGTTTGCTGAGGAGTCATAGAATCGATTACCTCTGTGTTCATTGTGACTGAAGGTAGCAGCAAGTATTCCGTGTGTGTGTCTCTGTGTGTGTGTGTTTGTGTGTGTGTGTTTGAACTTTTGAGCATAAAGTGGGATGTTGCTGAGGGGTGTGGTGTAGTAGCTCTGCAGTAACATTTTCTACCACATCAGGTGTCATCTCCTCACCAAGGCCCTTTGTAAGCCGTTTGAATGCTGGGCATTGAGGTGAAGTTATGTACCCAGGTGGGTGTCAAGCCTGCTATTGGACCCCAACTTTCTAGGTGAGACAGGAGGAAGAAAAGGCCCCAAATCACATGAGCACACAGAGACCTCATCTCCCACACCCATCAGGTGTGTACACAAACTGACTGCACCCCTCTTGGTTTACTCCAGAGGGTCTCCATATTCCCACATGACATCTCTTTGTCAGGGAAATTATACAGGCTGGGACTAGAAGCAGATATGAATCAGAGGAGGAGTCCATGGAAAAGGAGTAGAGGAAGAAGACTCTTGTTCTTGTTAATAGCGTCCTGGGCAGCTTTGAGTCCTTAAAGTGAGGAAGGGACTTAATGTGGATTTCTGTAGCCCAAGAGAAGCTACTCAAGGTGGGGCCAGTTTCAGGCTGATACCCAGAATTCTGGGGTTCATATGGCCCAGGAGGAAGGCCCTTTGGCCCAGTCCAGAGGTCCACTTCCTCCAGGTAGCCTCACCAGGACTCCCTTCATCCAGTGTTGTTCTCTCTTTGGCGTCTTCACCTTCCAAACACAGACATTTCAGAATCTTCTACTTTAACTGTGCACGATGCGTACATATATGTGTATATGAAAACTTTCCCGTGCATGAGGTTGGAGACTATAAGCTTGGAGTTGGTCTCCCCATGAGATGGAGAGGGAATTTCAGAGGGTGCTGTCTTCTTTTGGTCTGACCTGTTCTGTAGCACAGTGGGCCCTGGACAGGTGTTGGTGACCCAGGAGATTGCCCTGCCTCTTCCTGAAAAATGATATCATCAAGAAAAGAGATTGAGTTGTGGAACCCAACCATATATGAAAGGAAGCCAAGTCTTAATGAGCGCATACCTTACCGCATCCGCACCTTCTGACTGCCGTCTCTGGTGGGTGGTGGTATTGTCTTTCTTTTATAGATGAAACAAACCAAAAACCCCTGTGGCTCAGAGAGCTAAAGACGTGTAGCTAGACAGAATTGAATTCTAAGACCGTGTAGTTTCCAAAAGAGATGGGTAGGGCAGACTTTGTGGGCTGGTTTGGGTTTGGACTGGGAAGGCTGATGAAGCTTCAGAAAAGGGTTTTCAGAAAGGAAGCAGGTGGCAGGGCTTGGGGGAGGGAGCTCTGTGGCTGCCTCTTATAAGCAGGTCTCTGCATAACTGCTGGGAAGGCTCTTAATTAAATGTGTAACAAAATAAAAACAGCCGGAGAGGAAACCTAAGTAGTGCTGCGTGACAGCGCACAGCTAATCGGTGTTCCTGGAACCTCGGCAGAGGCTCGTCAGATGGCTCTCGTCAGAGCCATCACCTTTTTATGCGCCCGGTAAAGGCTGCAGATGAGCCTGACAAGGGTGGTGTTAAATTGACACTCACAACTTGTTAGTCTGTGGCTTACTTCTTATTTTGACATCCATTTTCAGATTTAACTAAGTCTTAGGAATTCAGCAAACATTTTCATTTCACACTCTAGTTTCCGGAAGCCATGGTTCCTTCTCATTGCTGTCCTTACCTCCTCCTCCCCTTCTCCCCTCAGCAGCTTCACATCACTTTTGTTGGAAAGGGGCTGATAAGTGGGGCACTGAGAAATGGGAACTGAAGTGGCAGCATAAATCCCACTGGAGAAAAGAAATCTGCTCCCATCCTGACAAATCATTTTATGTCCATCTTTTGTCAAAGCCAGATGAGTTGATTCTCCAAGTTTACGTGGGCTTTGTTGTGTAGTCACAGATCCTGCTAAGGCGAGTTTTTATTTAGTGATGTGGATTTAATTTCCCCTCTCAATTTTTTCAAGAAACAACACTTGTTGTGGGTCTGGCTCTTGGTCAGCTTGCCTTCCCTACCTGACCCACTTTTTCTTCGCCTTGCTTGGTGTTTCTTGAAGCTTCCCATAGGGTTTGGTGTTGTTTCTCTGCTTACCCAGGTAGAAAGTGCCACTTTCAAAGGGCTCCATCTTTGGTATGGTGGTGGGGTTAGCGCTGGTGTAGACTGAGAAGGGACACCTGCACAGGCACCCACTTGAGGAACTTAGATTTTAGCCTGTAGCTTGAAGATCCAGGTTCACCAGCCATGTAGCACAGCACGGCTGAGAACCTAGACTAGAGGCTTTCCCAGTGGGCCGTGAGTCTGAGAAGAAGGAAGATTGAGAAGAGGGAAAGACTGGAGGGAAAGAGCTGACCTGAGGGAGGCCCTAGCCCTTAGTGCAGTCTGGGAAGAGGCCCCTTTGGAGAGGGTAGGATAATCAGATGCTGTTCTCTGGTGGAATAGGGGCCAGGGGCCTGCTCAGAGTCTGGTGAGAGGACCCTCACTTAGGCTCAGCCTCAGTTTTGGAGCAGGAAGTTTTCCTCCCCCTTGAGGGAGGAGAGAGGTTGAACACATAAATGCAGGCATTTGACTTCCTTTTTTTCCCCTGCCTTCTTGCTGGGGTGTGCATACTACATTCTGGCTGTGCTCTGCAGGTGTGGACCTGAAGTTCACTTCAGGTTTTAGGAGGTCTGGAGATGGAAAGATACTTGCCCAGATTACACTATCACTGTTGGAGATGGGGAGCATGCACTCAGCAGGGGCTACTGAGGTTTCTTCGAGGCTGCTGTCAAGCGGTCAAGACCACTGAAGAGACTGCTGCTACCTGGAGTGAAAGGTGCCACGATGGAACCACGCACCTGGGCGAGCACTGTGGGGTAGTGACCGTCCTGTGGGGATGTGGAAGATGGCTGGAAGGGTGGCCTAGTGACGTGCTTGCTGCGGGTCGGGCTGAGTCCTCTTGGCATTGCTCAACAGCTGACTACTTCAGTCTTCTTGAAATCATCTTTATCTGTACTTTTGTTATGTTTTCTGTTTCTCTGGCTTCTCCTCCTCAGTCACTTGGGTAGATATTAATACTTATTTCCTTCCTTGTTTTCATGTTGGTGTTTCTTAAATAGTGGTGTTTCTTTGATCTCTATCCTGGTTGTCTTTTCTGTTTATTCTACACATTCACACTTACCAGAGTGATCTCGTCTTTGCCATAGCTTCAACTATCCTCTGTATGCTGATGTCTTCTAATCTTTTTCTCCAACTGGAGAAAAGAAATCGGGCTCATCTGCCACCTAAACGCCACACCTGCGTATCCAGCTACCTACTCTACATCTCCACCTAGACGTCCATAGGCCCCTTCAAGCTCAGATGTTTATCTTTCTCCTCACACCCTGTCCTCCATCATTCCCTCAAATAATGACTGGCACCACCTACTGAGTTGTTCTGTCGGAAATCTGAAAATTATCCCTTCTCTATCCACACCAATTAATTGCCAAATCCTGTTGCTTCTGCCTCCCAGAGGTTTCTCAGATTTATTCCTTTCTTCCCATCCCTACTGCCCTGCCCTAGTCAAGATGATCATATTCTTCTTGGATTGCTACAAAAGTCTTCTAACTAGTCTCTTTGAGTCCAGTTTTGCTGCTCCTATTCCATTCTCCTAATTGCAGCAGATTATGTCACCCCTCGGCTTAATACCTTTCAAGGTTTGCCCTTGCCCTCAAGGGTAAAGTCCAAACTGTTTATTGGGACTTTCAAGGTTCTTGCTTACATCTTTAGCCTCACTTCTCATTACTCTCTGTGGCACCCCCACACCCCTCCCCACCAGCCACATGCATGAGCTGGCCAGTTCCTAGTGATCCCTCTTCTTTCTCTAGGTGCCTTCCTTTGTTTTCCTGGAGCACATGTACACATTAATACATAAAATGGTGCTGTGACTGCCTCTACTTGTCTTTCTCTCGCACTAGATTGTGAGCACTGTTGTAACCCTAGGACAAGGACAAGGCTTGACACATAGTAGTTGTTCAATAAATAACTGTTGAATAAGTGACAACTAAGTAATGGAGTGTTCCTGTGGAATCTCTGCTCAGGAAGAACAACAGAGGACTGTTAGTAGGTAGATTTAGGAAGCATTCATTGCCAGTGTACAGGACAAATAGACTAGAGGAGGAATTCTCAGGCCTTGCTACACCAGCCTGAATGTGAAGAGTTAGAGAACTATGCTGCTAATGTCAGGAAGCCCTGGATTTTCTCACTGCCACTGTGTGTTGGGCCCTCCATGGTGAGTACTGGGTGAGATAGCCCACAGGCTTAGGCCAGGGAGGAGGAGCTTGGTCCCAGGAGCAGTGCGAAATGCTTTCTCTGAGAGATTTGTGCCTCCAGAACTGAGGGTTGGGACTCCTGGAAAAGTGAACATCAGAGAATAAAGAGAGTGTTTATTGAGCACTTATTACTTACCAGGAGCCCTATTGTGCTGTTTACACATATGATGTCATTTAGTCCTTACCACAGTTCTGTGGAATAAGTTCATTTTATAATCCTTTTTTAACAAATGAGGAAACTGACGCCTAGAGAGGTAAGTAATTTGTCAAGGGCACATAACCTGTTTGTGGCAGGGCAGGGATTTGAACCTGAGCATTCTGACTCTAGAACCATGTGTTTAACGACAGTCCTGTCTGACCGTCCTCCTTCATGGGCTGTGGTTTGGTGATACACGGTGGGAATGCCCCTCTCCTCTCCTTTGTTTGCACTGAGTGGCAGAGCCTCAGGATGTTTTCTGACACCGTGGGCTGTTGGTTCCTCATTTGATATCGGTAGAGGTGTGGACTGTTAAGTTCATTTGATATGGGAGCCCAGTTGGCCAGGAGATGTGGTGGGGATGATTAGGGGCTGCCTGAGAGCCTCCTTCCAGGGTTACAAGTTAATGAATCTTCAGGTCTGTTTTAAGGAAACCTCAGCCAACTTCACTTTGGACACCTCTATTCTGTATTTATGTTTGGAAGCACATGGGGCATCGCACCGTTGCCCCTTGCCCACAGGTGTACCAGTTGGTACCAGCACTGAGCTGCATCACCTTTGATTAGCAGCCTGCTGGGGGAAGGGGCTTGAGTAAGAACTCCCTGCCAGTCCTGACTTGTCTCATTTCCCATTACTTTTATCTGTCATTGCAAGTGCTTGGGCTCCCCTCCTGAACTAATTAAGTTTGCATGTTTTTAGACATATTGCCAAATAGGGCTTAGCAAAGCAGAACTGAGCTACATCTCTTTCTGAGTAGGGAAGGAAAGAGATATGAATGCTTCTCCACAACGGCCAGGAAGAAGCATGGATGACATGGAGTGAACGTGTGCAGATGATAGGCATTGCCTGGCCTTCCTAGGGACACAGCAGGCCTGCCAGGCAGCCTTCTGATTGGCCGACAGGGACAGGTGAAAGCCCACCCTCCAGCTCTCTTAGTGAATTGGGCATTCTAAGGGGGCTGAGAATGGAAAGAGGGCAGGTTCTGAAGTATTTTTCTCCCAAGCACAAGCGAAGTTGAAAGTCATATTTAGTGATATTTGCATGAGGAATTTGTAGGGCTGTGTGCTGTTTGCTACCAGTCTGAATCAACCTAGCTCCTAGGCCTACAACCACCTATGTGGCTAGCAGAGTGCAGGGTGACCTTTCCAAGTCTGTGAGAAGTACATCGGAAACTTGGATAGCCAAAGGCCCCAATTTCTCTTTTTACCTAGAAGACCGCAATTCCTCCTCAGCCATTGGAGTGGGTGGGTCAGGGTAGTGGAGGGAAGTAGAATAGCGTGCCCAGAACCTCCCCACCCTGGAGGTGGGGTTCAGCATAGTGGATCGTCCTAGTGAGGTAATGGCTGATTGCATGTTTTTGTGTCAGACGGATGCCTGGAGCCTTTTCCCTAGTGTGGGATGGCCTGAGGTCTGAGATGCCCTGTGGCAGTACATATTTGGGTCCTATCCAGGTGGCAGTTACAGGGGCAAATTATGTCATGGCCTCCTTCTCTGAGGTAAGGAATGAGGGTATTGCTTACCACAAAAGCAGAAAAGCCAACTGAGGCTGTAGTCAGGGCCTCAGTCCTGTGAACATGAGGGCAGTGGGTCAGCTTCCTGGCCATAAAAAGTCTCTTGATGGGTAAGGTTGGCTCAGAATCAGCCCAGGCTCCCAGTGCACAGTGGGGGCAGGGGGAGGAGGTTCTGAAGGTTGTATAGGAATTCTGGGCCTTAGAGTTGTAGTCTGAGCTCAGAGAGAGTGGGAACCAGACCTTCTGCCCTCCTTTCAGTTTCCCTAGAGCCCTCTGTCAGCAGAGGTGCACCGGGTTAGCCCCAAGAAGGCAGCGTGAGTTGATGGGGTCATGTTTCAGCTGCAGCTAATCCAAGTCACTCGATATAAATCTCTCCCTGCTGCCCCTCCCCTCCCTCCCATCCCCAACCCACAGACAGGGAAATGAATCCTGGCCCTCACCCTGAATACATCATGGCAGGCTTGCCTCTAATGAGAGAGGGCCATTCATTGTGGGGTGAAGCTCCCTGCAGAGCCCGGGATGCCATTAATTAAAGAAGAGCCACCTGAAGCCAGTCGTGCAGTGCAGCCTGCCACGCTCAGATGGAGTGGTGGTGGGGTAGCCTCGTTAGCCTGACAGCTCCTTGGGCTGAGAGTTCTTGGGCTTGGAGGAGCTAGGGGTGCTCCGCCTCTGCCTGATGCCCCTGGGGCTAGCCTACTCACAAACATGAAAGCCCCCTCCTGCACATGTCCCCGGGCCCAGAACTGGCACTAAAGGGGCTCCTGATGGTGGGCTTGGCTGGGGATTAACCATTTCCTAGATGCAGGCCTGAGGGTAGGAGCAGGTTTCTGTGGAGCCAAAGCATCTCTTCTGGTTCCCAACCTTGGCTCCCTTCACACTTATCCATGTGATCCTGGAGCTGCAAGTCAACAGGCGTCTCACCCCATGTCCTTCCCTCAGAGCCTGAGTTTGGGATAGTTGCTCTGCTCTGGAAGGACTTTGTGCCTCAATGGGGACTGGGAGAGAAGCTCTGCTGTCTGATCAACAAGCACAACCCCTCCGTGGCAGACAGGGCCTCTGGCATTTTACTTTCTGGGCACTTCTAGGCTGTAGGGTGGAACCCCAGTGGCAACCTCATTTCTTCACCCACTAGGAAGGTGTCAGAGGGTCTAAATCATTGTAGTGATTATAGGAACCCCTGGAATGGAAATTCTGCTCAGTGAAAACCCTGATAAAAGGTAAAGGTACTTGCTTAATGACTGATCAGGCTTCAAGATGTTCAAGGCAGTAGGAGCCTCATGCTTTGGCCTGAGTTGATAACTGAGTGGTTCTTTACTGCTTAACTGGTCCAGAAGCAAGTGTTGCTGCCTTGGTTCTGGCCCTGGATTTGATATGAGGCTCTCCCCTTGACCATGGATGAGAGTCTTATCACCTCCTCCTTGCTGGCTGGAGGGGCTGTATGTTCTGAGACTTTCACCTTAGCCCAGAGTTGGGCTAACTCAGCCGGTCTCTGCCTGGTTTGTCAGGAAGACAAATTGGATCCTATGTTGGTGGCTCTTCAGGGCAGTCTTTGGAAGTCTGGTTCTGTATTCTGTGGCGGAATCCAACAGACAGGCTGCTTCAGAGGGCCTCAGAACCAGCTGGGCACCTGGCTGGACTGTATGACCTATCTCTGCTTTCCTATAGCTCACCTGGCATGGAATAGAGGTTCCATGCAGCTTCCCACCAGGCCACAACCTCCTAGGTGGGGGACCCGGGCTCTACTCTTTTGTATTTTGAACATTTCTCACCTTCCTAGGCCCATTTGCTTGGGCCTTTCTGACTTCTGTCAGATAGAGAGTGAAGGCTGGAAGACCTTTTTTCCCAAGCTCCAAGAAGGAACCACTGGTGCTCCTGGAAAATATTTTCCTTTGTATGAGATATTGCTTAGATCTGTGTTTTTTTAAAACCCTTTTTGAACATCAGCTAGTTTTTGGGTCTTTAAAAAAAATTGAGGTCTGGTATAGTGGCCCACACCTGGAATCCCAGTGCTTTGGGAGGCTGAAGCAGGATTGTTTGAGGCCAGGAGTTTGAGACCAGCCTGAGGTAGCAGGGCCCTGTCTCTATTAAAAATAAAAATAAAAATAAAAAATAACCTGGTGTGGTGGCACATGCCTATAATCCTAGCTACTCAGGAGGCTGAGGCTGGAGGATTGCTTGATCCCAGGAGTTTGAGGCTGCAATGAGCCATGATTGTGCCACTGTACTCCAGCCTGGACAACAGAGTAAGATCCTGTCTCTTAAAAAAAAAAATTGAGGTATGAAATAGGTACAGATGCATAAATACACAAATGTGAAGTGTATATAGCTCAATATATTTTTATACAAGTATACACCTGGGTAACTACCACCCAGGTCAAGATCAAGAACCTTTTTCATCATCCCAGAAAGTTCCCTCGTGCCTCTTCCCAGTCAGTGATGCCTTCCCCTTGCCAGCTAACCACCGTTCTGACTTCTGTTAGTTTTGGTTAGTTTTTACCTATTGTTGGCTTTCGTATAAATGGAATCATGCAAGGCATACTCTTTTGTGTCTGACTTCTTTCACCCAGGCTAGAGTTCAGTGCTATGATTTTGGCTCACTGCAACCTCTACCTCCGTGGGCTCAAGTCATCCTCTCACCCCAACCTTCCGAGTAGCTGGGACTATAGGTACATGCCACTGCGCCCAGCTAGTTTTTGTATTTTTTTTTGTGGAGACGGGGTTTTGCCATGTAGCCCAGGCTGGTCTCGAACTCCTGAGCTCAAGCAGTCTGCCTGCCTTGGCCTCCCAAAGTGCTGAGATTACAGGCATGAGACACCGCACCCGACCTGTGTCTGACTTCTTTTGCATAACATAATGTATAGGAGATTCCTGTGCATTGTATGTATCAAGAATTTAGGCTTTTTATTATATTTCTGTGTAGTATTCCATTGTATTATACTACATTTTATTTATTCTTTTTTTGTTGGAACATCTATTATACTGTATTTAGTTATTTAGTATATGTTTGCTGAATGAATATGTGAATCTTCAATTTAATATGAGAATCTCCCTATGCCCATCAGCTTGTCCCAATCCCCCTCACCCTTTCAAATCTAATTCCAGTCCTTTGGCCATGTGGTCTTCCCTGTCTATTCTGGAACCCACACTGTCCTCCCTCTTCTCTGAGGTCTTGTGATAGGGAGAGACTGGCCCCTGTGGAAGTGGCCTTTGAGCTGTATTGACTCATTTATTTATTCTTTCAGCAGATGTGTTGACAACCTGCTATGTGCTCTGCACTGCTCTAGGTATTAAGGATACAGCAGTGAATAAAGAAAGAAAACTTCCCAGACATCCTGCCTTCATGGAGTTTGCATTCCAGTGCTTGCAGCTGTCTGCCTTTTGGACCTAATGCTTGAAGAATCCTAGTCATGTCCAGGCTCTTCTGTCCTTTGGGATTCTGCAGGAGCTAGATGGCAAAGCCCTTGCCACCTTGGCAGGACTTCTCTAGGGCTTGTGGCCTTTTATCTTCCTTTTCTGCTGATATTGGTACGGGTGACATTAGCTGCTGTTGCTGCTGCTTGGCAGTGAAAGGGTTTCTCAATATTGGTGCTTCCCTTCCACTATCCTGGAGTCTGATTCCCTCTGTGAGAGGAGAGAATTAATCTCCAACTTTCCATGCCTGTAAGGTGAGTGACCTCTGTTTTGTCAGCGCTTGCCAATCTGTCCTCTAATTCCCAGCCAGGGTAATGGAGACATTACTTTGTGCTAAAGCAAACCACCAGTTCTCCTAGTGCAGATGCTATGCAGATCCAGGCACTGGGAAAGACAGGTCACATGCGGAGACAGCTCCATAAGTGTCTCTTCACAGATGCAGAGGCACATGAAGGCTACAGGGGTGTTGGCACCTGAGCCACTATGCTCCTGAACTGGGGCTGGCAGATTCAAGAGGCAAAGATGCCCTGCCATCATATTCTTCTTATTCCCCAGCCATGCCAATAGGGTGGCTGCTTCTGCTTGGTCTGAATTAGGTTTCTTTGGTCGGGTTCCTAAGAGCACATGAGAGGCTGTGAACACCCCAGTGAAGATGATGAGTCAGGGAGCAGAGGTCTTAGGAGTTGAAGGCTGGGGAACTCAAGGCTTCACCTGGCATAGTGGCCCATGCCTGAATGATTTGTGGACTCTGGGGGCTTAGCTTTGTAGGGCTTTGGGAAGGGCAACTATGAGTGGGTGGGATAAATTCTCAGTGTCCCTGGCTAAAGGGTGACACAACTCAGACTTGATAGTTCTGTAAAACTGTTTCTTCCAAAGCTTGCGAGGATGTTGGTTTGGGGAAGAAAGCCAGCCAGCCCAGAGAATCCCGGGAGCCTGACAGGCCTTTTTCTCTGCGATTTCTTTCTCGCAGGCAGCCCGAGGCAGCCTGTCTCTTTGTTAACAGAGTGACAGCAATGTGACACCATGGAAATAATTACTAACAAATCACGGTGCTGACTGCAAACAGCTCTCTGTCTTCAGAGGCATGTCAGGGTGCATTAGAGCAGGACTGGAGGAGCGGTGCATGTGGGGGCTGAGGCACAGCCTGCACTCAAACACTCTCTTCTTCCACCACCCTGACCCCTTTCTGCAATATCTGACTTTCTTGCTCTTGGCCTTTCCCAACTAGGTCAGCTAAGGGGCAAGCTGGACAAGTGGCATGTAGCTGGTTTGGCTTCCTCTGGGCAGGTAGCTAGGACTCCCATCTTTGCCAAGGAGCACCTAGGTAGTGATGAGAGCCAGGAGTTTTCCATTATGGGGCCCCTAAAAGGTGGAAGGATGCTCTATTTTTCTGATTTACTCTCTGCCATTGAGACCAGCTTCACCTGCCAGTAGTTTTGGGTTTTAGGGTTACAGAACATTTGCTTCAACTGGACCCAGATTGTGGAGGGAGCCTTGCATCTGTGTTGGCTCAGCTCTGGTTTCTTCTTCAATTGCCATAGTCAATTTTTGGTAAGTCGACATTGTCCATTCCCTCTTGGTTAGCAGAGTGATTGCTCTGACTGTCAGGACTGTAAATAATGTTCCTGGTGTATGTGGCTGGAGGCAGCGCGTGGGGTGGGGAAAGGAATGGAAGGAGGAGCAGCATTCTGGCTCCCTCGCTCGCCCCCTCCCCTCTCATACAATATTTATCCAGGGATGGGAGTCAGATGCAGCGACCTCAGGGGTCACCCAGTTAAATAGCTTCTGAACCTCCCTGCATTCTAATTGCTGCAGTTGTCCTTTGCTCTGGAGACTTCTCCTCCCCATTGTCTGCTGAGGCACACACTAATGGCTGTCCTCCCTGGCACTGCTGGGAGGCACGGTGGAGGGGGGTGGAGAAGAGAGCTCATTGCTACCTTCCTTTCCCCAGGGATAAAGGAATCTAGGGCCTATTAACAAGTGGCTTTAGCTAGGACGAGCACAGTCCCTTGCCTTCCTGGCCCCCTCCCTAAACCTAGCTGGAGAAGGAGGCCCACGCAGTAGGCTTGGTTGATGGGGCCAAGGGGCTTTACCCATTGTCAGTCCTATAGCCAGAATCATGGGACTAGTGATTCCTTTACAGGCTACAGGAAGCCAGGGGACAGACCCTTGAATGCTCAGCTGATGAACATCATCCTATGTTCCCATGGTCCCACACACAGGGTTTGGAAGCTTCTAATGAGTGATGTTTCCTGTTGAAATTTGTTGCATTTTTCCCAAAGATTGGCCAAATGCAAAAGTCTGTTTGGTCCCCTGAAAGTTGATTTAGATGATTGCTCGTGGTAGCAGATGTGTCCCATTCATTGATTTAAGAGTGTCATGTGCTATATATACATCTTCACGAGGACCTTTCAGTAAATATCAGTTACCCTCCACTGCAGCTCTTCTCTCCCAAGGAATCCTGTTGGAAATTGCCATTGAAGGTGCTGACCCCAGCATATCCCGGAAGTGCTGGCATTCCGGTAGTAGCCTAAAGTCAGCACCTGTTGAGAGCTGCTCTGGGCCCTGTAAGTACTGTGCTGGGGACTATGGGGACTGCCAAGTGATCAGGACAGAAAGACCAGCACACATATACCTAACTATAGGGTAAGTAAGGTAGAGTATGAAAACACTACAATGAAGGCACAACACAAATGCTGTGAGAATCCAGAGGAGCACTGTAGAGAGATGGAATGGTAGTATTTTTTTTAGTACTAAACTTTTTTTTCTTTTGAACAGAATTTTAAAGCCCAATGTGAATCTGGTTGAAGATGGGGAAAAGCCCTGCCCATTCTTCCTCTCCCATTCTTCCTCCTTTTCCCCCAGTCCATGAAGTAGCCTGATGTTCCTCCTTAGAACCCTAGAACTCCATGGAGCACACTTTAAAAATCACTAGCCTATTCTAATGCCCGCCCAGAAGTCTTACTCTGTATAGGACAAGTGCTTATACCTCTTGAAGGTGTCAGGGGAGCTGGAATCAGGGCAGAGGAGACCAGCTAGAAGGTTAAGGGTACAGCTGTGTCTTGAGTACCTATATGAGAGCGGAGGTCAGACTGCAACCCAGATCCTGAACGCTAGGAGGATGCCTCTCTGCGGAGCCTCCAGAGGGCATCATAGGCCACACAACGGCAGTTCAGGCATAGGGTCAAGATGGCCACAGGCCAGGGGAAGACTGTAGTGGGATGAGTGAGTTATCTTGGAGACAGCTCAATCTGCTAAGGAGCTCCTGGTTTCCCTGGCCAAAAAGAGAATAGCTCATTAGCTGAGGCACTGACCACAGTGTCTTGGAAACCTCCCATCACTTGCTCAGCCTCCTCTCCATAGCCACTCCCTACTGGGGCTTCTGCCATTCCATCTAGGAAAGAGAGCTCTGGCCAGGCCCTGGTGGCAGCTCCAGCACTTCTACAGTCATGACAGATGGGGCACTGTGCCTTTCCCTGATGAGTTGCCATGGAAAGGACACCGGAGAGGCACTTGTCTTATTATTTCCCTAGAGAGGGGCTGGGGAGATACAAGTTACAGAATTTTAAGGACTATTTGTGGCACTGGGGAGGTGCTTGTCATATGGTTCCACAGCGTGTTTGTGGCACTTGTATGCTTCATATGGTCTCCATAGGGAAGAAATGAGAGACAGTTGGCAGATAGGATAAAGAGCCATGGATCAGGGAGGCGCTATATGCATATACAGTGTCTTTTGGAGACTTTGAGCAACTTTGGCACTAGGGATTTGAGCAACATGGCACCAGCAGCCTGGACCATGGAGCATCCCTCTGCACTGCCTGTGTTCTGGTTTCTGTTGGGAACTCTCCAGAGTAGCATGTCTGGGAACACTTCCAGCTGTGCCGCCAGACCCAGACGCAGGTGACGGCCTTTCATCTGTACTATAGGGAAACCAAGAGGAAATTAAATGTCATTTGCCCCCTGCACAGCAGGTCGCTGCCAGATCAGACACTCCTGCTCAGAGCTGTGCAGAGGGCACCCGTGGGAGGGCTTATGCCTGCAGCCATGTCCTGTGAGCTGTGGAGACTCCCAGGTGATGGCCTGGCTCATTCCCAGGGCTTTCTCTGCCCGGCTGGGTTCACCCTGGCCTGGAGCCCAGCCCAGTGTTACATGGCAGCCGTGACCCGTGCCAGGCCAGAGGTGCGTGTGTACCAGTAGGGGGAAGTGGAGGGGAAGGGCAGAGCCTGAGAGTAGAGGACACACAGGAGACAGTGAGGTGATCAGCCCTTCCTCAAAGAAGCTGTGTGGCATTGTGGAAAGAACAGGGCTTTTAGAATGAAGAGACCTAGTTTCGATTCCTGGCTTTACTGCTTTCTAGTTGTAGGGTCTTGGGAAAGTCACATTCCCACTCTCATCCTCCATTCCTTTATCTGTAAAATAATAAGGAGCTCTGGCTCCTGACATCTGTGGGGGAAATGTAGCTTCCTGTTAGGACTGGTGCCAGAGTTTCTTACCCCACCTCGCCTGGATCTGGAAGCATGACCTGTAACCCCTTGCCGTGGGGCCTCACTGTGAAGTGAGTGAGCTGAAGTTGGTTGAGGTGGGGTGGGTGGTAAGTCTGGCCAGGAAGGCACAGCTGGTCATCTCTCCCTGCCTCAGGCCTTTCCTTCTTATCCTAGTCCTCTCAACAAGGCATCCCAAGACCTTGATGAGATGTGGAAGGGTAATGGTGGCAAGACAAAGTGAGAGGCTTGCCGAGGTCACCCGGCCTCACCTTGGGGCTCAGCCAGCTCCCTCCAGCATCATGCTTGCACTCTCCTCCCTGTTTGAGAGGACAGCGGGGCTTGCCCCACCCCTTTCTGCCATTGAAGTCCTGGTGGTAGGCCATAGTTCTCAGCTCCGCCATGACATTTATTAACAGGGCTTTGGGAAAATATGTTTTAATACTGCCAGAGTTCTCCCTAGAAAACCCTCCAGCCCCCAGCTCACCCCCATCTGAAGCCTGGCTGTTGGTGGTGAAATTCATTAGTGTTCCCTGACAGGCAGTGGCGACAGAGGCGCTCGCTGTCGGCTTCCCGCTCCCTTGCTCTCGTGCTCCTGCTTCACGCACACTGATATTTAAAGCTGATGGGCTGCTTATAGACTTCTTGTACCATGACAAGTTTGGGGAGGGGGTTGGGGAGGAAGAGACAGACAAGGAGCCAGCTGTCATGCTGGTATTTCAAACAGTACTCTCTCCTGACCCTTTGCAGGCTCCAGCAAGTGTATCATCTTTCTGAAGCCTGTGGTTGGAATTGTAACCTGCAGCCGTCCCAGAGGAAGGGGGCAAGTGTGGGGGCAAAGTGGGCTGATAAGTCAGCAGTGCATTCCCCCCAGGGCTGTGGGCAGGCAGAGGAGAATGGAGGGACCGCACGTGTGCATGCACGCACACTTGCTTGAGCCTGGGGAATTGCAGCTGAGTCTCTGAGTGCCCTTGACATTGCCCTCCCACCAGCAGAAGTGAGATGGCCACTTCTCAGTAGTCACTCCTGCAGTGACCATTCTGTGTCTGCTATGGTTATCTTCTGAGTGGGCCTGGAAGCTCTCTCAAGAGAGAAATCAGGTTCCACTAGCCTCTGTCTGAGGGTCCTGGGTCTCAGTGATACTCCTGAATATAAAGTGGTCGGTTGAGGTAGAAAGCTCTCTCATTTTGTGTCTGGCCTGGGGTCTTGGCTTTTGTTCCTTGGTATTTGTGTGCTGATTCTTTGGATTTGGAGAATGAGTCCCAAGGTGCTTCCTCTATTCATATCTCCTTCCCTCAGCCCAAGCTTCTTGGAATTTGTTTTGCAGCTGTGGAGTGGTTCTGGAACTTTCCCTTTTCCTGTCACCCCCAGCAAGCCTTCTCCAGTATCCTTTTCCTGACCAAGGCACTGTCTTGTCAATGCAGGTGGCCTGGAAGCATCTCCAAAGGCCATTACAGGTTTGGTCTCAATCGATCTCCTTATAGCCAGAATCCCTTCTATGAGGCCTTATTTGTAAAGCATGTTACCCTTGGTTGGCTCCTTTAACCCTCACAGAGCAGGGCATGGAGGTGAAGTCACTTACCCCAGGACACATGGTCATTTGACCAAGTTATCTTAGTGTAGTGGAGCTGTGGTACTGGACAGGGGTTGAACCGCATGCCCCACCATCAGGGGACTTTGATGGGGAGAATGAGTCCCAAGGTGCCTTCTCCATCTGTAACTCCAGGTCCTGCAGTAGGCGAGGTCACTGGGGAAAAGGCCAGGCTCCTCTCCTCCTTGCTGTTTTGCCTTGTCAGTGCCATCAGTGCTGCCAATGGCATCCTCAGTTTCAGGCGCAGCAGTGTGGGACTCTCTGTCTGAGGGGTTATTCATAAAACAACCTGGACATCTTCTGTTGGAGGTGGAGCCAGCCTTTTTTCTGTGTAGGCTGAAGTGTATTCTTGAACTGTCAAGGACCAGCTTTGATGTGATCTCCTATAGTATCCCCAGCCCTCGCCAGCACTCTATCCTGTAGGCTTCTGCAGGGGTTTATGGCCAACCAAGGGTAACATGCTTTACAAATAAGGCCTCATAGAAGGGATTCTGGCTATAAGGAGATCGATTGAGACCAAACCTGCAATGGCCTTTGAGGATGCTTCCAGGCCACCTGGGCAGTGCTTTTCTCTTCCTGTTTTTGCTGATTCCTATCCCGACTAAAGGCACTGAGTGCTAGGCCTGCCATGCTGTGTCTTCTGACATGGTGGATCTTGCAGGTGAGATAGATACTAACCAGCTTTGATAAGTAGGAGGCTCATGCATTAATTTTTTATACATCAGCAGCGGCCAAGAGAGTGAATTCAATTATGAGTCTGCCTTCTCTCTACCCTCCTCCGCTCAATGTGGTAGTTCAGAGCTGAGACTAAGGAACCTGTTGAAATGAGAAACCCCTATTTCCTAGCTTGACCCCCTCACTAATTCGGGTTAAATTGCTACGCTGTTGCAGTGGTGACACATTGTGTCTGCCTCTGTTTGTATAAGAGGATGCAGTGGGGGAGGAAGGACCAATTTGTGCAGAGATAAAAGGTGTCACGGGCAGATAACTAACGTCCCAGCCTCGTGCCTGCTCTCATTGTTGCTCAATTTGCTCCATGTGTAAGCTCAGCCTTCCCCTCTTTCTTCCTTCCCTCCCCTTGGTCATATTTTACCTCGATGCCACAGTGTAATGATGCCCTGCGTAGTGGGGGAGGAGATAGGCACCTCTGGCTGACAGCCCTTCCTGATAACCAAATTCCAGCCCATCCATCACTAGCTACTCTCCTCAACTTGAGGAAAAGTGATCATGAAAGGCGGGCTGTTTATCACCCAGGGTCTGTTTATCTCCTCTGGGTGGGGGAATGGAAACAGGAGAGACAAAGAGCTGTGTCCCCAGCTAAGTGCTGCCTCGGCTGGAGTAGCCTGAACGTGCTGGATACCGACTCAAATCATGCTGCCCATGGAGGCTCTGACTAGATAGGGCTCCCTGACTGGGATCCAGTGGGAATGGGCCCTTTCCTGAGGCTCAAGACTTGGAGAGAAGCATAGGAAATCGTGGCAGTTATGAGCTGCAGGGCCGCTAGGGACAGCATTCTTTGAGAGTGTATTGGAATGAGCAAGTGTGGCAACTCTGCATGGAAGCAAGCCCACCCACCCCTCACAGGTGTCCCTGTGGCAGGATCTTCCAACTGGCTGGTTGGTTGGCTTCTACTGGCCCACTTCTCTCCAAGCCTGGGCCTTCTGTGCCTCCATGGTCCCATGATGACTTTGAAGAAGACAGAGCCTCTCCATACTCCCCCATTTCTGCATATCACATGGAATACAGTAGTTTGCTCCTGCAGGCGAACAGTATGTGCCTGTCCTGGAGCTGGTGGGCACCAGGACTGCCAGCCCACATCACTCCAAGATCCAGGTCCCACAGCCTTTCTTGAGAGGGAGAAAGGAGCCAAGGAGGCCTCCAGAGTCTGCTGGTCTCCCTCCTCTTCAAAGGTTTGAGTCTGCTAAAAGTGAGAATGACATGCATCTCCCTGAGTTGGGTCTGCCCCTAAGTCTTAAAGAGATGAAAGCATGAAAGCCAGAGTGTCCATCGCCTTTTCCAGTATGGTGCCTGCTCTTTTGCTGGTCCTGGCTGTTGGCCTGTCTGCCAGTCTGTCCGGCAGACCTCAATGGATGTGCAGCTTTCCTTGCCTCAGCCTAGCAGCTCTCCCCCACATCTGCCTCACCTAATCTTCAAAGCTGAGCTCCCGCTCACAAGGGCTTCACCGTGGCCATACCCATTAGCGAGGGGGGTGTTCCCCTAATGAGCTATCCCCTGCCTTGGCTGGCGCCGGGCTAGCCACACCTGTTTGCCATCAGGGCTGTCTCGGCCCAGCCAGTATGGCTCAGTTGCAGGTGGTAGGGCTGAATGAGGAGTGGGGTGGGGAAGGCTGGCTCCTTTTGCTTTGTCCTGTGTGCTTATAGGGGTGAGGGGCAGTTTCTTACACCCCTGTTTCCTCTATATTGTTCTCTTCTTTCTAAGTAGGGGGAATGCTCTTTGCTTTCTTTTCTGTTATTCAAAAGGAGTAATAAAGGAACTTGAGTATCTCATCTCATTTTCCCTGGATGGAATAGAGAGGAGCTAGTTAGGGTCTGAGGGTAGGGCTTGTTAATCTTTTCAGGTGACCCTGAGGGGCCAGTGTGGTAATAGCAGGATCATATGATAAATGCCAAGGGCGGACCCCCTTTCTGGCCTTAGACCCATAGTCTTTGGAAAGCAATCATGTCCCTTGGTTTAGAGCCCACAGGCAGGACTGGGGGACCCTTCCTTAAAGGGGCCTCTTGCATTCATGAAGCTGAAGGAAGTTTTGATTTGGTTGAAAAAAATCTCATTCCTTTTTATGGCCTGGACATAATTGGCTCTTTTCTATTGGCCATCAGTGATGTCATTCCGGCCCTCATAAAGAAGGGGAAATCACACCTGTGGACTCGGTGCATAAAATTTCATTGGGCAACAATAATAAGCATGACCAGATGATGTTTGGGCAGTTGGGGAGCTTTGTGCCCAGTGAATCCAGCTGCATGGAGACCTGGGCACCATAAACCTGCCTGCACGTTTGTGCCCGCAGGCTAGTCCAGGGCCCACTGCCAGTGGCTCTTTTCTTGGAATCACAATCTGGTAGGAATGTACAGCATTCAGACCCTTTGTGCCTGGGGAACTTTTTTTTTTTTTCTGAGAAATTGGTGGAACCATGTACCCACTGATACCCACCGACCTTAGGCTCCTAAGAACCTTGAACCCAGGTGTGACCTTGAGCAGTGACCACTATGCTACTTGCTTCTCTAAGGCCCAGGCTTTGCCTTCCCAGGGACTGTAAAGAGCCCTGAGTGTATCTATACAGCTTATGCCTGTGCAGTCAGAAGCTTTAGGTTCTGTTTCTGGTACTACCCTTGCCTTGTTGTATGATTGAGCAAATCCTTTTCTTCTCTGAGTCTCAGTTTCCTCTTTTGTGTAAGGGATGATGACCACTCTAACCCACCTTCCTCACAGATTTCCTGTCTTGATCCTCTCTAAGCTGGGGTAGGGTGTGTGGTAGAGATGTGTAACTGTCTTCCCATGAGGCACTTGCAAGCTCAAGTTCTGGCATTTGACCCTATGTCTCTCATGAAGATGGGGCTGGGCCCTGCTACATTTGTACAGCTTGTGTCTTGGAGTCACAGGGCTAGGATGACCCAGAGGACTACTCAGCAACCTGAATTCCTGCGAGTGAGTCTACAAACTGCATGTGTACCTGCAAGTGACTAGAGCCCCTGAGTGAGAATTATAGTGCCTAACCCCCATGTGCATCAGTCAGACATGGGATTCAGAATGGCACTCAGGACTGCTGCTGAGCCATATCTCAGGCTGAGTATCCAACCTGACTGTCTGGTCTGTCCTCAGTGTGGCCCCTCTGGGATAGGTCTTCCTCTGAGAAGAATAGGCATCATCCTACTGACCTAGACCCTTCCTAGGCAGTGGAAATGCCTACAGCTATGTCTACCCTTAAAATTCTGCTAAAGAGAGAGCCCATCCCTCTCCCAGGGCTAGCCAGAGCCAAAAGGACTCCTGGCCTGTGTCAACTAAAAGAATCAGAGAGTACTGCAGTTGGCTAGGGGAGAATAAGATCGAGGCTCCCTGCCTTTTGCTGGCCAGTCCCCCTGGCTTATTCCTTTGTAGATTCTGCTGCTTCTGGTGGCCCCCTTCACTCATAGACCTTAATGTGATTTTTCTAAAATAGCTGAGTTCAGCAAGCATTTCCACAAATATGAAGGATAAGGAACATGAAAGAAAGATTGAAGGAAATAGAATTATTGTCAGATTACAGCTCTGCTTCTTAGGCAACCACATTCTAGCTCCTAAGGCTACCTTTCATCCTTAAAAACCTTGCCTCATTTCCTCATGTTCTTGGTCCTTCATCCCACATGGGCACATCTATCTGGATACCCCTTCATCATGTTGGCCTCAGCCAGAATTTCCCTTCCAGGAAACTGACCAGTTGTAGTTAATGTCACTGTGCCACTTGGATGTTTGAGAGTAGCCTCTTATTCAGGTGAGATATCTTGGGTCTTATAAAAGTAAATCCTTACTATACACTGCCTGAAACAAAGGGATCAATTTTCTGTTACTATCTGTCAAATATTTGAAGGGTAATGGAGGGAAGGCCGGACTGCCTTGAACTTTCTGGAGTGGAATCAGTCATCTCAACTGGATTCTTGTAGCCAAACTTTCTAGAAAAGGATTTTGCACTTGTAATCTCCGCTGTCTTATCTCTCACTCTTTCCACACTTTGCAGGTTGCCTTCTGCCTCCCACACTCAGTCCACTGATGCCCCTTTCGCCAAGATTACTTGTGACCTCCTCGTTACTAAATCCATTGGGTTTTTCTCAGCTGTCATCTTGCTTGACCACTCTATGGCAGTTGACACTAATGATTTACATTTCAAACTCAAAAATCATTTCTATATATTGCAGAAAGGGGAAGCATGCTTTTATCACAGTTTAGGTTGACCACAGGTAATATGAAGTGGGGTCAAAAGAGCATGTCTGATCTTAGGTGTCTAATACCCTGAGAAAGGTCTGGGGCCCTGCCCTTTGGGAATGGGGATAGGTTGGGTGAGTCCTGACTCACGGCATATTGTCTCCTTAGGAACTCTTGAAGTTGATAAGGATATGTGGCTTGGAGAAGGGAACTCTGATGGAAGCTTTCTGGACTCTCAGATCTTGGAAGGGTTCTGTGAGGAAAAGATGGAAGTATTGTTCTCTGTGTTTTCTAAAGACATACTTTGGACCCATGGGTAGAAGTTACAGGGAGACAGACTAGTGTTTAAGGAAGGATGTTCTAAGAATCGAGTCCAAAATTAGATCTGGCCGCTTCATGAAGTGAGGTCCTTGTGTGTGATGATGGTCTGATGGGGGTAACCTGGTTTCATTTTAGCTCAATAAAACTTGCAAGGCATTAGCCTGGGCCCTCTGCTCACCTCGCTCTATTCTGTTCCCCGGGTGATCTTATTTACTCTCCTGGCTTTAATTTTACTTAGGTTAATGATTACATTAATAATTATATTAATGATTTGGCAATCCATGGTCTTATTCCAGACCTCTCTTCAAAACTAGATATCCAGTTGCCTCTGAGACACCATTCCACTGCCAGATATCTCCTAGGTGCCTCAAACTAGGCACCTCAAACTCAGCAGACATCGAGTGCTTATTGCGTATCAAGCATGTGTCTAAAACTGCATTCCCAAACTCATGCTTCCTTCTAGTGGCGTACTAAAGATGGGGCAGGGGAGCAGTTCTCCCACAGTTTGGGCAGAAAGTGGGTATGCTACAGGTAGAGCATTTTAAAACAATAATAAAATTGACCAAATGCTGGCCTGCTCCAGATGTCACATAGGCTCTCCATGCCACTGCTTACTTCTTTGGATCTATCTTAGTGAGTAGCATGAAGCTAGCCAAGCAGAGGTCTACTGCTTTCTCACTGGGTCCCACATTTCATTTAGTCACTGGGGCCTCCTTTACATCTTAATGTTTGTTCCTTGATCACCATTTTTTCCACTACTGTTTCTCTCTACTGGCTTCTACCCTGCTCTTTTAGTCTATTATTTTTGCTGCATCCAGAACAATCTTGGTAAATCACAACTCATCAGAGGCTCTCCATTGCCTGTAGCAAAGCTCTTCTCTTAGGAATAAGACTGTGATCTTTCCTGGCTGATACTTCCAGTATTGTCTTCCTCCATCCTTGCATATGCCCCCATACTCCAACTTAAGGCTTTTTTTGTCTTTCTTTCATTGCCCATACCTCTGAACAAACTGAGCCCTTTACGGTCAAGAGTTACATCTTACTTTTTGACTCGTAAGTTCCTGACCCTTGTTAAGCATCAGTGCATGTTTGTTTGAATGGATTTGTCTGAGTAAAACCATCACCAGCTAGAGGGGGAGATAGTTGATAAATTCTAATTTAAAGAAAAAAAACAAGAACAGACCCTTGATTTGAATTCTGACCTCTTCTTATCCTTCTACCTGGCCTCTTCTCTATCTGAAACAAACCTGTAGCCAGAGGCTTAAATGTGAGCTGAAACCCCTGCTCATCTATCTCTAAGTCATATACTCTGCCTTTCTCTCCTCCTATCTTGTCTGTCTGCCTCTCTGCTGTAACAAAATAACAAACCAGTGCATAGAAAGAACATACGCTTTGGAGTCAGACAGAACTGGGTTCAGTTCTTGGCACTATCATGTTTTAGCTGTGGGACCTTGGGTAACCTCTCTACATCTCATTTTCTCGTCTGTAAAATGTAGACAACAGTACCTGTGTCTCAGCATTGCTTTGAAGATTAAATGTGAAAATATAAGGTACTTGGCATACTGTAAGCCATTAGGAAATAGTGGCCTGCTGCTATTATTTTGGAAAGAATTTTTGGGCTCTCACACTTGGATCTGAGGGCTAGAGCTGGAGCCCAGTGTCCATGGTGCTGGAGGTGGGGTTCCCTTTCTTTGGTGGGGTGGGACCCATGGCTAATGGGTTGACCTTTTGAGGTCTGTTTGTCTTGTATGCTCTGTTGGACTTCCCATCTTAAGACTTCATACCTGGGACATGGATGCGCCCAACTTGTTCTCTCTTCCCTTTTTTTTGTAGGCTCCCAGGCCAGTGCCAGTACTTGGGCTTGCCAGTGGCGGATTACTTCAAGCAGTGGATTAATCTGAAAAAGGTACTGTGTCTGAGCCCCAACTGGGTGCTTCCCCTGGTGCTCTTGTGCCTCAGAGCTCCCGTCCTTTGCTTTCTTTTCTTATATCTGTTCTCCCTCTTTTTCTTTTTGTTCTTCTCTTTTCTTAACTTCATCCTTTTCCTTAGCTAATATGCACTGAAATGTGGTTATTTCTGACTGTGGAGAGCTGCTTGGGGATCCAGCTGCTGGGCAGATTATGACACTGCCCTAGTTGGTGTCCCCCAGACAGGCAGAGAAGTCCCAGTTAAGGAGATTTTGGGGGGCTCTTGCTCAGAGCTGAATCTGTGGGCAGAGCTGGCTTGTCTCTAGGAGAGACATGGCACTAGCTGAGCCTCTGGGAAAGTATTCTCCTTTGTTATCATCATCAATGTGGTCTCTGACCCTCCTAACTGGCCCTGATATATCACTCTGGTTGGGAGGCAGAGTACACTTAAGTTGGCTTTGTTCCTGCCTTGCTCCAGGAGAGCCTGGCTCATGTGAGGAAGAGCCATGGAAACTAGAGTCCAATTCCCTTTGGGCATGAGGGCAGAGACTGGAACTTATGTAGAATCAAGCACCTGGGGAGTTGGTGCTCAGGCTATGGACCGGCAAGGACCATGTGTGGCTACGATAGTGAGCCCTGGCAGAGAATGAATCACTTAGAAAACTGTACTTTCCTAGCAGAGTATCCCTGCTCTAGAGGAATCCTTGCTCCAGGAGGCCCAGTCCACTAGGGAGACTCACCCCCATAAATCATTCTGACCTAAGGGCAGCAGTCCTGGAACAGCCTCAGGAACCTCATGCTACCAGTCAGAGGAAGCTCAGAGAAAGGAGAACACACCGGGGGTCAAGGTAGTGGCTCCCAGGGGGCTTAGAGAAGAGAGAGGTCAAGGGGGGTGAGGCTAGGTATGGCGAGGATTTGAGTCTTGACCTGGGCATTCAAGGAAGGTGGGATATGGATAGGAGGAGGAGAGAATGCTTTCTCAGCAGGGAGGGCAGCATGCTTTTGGTGTGTGTGGGGGCTGGAGCTAAGCAAACATGTGGAGGAGCAGTGGAAGAGAAAGCTTTATAAGTATTTGTGCCACACTGACAATGACCTTGGACTTAGTTCCATGCTTTGTGGCATCATTTGTGAAGTTGTTTGCTTTCCACTGGTGGACAGGTGCTTTGCACTTGGTTTGTTTGCAGTTTGACTCATACCCCCTCTCCTGCTGATCTCCCATGAAACTGGGCAGCTGCTGCTTACTACTCCTCTTGTGCTGAAAAAGCTACGCACTCCCCTGGCTTTGGGCCTTGCTCTATGGCTTGCCTTCTGTCTGAAATGTCCCTCAGTCATCTTCATCAGACATATTCCCTGCCCTGGAAGATTCACCTCAGGTATCACTTCTGCTGAGAAGCCCAGCAGTCAGTCTCTTGCCTTGAGGTTCCTTGGCACTTGGGAAATCACTTATCTCAGTTGAAACTGAATCCATGTGTATTTCCTTCCAGACATGGCCATCTGGATCACAGAGATGAAGTCTGGTTCCTCTCTGTGTCTCCAGTGGCTAGGCCAGGGCTGGGTATAGAGTATGTGCTCAGTGAGTAATTGCTGGCTGACGGATTCATCTTTGAGAACTAGTTCCATAGAGGTCCCCCAAGGCAGAGCTAGGCATGTGGTGGGGCTAGGCATGGACCCCTGGAACATAGCATACCAGCTGTCAGAGCACATCTGAGGCTGCTTGCTGGCCTCAGCAAATGCAATGTGAAGGCCCGGCCAGGCGAGGCAGGCGCTGACCATGAACAATTACCCTGTGAAGTTCACTAGACTTTTTGGTGTATGGATAGCTCCCTGCCTCCAGGTTCCTTGGCAGAAAGGCAGGAAAGCAGCCGACCCATGTGGTAACGTTGTCACTCAGGGCCACCTTGGTGCTGCTGGCCCAAAGGGTGGGGGTAAAGGCAGGCTGCCCAGAGTCTGTTCAGTTTGGTTCCCCTGCAGACTGTGCTGACCTGAAGAGGAAGGGAATAGTAGGTACAAGGCGAAACTGAGGACTCTGTTGCTAGTTGGCCTTGTGATTTCCTCGTGTGAGGTAAGCTGAGCAAGTCTGGGAGACATAAGGGGTCTAACCTCTTCCTCTCTGCACTCCAGCCACTTTGTATTGCAAATGTGCTTAAAGGCCCAACAGGAGAGGTGGCTTAACTCTGGACTTTAGCTCAGTCCTTACCAACAGCCATTCAGGACATAGAGGCTGCTGAGTCTGGAGGCCCAGGGGCATGGTACTCTTTCTGACCTTTATGCTGTGTGACTTGGTGCAGGCTGCACTAAGATTCCTGCTTAAAAAGAGTAATGATAAAAGCAAAGCCAGAGAGGTCATTGCCAAGGTTGCAGGAATATTATGTAAAAGACTTACTCCATGCCTTGTGTCCCCTGTGTGACCCAGGCTCTGGTTCTCTACAGGGTCCTCTCCTGTCCTTGATCTTACTTTGTGTTTCCCCCTTCCCTTTCTTCTCTCTTCCTCCTCTGCTCCCCCAGCAGAGCATTACTCCTTGAGAAAGGTGGGAAAGGTCCTGGTCTGCTTGGTCACCTGAGACTTGCCTAGTGAGTGAGCAACTGGGCATGAATTCACCATGCCTATTTCCTAAGACCTCTAATCTGAGAAGAGGCAAAATGTCTTTCAGCTGCCCTTACTTCTCCAGAAATGGTGTGGGTTGCATCAGGAAATAGGAACTTTTCAATGGCCAAGTTTCCACATCTCCTGCTGCCACCTACTTCCCCTGTAGCAGAGTGGAGCAGGCCCGTGTTTGCTGACATTTGGAATGTCATTGAATGATCTTATATTCTTATTGAGCTGTCATCTTAGACAGGACTTGGGGCCCTGCTCCCAGCTCCCTCCAGGAGATCAGAGCTGTCACTGAGGGGCCTGAAGAATACATACACACACACACACACACACACACACACACACACACACACACACACACATATGCACATGTATAAATATACACATGTATATGCATGTGAATGCATACAGCCCAAGTGAGTATACTCCAAATTGCATGTCTGTATCCATACATGCCTTCATGTATATGCACATATTCCTATAAGCAGTCACCTGCAGAAATATTTGCAGGCATACCCAGACATGAAGGTGTTTATACATACATATTCATAAAGTATAAAGATAACATGCACACAGGTAAACATATATATATCTCTTCATCGATAAATGAATATATATATTATATATATATATATATATTTTTTTTTTTTTTCGAGACGGGGTCTCACTCTGTCACCCAGGCTAGAATGCGGTAGTATAAACATGGCTCGCTGCAGCCTTGAACTCCCGGGCTCAGATGATCCTCCCACTTCAGCCTCCCAAGTAGCTGGGACTACAAGTGCCCACCATTATGCCTGGCTAATTTTTGTATTTTTTGTAGAGAAGGGGTTTTGCCATGTTGCCCAGGCTGGTCTCAAACTCCTGGGCTCAAGCAGTCCTCCCTCTTCAGCCTCCCAAAGTGCTAGGATTGCAGGCATTAACCACTGTGCCTGGCCAATAAACAAATATTTTGAATGCCTTCTGTGTGCCAGGTACTGTGTGAGGGCCTGGGGATATAAGAAGGTGGATGTTGAATAAATAATTTTAGTTGCATTGAGTAACACTAAACAGTTCAGAGTCATGGATCATGTAAGAAGGAACTAACTTAGTAGGGTAGGGTCAGAGAATAATTCCCTGAGGAAGGATGTCTAAGCTGAGACCTGAAGAATGAGTTGAAATTGGCTAAGCACAATGTAGCATGTGGTGAGACCCTGAGGTGAGGAGAAGAAGCCTGGCAGCTTCATGAAACTAGAATGTAAGTTCTAAGAGGAGAAAGAATTTGTGTCTTTTGTTCACTGCTCTACCCCCATCGCTCTGAATAGTTCCTGGCACACAGATGTTTAATCCTTATGTGTTGAGTGAATGAATGCCTAAAATGTAGTGAAGGTGGCAAAAGGAGAGTGGCATGAGATGAGGCTAGAAGGAAGTCAGGAGCCTATAGACCACACTTTGATTTTGACCTTGATGTTTAGGGTAAGAGGAAGCTGTTAAAGGGTATTAAATATAAGAGGGGCATCATCTGATTTGCATTCTAAGAAAGTTCTCTCTGGCTGCAGTGTAGAGGGAGCTAAGAGCAGATACAGGAGACCAGTTGCTGGTTTTTCTTGATAGAGCTATGTTTGGCATTTTTGGTGGGACAGATCATTGTGTGGGTGACATTGCTGAACTTGTAGCATCCCCAGCCCCTGTTGATTGAATACCAATAGTGACCCTCTCCGAGTCGTTGTGATAATAAAAAATATCACCCTGTATACATTTCTAGTGGCCTGGACAGGGTGGGAGTGGAGGAATACTGTCCTTGGTTGAGAACCACAGAATTAGGCTGTTTCTGTGGTCCAGGTGAAAGATGGTAATTACTTCGATTGAACTGATAGCAGTGGAAATGTAGAGAAATGGGCCAATTCCTGAGTATTAAATGGTTTAGTCAGTTCTGCTATAATGCAACATAGAGATTTCTGAAAATCACCATGCTAGAGAAAGTCATGCAATAAAAATTCAGTTAGTGACACATAAAAGATAGGAATCTAATAAAAATGGTAGCATAGTTTTACACATTAAATGCTTAAGAAATACATAAATACCACAATAAATATGGTACTTTACTCTGTAAAACCCCGAAGTTTGCTTATAGAAATGGGCATGAGAAGGGTTGCAGCTTGTGAGTTATGAAGTAGTGGAAGAAGATCATCTGAAATCAGATGGAAAATTGTAACCAGATGAATGTGGTCCATAACATGTGGTGATCTAGGTGGCTGGTAGATGTTTAAGATGTGTGCATGTATGTGTTTTATGTATTCCTACCCAGCCCTGTTCAGTGAGGTATAGTTTCCTGTGTTTATCTAGTGTTTCTTGTGAACAAAATTGCACATTAACAAATGCAAAATTTGTGTTACTATAAATTGTTCCCAATACATCAGTTGCATTGGACAAATTTGCTTTTTCAAAGAGTATTATAGTAGCACTGATTATATAATAAACAGCAAATGGTGATTGGTTGTGAGGGTTGAGGATGAAGGAAGAGACCATGATGACCCCAGGATTTATGATTTGAGCAACTGAGTGAATTGGAATGAGTTGACTGAGATAATGGGAGAAGGAGAAGTTTCAGAATTGGAAAAGAAGATGAAGTCATTGTGGGGCATATGTGTTAAGATGCTTTTGAGACATTGAGGAGGCAGTTAAGTACATAGGTGTGGGGCTCAGGGGTGAAGCCTAGATAAGAGATACAGATTTGAAGACCAGGCATGGTGGCTTATACCTGTAATCCCAGTGCTTTGGGAGGCTGAGGTGGGAGGATCACTTGAGGCCAGGAGCTCAAGACCAGCCTGAGCAACATAGTGAGACCTCATCTCTACAAAAAAATGTAAAAATTAGCCAGACTTGGTGATGCATGCTCATAGTCCTAGCTACTTGGGAGGCTGAGGCAGGAAGATCCCTTGAGCCCAGGAGTTTGAGGCTGCAGTGAGCTGTGATTGTACCACTGCACTCTAGCCTGGAGTGCAAGACCCTGTCTCAAAGAAATAAAAAAAAATTGGCAGTGTTATTGGTCTGTGATTGATAATTAAAGCATGGAAGTGGATGAGATTGCCAAAGAAGAGGGTATAGGGTGAGAAGAAAGCCTAGGATAGAACACTGAGAAATACCAACATTTGCGAGATACAGAAGGAATAGTCAAAAATAGAGAATATAATAAATAGTCCTGAATTACAGATTGCATTTTGTGTGCTAGACCTGTGTTTTCCAACATAATTTCCACTAGCCACATGTGGCAGTAGATCACTTGAAATGTAGCTAGTATGATTGAAGAACACATTTTAAATTTTATTTAATTTTAATCAATTTAAATTAAAAACTTTCTTGGCCAGATGCAGTGGCTCATGCCTGTAATCTCAGCACTTTGGGAGGCCGAGGTGGGCAGATCACCTGAGGTCAGGAGTTTGAGACCAGCCTGGCCAACATGGCAAAACCTCGTCTTTATTTAAAAAATACAAAAAATTAGTCGGATGTGGTGGCGGGCGCCTGTAATCCTAGCTACTCGGGAAGCTGAGGTGTGAGAATCACTTGAACCCGGGAGGCAATGGAGGTTGCAGTGAGCTGAGATTGTGCCACAGCACTCCAGGCTAGGCAACGGAGCGAGACTCCATCTCAAAAAAATTAATTAATTAAAAACTTTCTTGAAAAATTTTATGTTTAGTACAGCCTGAGTTGGTGAATCTACATTTTAAACTGTTAATTGTATAAAATCTAAATACAGATTAAGTATTTCCTTTTTTTTTTTTTTTTTCCTGAGACAGTCTTGCTCTGTTGCCCAGGCTAAAGTGCAGTGGCATGATCTTGGTTCACTGCAGCCTCTGCCTCCTGGGTTCAAGTGATTCTTGTGCCTCAGCCTGCCAAGTAGCTGGGACTGCAGGTGTGTGCTACCATGCCAAGCTAATTTTTGTATTTTTAGTAGAAATAGAGTTTCGCCATGTTGTTCAGGCTGGTTTCCAACTCCTTGCCTCAGCAATCAACCTGCCTCGGCCTCCCAAAGTGTTGGGATTACAGGTGCGAGCCACTGCACTCGGCAGATTAAGTATTTCTGATGAAGATTTAGCATCCCAATTGAGATGTACAGTAAGTGTAAGTTACACGTCAGATTTCAGAGACTTGGTATGAAAAAATGCAAAATGTCTCGTAATTTTCTGTATTGATTACATGTGAAATAATACTTGGATATACTAAAATAAAATATATTATTAAAATAATTTTGTCTGTTTCATTTTACTTTTTAGTGCGGCTGCTAGAAAATTCTAAGTTTCATATGTGGCTCACATTATATTTCTATTGGACAGTGCTGTGCTAGACGCTATGGTTATGTACCTACATTGTCTAGTCCTCGCAGGACCCAGTGCAGTGGTTGCTATTATTTTTCACATTTTAAGGTTGAGAAAACCAAGGCATGGAGCGATGATGAAACTTGCTCAATGGTTTCACAGTAGTACATGGCAGAGCCAGAACTTAAATTCAGTTTTGCTAAATGCTGAAGAGACAGAGAGTAAAAAAGTGATAGAAGAAGAAAGACTGTAAGAGTGTGGTATTGCAGAAACCAAGAAAAAGTGTTTCAGAAGAAGAGGAGTGGTCAGTTCAGAGAGGGCTACACAAGATGAAGACTAAAATTTGAGCCCTGAACTTGTTAATAACAAGGGCCTCAGTGACCTTGGTCCTGAGTGGCATGATAGGAACAGGAGCCAAATTGGAGTGAACTAAAGAGTAAATGAGAAATGAGGAGGTGGAGAAACTTCAACTTTTTCAGAAATGTTGCTTTGAAGGTGAGAGAAAGGACAAGAGCTGTGGTGGGGCAAGTAGGGGTTAAAGCGGGTTTTGTTTTTAAGGTAGAAGGCATGTGTTTTTCTGTAGGATCTATTAGAGAAGGAAATCCTGTTGAAGGTGCAGGAGGGAGAAGAAGCCAGTAAGGGAGGCCTCTGAGGAGGTGAGAGGAGAAGGGGTGGAGAACCTAGGCTCTTGAAATTGGCTCTCTTTAGGCGGAAGGTCCCTGCTTCTATTGTGACAGGAGGGAAGGAGAGGAAGATGGGCACAAATGGAGGTAGGTAGGCTTGTAGATTTGGTGGCAGCAGGTTGAGGTAGTTACCATCTGATGGCTTTTATTTTTCTGTGTGAAACAGATGAGTCATTTGCTGATCACTAATAGGGAAGGGCTGGGAGAGTTTACAGGCTTGCCGTAGTTCTACTAAAGAATAGATGTGTGAGCTGACTTGAGAAGTATAGTAGGATTTCTATGCAGTGTTGAGGATCCAGTTGAGGTTGATGGTATTAATTCATTGTGGAACCACTCTGTTCAATTGTATGACTTTTCTTTATTGGACCTCAGCTGCCTGGTTGTGGGCATGGAGAAAGTAGACATTTAGATTCATTCAGGGTGGAGATTTTCCTCAGGGAGGTTTGATGAAAGGGATAGGGAATTGAAAATATTGGTAAGAGAGCAGTTGGCAAGATGGATTATGGGATCTAAGCTGGATGTTGGGGGAAAAGAAGATAGCAGGGGGTCTGATGGATATGGAAAAAGTAAATAAGTACCAACAAAATGAGGAATTGGTATAGTGGATATAGTTTAACATGCCAGATGGAAGGATTAGAGATTATGGTTAGAGAATAGGTGTCTGAATTAGTGATTTCAGGGATGGGGCAGTTCTAGGTGTTGGCAGATTCCAAGGTATGGCCATGGAAGTGGGTAGCTGATGTTGTATGGAAAAGAATGTTATTATGAATAAGGAATCAAAAAACAGAAAGGATGGAAGAGACCTCCATAAGGATGTATGTGTATGTATGCATGCACACATAAAATATGTTTACCTATTGCATATGCATGGACACATATGTATAAATGTAATACAAATGCATACCTACACACATAGCCATGCAAGTGTGTGCACACTGCACATACTTGCAAATTGTGTGGAATTCCCTCTGACGCCTGGGCCTGATAGGGTGGTGTTATGGTTTGGATGTTTGTCCTCTCCAGATCTCATGTTGAAATTTGATCCCTAATGTTCGAGATGGGACCAAATGGGAGGTGTCTGCATTGTGAGTGAATAGTTTAATGTCCTCCCTGGGGCAGGAGTGAGGGATGTGAGTGAGTTCTCACTCTATTCATTCCCAAGAGAGCTGGTTGTTAAAAACAGCCTGGCACTTCCCCCTCTGTCTCAACTTGCTTCCTCTTGCCGTGTGATCTCTGTACAAGCTGGCTCCCCTTCACTTTCTGCCTTGAGTGGAAGCAGCCTGAGGCACTCACCCGATGCCTAATCTTTAACTTTTCCAGGCATCAGAATCATGAGCCAAACAAACGATTTTTTAAAATAAATTACCCATCCTCAAGTATTCCTTTATAGCAACACAAAATGGACTGAGGGAGGTGGGCTTCTGGGGAAGCAGGCAGGCAGCCTTAGGAGGATTCTGAGTCAGTCCTGGCAGACAGGGCTCAGCCAGTCAAACCCAGCAGCTGTAGGGATAAGGGCCACCTAGAATTTAACAGACCCTGATATATCAGGGTATGAAGATTGCTGCTCCACTTTTCCTCTGCCATCCGTACACTATGCCTTGCTGCAATTTCTGGGTGCTCCGAAGAGGATTGGATGAGGACCAGCTCTTAAAGAAAATCTTGGGTCCCTCCAAGAAACATTCTGTTTCTCCCTCTCCCCTGGGAGGGTGCAGCAGGAGAAACTGCCAAAGGGAGGGTTGATGTCTACGATTGAGTGTGACTTTTCCTGACCTTGGAGCATTCAGAGTCCCAATCAGTGCAGTAATAAATTAAGGGCTTATGGAGGAATAAATTCTCGGCCTTAATGAAGTTCTTTGCTGGGGGCCATAGCAGGTCAGCAGGTCGGGATGATGCAGATTGGAGGCTTCAGCAAGTGGGCTGAGCTGGCTGGGAAGTCATCAGGAGTGAGGGGATCCAAAACCCTGCTAGCCAGTTCACTTTTTGGGGGCTGTGGGGATTAAGCTGCTACAGAAGCTAGGACTCTATAGAAGGGTGGCTGCAAGGTGCTGCCCACAGAGCTCCTCTACTGGGGCCATTCAGAAGCTAACTTGGAAAAAAAAACAAACAAAAATGAAAACCAAGAGAGGTATGAATAGCTAGGGGCTCTGCAAGCTGTTTGTTTTGTTTTATTTTGGAGAGGGGGAGAGTTTGCACTGAGGGCAGTTACTTCTGGGTCCCTCTGAGGTCAGAAGCAGGCTGGGGCTGTGGTCTCGGTCTTTGGCATCATCCAAAGTGCAGAGCATTGTCCATGGGGCAGTGGGCAGTTGTGGGCTGGTGTCCTGATGGGAATCAGCTCTGCAGGCCAAGTAGATCAGGGCCTTCATCTGTCTTTGGGAAAAAACACACGCATAGAGCACTAGGTATAGATGAGGCAGAGGTGTGAGCACAGGCATGGGATAAGAAGAGAGTGAGTGGGAGAGCAGCCCAGAGTGCTTGCTGCTGGGTTTGATGCTGGAACCCTGGGAGGGAACAGTCTTGGGAGCTGGAGGCTACTGAATTGTAAGCTGAAACAAGAACCTGAGCCTTGAGACTCCAGATCTTGAACTCTTTCCCCTTTCATCCCATTCTCTGCAACATCTGCTGTTGGGGTAAGCTCTTGGAGTGTAGTCCAGAGATAGAGGAGGGAAAGTACTGTCTTTGGAGTCAGGGGCTGCTGGAGCTAGAGGGAATGTCTCCTTTCTTCCCATCTCCCTGCCCCCATGGTGTAGTGCCTAGCCTGGGCTTTTCCTTTAAATATGTCTTACAGCTGTCTGAACTCTGAAATTTCTTTCACTCCTTCCCTCGCCTTGTTAACATGTGTTGCCTTTGGGGTAATCAGGGAAAAAATATTATGTCCTTTTACAATTACCAGGTTTTGGAATATTAAAATGTCTCACTGCATCGGCACTGTTACTTTGATTGGTATTCTAACCTTTGACTAGCCCATAAAGCGCGCCGCTCCTGAAGCCAATATTGCAGGACTGAAATTTAATTCCGAAATGATTCCAGATAATAGGGAGACAGATAATATATGCATGAAGGATATTATGTTTGGACTAACTGCAGCAGGGCCAGGGCTGGGGAGCTGAATAATAGCCCAGAGTGAGTTATAATCTGTGGGACAGAAATGCCTTACTGTCAGGGCCAGGAGAGGAACTCTTAAATCAAAGGCACAGGAAAGGGTGTGATTGCAGGGTGCTTGTTTTGACAGGAAGAGCACCAGAGCCAAGGGTAGGTATGGAAGGCTCTGCTCCATCTTTTCTCTTGAGCAAGATACCAAGGCCCTGGATGATCCAGCTCATTGCACCATTCCTATCTCCACATCTCCTGTCTCTCCATAACATTCCAGCCATATCAAACTTGTTGTTTTTCAAATATACATGACTGTCTCACCTCCCCTTACATATACTGTTCCCTTTTCTTACATCGCCTTTCCCCTTTTAGTGTGTTGGGAAACTCCTGTTCATCCTTCAAAACCCTTGTGGGTGATGCTTTCTCTGATGTTCCCCCATCTCTGGTAGAAATAGTCACTTCCTCCTTTGTATGGCTTCAGAACTTTGTATTGAGTGTATCACATGCTTTTGTAATTATCTGCTTACATGTTTTTGTTTCCCACTATACTGTGAGTTCACTGAAGTCAATATACCACCCATCTCTGAATTTCCAGTGCATGGCACTGGACCTGGCACACACTAGGCATCAACAAGCATTAATTTAATCCACACTGAATCTTGGGCTAGACTGATGAGCTCCAGAGTCTGGATGCCTATTCCTCTGCTGGAATTCCCAGACAAATAAACTTAGAGAAATGAAGAAACTTGCCTAAAGGCACATAGCCAGGAAGAGGTGAAGCTAGCATTTGAACCCAGGTCAGTGTGCTCTTTTCTCCAGACCATGTATCTTAGGGAAGTGGGCAGGGAAGGAATTAGAGGTTAAGGTACGAAAGACAGAAATTCATTGCCCTGAATCCTTCCTTCCATAGCCCAGGACTTAGGTCCACTTTGCTGGAAACTGCATTAGTTCTTAGCATTTATGGGACTCAGGTCCCAGAAGGGATTGTGCCTCCTATTGCTGCTGTTGACCTTTGGACAGTTATTCCATACAGAATACATTTCTCGATTGTGAGTTTGTAACCAAGAATCAGGACAGTACCTTGGGAAAGGTACCTAAGTGTGGTTTTGGAGAGCTCTTAGAGAAGTAGGCAGACAGAGTACAAGGAGCTATTAGCAATGTCAGAAAACGCCACAGACATTCCCTTCGTTCTTCAGGACTTGGTGGAACTTGTATTTTGGGTATATAATGATAAAGTACATAATGGAAAAAAAAACTATAGTAAATTTGTTTTTTTAACGTGGATTTGTAGTTTATTTTATTTTATTTTATTTTATTTTATTTTATTTTATTTTTTGAGACAGTCTCTTGCTCTGTCACCTAGGCTGGAATGCGGTGGCATGATCTCGGCTTACTACAACCTCTGCCTCCCAGGTTCAAGTGATTCTCATGCTCAGCCGCCAGAGTAGCTGGGATTACAGGGGTGTGCCACCATGCCCAGCTAATTTTGTATTTTTGGTAGAGATGGGGTCTCGTCATGTTGGCTAGGCTGGTCTCGAACTCCTGGCCTCGAGTGATCCACCCGCCTCAACCTCCCAAAGTGCTGGGATTACAGGTGTGAGCCACTGTGCCTGGCCTGTATTTTATTAATTACAATGTTATCTGCAAAAACCTGGAAAAATAGTATGGCTGTATGTGAGATTTACCCCCCATTTAGTCTTCAGGTGATACATGGTATATACGCTGAGTCCTGGGGAGGTGGGATGTGGCTCACAGCTAGAAACTGCTGTGCAAAGGAAGAGCTTTGGAGCCAGAGGAGTCTGGCTTGGATTTCTAATATTGCTACTCACTAGCTGTGTGGTCTGGAGCAAGTCCCTCTCTGAACCTGTAAATGATGATTAATATCTGTCACACAGAATTTAGGCTCTGGAGTCAAGTAGACCTGATATGGAATCTTGGCTCTACACTTACTAACTGTGGGGTTTTAGAAAAGTCACTTAACTTCTTTGAGCCTTGGTAGCTCCCTCTATAAAACAAGAAAAATCATATCCACCTTCTAGAGTTGACCTGAGGATAAAATGGTAGCACTATGCCCCTGCCCTTCGCTTGTCCCTGGTACTGGCCACTGGAGATGAGATGACTAGGCTATCGGGAGAAGAGGAGTCAGGGGGACGGGAGATCCAGGTAGACATACAGGACATTGTGGGCAGGAGCTAGGAAAAAGAGACTCTCACAGCAGAGTTCATGTGAGCATTGGCAAGGATGAGCTTAATGCTGTCCTTGGACCAGCTTACCCTCAGCTCACACTGCGGGACAGAGTCGATCATCTCACACCCTTGATTCCAGCTGCCATCAGCATGCCTGGCTGTCCAATGGAGTACAGAGGCACATTCACCTTAGGTCAATTCCTGGCCTTATCATCTACCTGTGTTATGATCTTGGACAAGTTACTTACCTTCTCTGAACCTTGGTTTTTTTCATTTGTAAGGTAGAGATAATTAATAGTAATAATAAAACCAGGTGCTGTTCTAAATGCTTTATATGAATTAACTCACTTAATCCTCAAACAATTCTAAGGGAGAAGTTCTATTATTAGCCATTGTACAGGTGAGGAAACTGAAGGGCAGAGAGGTTCATCAGCTGGTGAGTGATAGAGTAAGTATTTGAGTCTAGGCAGTAGACTCCAGAGTCCATGCTCTTAACTGCTTTACTTTGTTGCTGCCAGTGCAAAGGAGGGAGGAGTCATTTTTATTTGGGGTGTGGGAGAGAAAATCAAGAAAGGTTTTGGTGGAGATACTTGAGTGTTGAAAGATGAGTATATTCTCAGGTGACGGTGCAAGTGCATCCAGGCAAAGGGAGAAGTGTAAAGAAAGGCCTGAAGTGGTGAAGCACGTTGCAGGATTAGGGAACTACACACAGCAGTTTTCAGGTATTTTAAGCTACTCATGTGGACCAGCCATGTGTATGCTTTTACTGGAGAAAGAGGAGTGAGAGTGAGCATGTGCAGTAAGCAATCATTGGCCAGTGTCTAGAGTGGTGCCAGCCTAAGCTGCCTTCTAAGAGTGGTACAGTAGCTCCAGAAAACTGCCACGTTTGTGTGCATGAAGGGAAGAGGGAGCCCGTGGGCCAGGGATAGCAGGGAGGGAAGTGGCCACCCTACCTTTTAGCATACTAGCTATGGACAGTCTGAGACCGTTGGCAGAAGACCTCTATATCCTTATGGTAAATGTGGGGAATCAATTAGATCATGCTTGTAAAGCTCTTAGAGGAATGCTGGCACTCTGTGTTAGATGAGCAGCTTGGCACACCCTCAGCTGGAGAGCTAGCCTGCCTTGCTCTGCATCCCTGGTGGGTGTGGCCACACAGGGGAAAGAAGCAAGTGAGGGAATCAGCTCAAGGCAGCTGGGATTCTGTCTTTCTCTCAAGGTTCCCTGCAGCTGCTGCAAAGTGACCTCTCCTCTGGAGTTCTTATAGTGCCCTCCGTGGCAGGCCCACCCTAGGGCCTGCCTTCTCTTGCTGGCTGCTGCTTAGAGTCTGTATTCTGTCAAATGAGGCAGCCTCTTAGTCCTAGTCCCATGATGAGCCTCACCTGCCTCTCTTGAGTCCTTGAGGAAGTGAATTCTGGGCTTGCTCTGGAGCACAGGAAAGTTGGGAGCTCTGCTGGGTGTGTTTGGGACCTGGATTTAAACCTAGGTGTTCTATTGAGTGTGTACTCCAACACTTTGGGCCAGTTACTAGGGCCCAGTGCAGCTCAGAGCCCATGCCTCTTTGTTATTGTGTATGGGCTGGTCTGTCTGGGTGAGGAACCACAAGCCACTTGAGGAAAGGGACTAGATAAGCCGCTTCTCTTAATCCACAGAGCTAGGCAAATAGAGGGGACTTCAGTAAACTAAGAGGCATAAATACTGTAGAAAAGCTGAGGACAGTTTGGGAGAAAGATGGGGTGTGGTGGCAGGAGAAAGATGAACTTATCTATTGAGTCTGAGAGGGTAAAGTTAGTCTGCCTTGTCCCAGGGTTTCTTTTGTGTGTGTGTGTGTTTTTTCCCCTTCTTTTGATTTTGCTGTTGCTACTCTAGACCCTGAAACTGGGAGTAGTTGCAGAAAAGATGAGGAAAAGACAGGGTAACTTCCTTCAAGGCCAGAAGCACAGTCCTGCCTTCCATCTCCCACACTGTCTGTAGGTCAGTCTGCAAAGGCAGGTTTCACCATGTTTATCAGTAATAATAGAACACCAATGCATTGAGCCCCAGTTGATGCCATCTGTGTTGGATACTTTACACACATGATTGCATTTAATCCTCACAGCTACTGAGGGGCTGTGAGGGCTATTGTCCCTATTTTATGGGTGCTGAAATAGAAACTCAGAAGCTTGCCTACCACATGACCAGGAGGATGCAAATTCAGTTTCTCTCCTTCCATAGCTTCCCTCTTGTCACTTGGCCCATAGCAGATACCACCTGAAGGCAGTCTGGCCTGGTTTGAACTGGAGACCCAGGCACACACAGCAGCCATTATCAGTTGTGTGTTCAATGAAAGTCAGTGAATGGGCAAGGATAGGGATTGGCCTTGTACTCCAGGTCTCTTGAGAGTGACACCACTGTGTGTGTAAGAGGGTGTACCCATTTGTATATGCATGTCTGTATGTGTTTAAAGAAGTGCATTCACCCAATTGGGGAGGTCTGTGCAGGCTTGAGTATGTCTGTGTATATTCTTATGTGTGCACGGGCCCACAAATGGGAATGTGGGTGAATGTGCCAGTATGGGATTTGTGGTCTGACTCTAGGCACTAGAGGTGGGCAGATGAGGCCCTTGTCCTTGGAGGGCAGTATGGTGTAACATAGAGAAATCTGGACTGAACTTGACGCTAGAAACTAAAGACGTGGGCTCTGGTGTTGGGTTACTTGCCCTTTCTGAGTCCTCAGTTTTCTCATCTAACAAATAAGGGAGTTGGATGAGGGAGTTTCTTCTTGTGGTCTCTTGGCCTCTTCTACCTCTGCCACTATGAGATCATTCATGGAAACTTAGGCTTTCCCTTTTTGCTCCCATCTAAACATGAGACAGATGCAAGGAAGACAGCAGAAGTTCCACTTTTACCCTTACCAACTACAATGTCTGGCCTTGGGATGGCTCCACTGTCCCATTGGAAGAAGTTGAGGGTCCAGGGAAGGCAGGGCATTGCTTGGCATCAGGACAGGAGAGCTAGGGACTCAGGTATTGTGGAGGAGTTTGGATAGCTGTCACTTGTCACATTTTGGGCTGGCTTGGACTGAAGCCAAATGCTTTTAGGCTTTGGGCTTCACCATGAGAATACAGGGTGAGAAGAAGCTTGTTGTCTCCCTGTTTCTTTGTGGGTGGAAAGGAGAGGGGCCTCTGAGTACCCTAACGGCAGGGAGCAGCCTAGGCCCTTCCTCTGGTCTTTTATCCTCTATTTGTTGTCTTGGCAGACACCAAGTGATGCCCAGGTAGAGACTAGGAAAAGTAGCTGGATGTGTGTTCACATTCATATGTGACCGTGCTGGCTCAACCCATGGTCTTTCTGTGAGTTGACTTGGCCTGCTGTCACCTGCCTTGGAGGAAGAGTGGTTTGAGCTTGGGTGCCTTACCTTTCCCTGGCTGACTCCTCAGGGCTGATCTGGATGGCTGCTATAGATGGGACCTTTGGCTATCTCAGTCTTCAAGTGGGATTGTAGTAGGTTTTTATTTATTTTTCCCATTAATTGGTTTTCAGTTCTCTTTAATTTCTGAATTTGACCAGCTGGGGCACTAGAGAAGAGATGGGCAATGTATGGTACAGTGCCCTCAGCCCTAATAAAGACATTTCTCTCTTGTTCGGGCTAACATCCCCTGGACCTAGGTCTCAGGTAGCAAGAGTCCTGTGCTCTGCCTGGGCTGGGACATCTATATTCACCTCCAGCCACCAGTCACCCTATGGGTTGGGACCTCTGGACTCAGAGGTGACTCAGACCTGATCTCCACCTGTACAGAGCTCCTGGTCTGGTAGGGAAGATGGATGGGTCAATAGGCAGATGGGGGAAAAACACAATAGAAGTGGTAAGTACAGTGATAGAAATATGTATATAGGGTGTGTATGAATCATCTGTGTTAAAAATTATTTTGAATTCAGCTCTGTACTGAGTAAAAATTTACAAGAGACAGAGGATCCATGTAAACACGTCTGTATGTTCCTGTGCCTCCTGCCTGTGCCACTCGATAAGCTTTGAGCTACCCCGATGAGCTAGTCCCTGCTAGTGCCTGCTGTGACTTCTTCAAAGGCCCTAAAGCGGGGCCCTCAAGATACCCTAGATTGCCCTACTTGGAAAAGAGGGTGGCCCTCCTGGGGAGATAAGGTCCAGGCTGGCTTAGGGAGTGTTTTTGTGTGGGTGTGGGCAGGTAGGCTTGAGTTTGCACAGGCATGAACCCAAGCGTGTTTATGGCAGCTGTCAGTGGCCTGTCCCCAGCACCACAACCAGGTCTTATGTTGCTAGGCCTGGGCTTGGCACCTACTTGGCTGCAAGCAGGCAGGCGGGCTGCAGGCAGATCCCAGGGCAAGCCTGAGGCCTCCCCAGTGGTGTGTTTGCTGTGCCTAATTACCCGGCAGTTGTTTAACTATGCAAGCTGCATGCCTGCCTTTATTGCGCTGTGATTGCTGAGCTGCCTATGGGGAGTGTCATAAAAAGATATAAAATGCCCATTATCTGTCCAACGCCCTCCTCCTGGACTGTGGGTGTTTGTGTTTTATTTTATTTTTATGGCTTGAGGGAAGCTCTGCAGGAAAGAAAGGGAGGGAAGAAGAAGGAGGGGAGGAGAGGCCCATAGGAATTGGGGGTTGGGAGAATGAGCCCCTTTCTACTGTGGTCAGGAGGGCTCTCCTAACCAGAAGGATGATATGGAAATGGCAGATCTCCAGGGTCAGGACAAACTGCTTAGGAAATAAGCCCCAGATCTTCCCCTCTTCATCCACCTACAAGTCTTGTAGCTTATGTTTCCACCTTACCTAAGTATGCTAGCTTCTCCCTGCTTTAGGCCCACTGCCTTGGGTGCAGGACAGGGTTGTGAGAATGGTCTCTCATTCCCACCCAGTTCTTTACCAGCTTGGATGACTCAGATTGTGTACTGGCCTCCTAGAGCACCATGGCTTGCTTTGGGGCAAATATCATTAGCACTGCCACCTGCTCCTATTGCTCTATTGAAGCCTTCCATCCCTTCAGCTTCCCTTCTCTTACTAGCTACAGTGGTATGTTCAGGACGAGCCTATCTAGGAATTCACTGGGTCTTAAGGAAACTACGTAGACTATGAGAGGGAAGGGAATTAATACAGATTGAGGACCTGCCCTGTGCCAAACAGAACCTGCGTAAGGCACTGAGGGCAGAGATCAGAGATCAGACGGGGACCCTCCCCTTGAAGAGCTCACACTATATAACCAGAGTGCCAAGGTTTATGGTAGGTATTCAATAAATGTGTGTCAAATGGGATTGAGTTCAACATAGCCATTCATTCATTCATTTTCATTCAGTAAATGGCTTTTGAGCACCTACTGGGTCAGGCACTCTGCCAAGCACTGGGGATAAAATAGTGAGCAAAACAGACAAAATCCTAGCCGTCACTGGTCATTAGAGTTTATTGGGAGAAGGACTTAAGGATTTAAACTCTGGATATTGTGATTCCGAAAACCATCCCCTTTGAACTGTGATAAGTTGTTTCCTGTGCCTGAACCATCAAACCCTAGACTATCAATGTACTGATCTTCTCTACTTGAAAAATCTTAGTGTCTACTGAACAAAGTATAAGCTCTCTAGCCTGACCTTTGAGACACTCCAAGTCCCTTTGAGCTGTGTCAAGATAGCCTGTATGGTCTACTTCCAAGCCTTATTCACTGTTATTCCATTTGGCTAGGAAGTCCTTTGCTGCCTTCTTGCCTAGTGAACTCCTGCTTATCCTTCAAGACTTAACTCCTCTTATGTCCTCAGTGAAGACTTTTCCAGTTTCCCAGTGGAACTTCCTCCCTCTTCACACACCTACATCAAGTGCCTATATCAAGTGCCTTCAGAAAGCTAGGCATGGTGCTAGAGCCTCCTCTGACTTTGTTCACAGTTGATGAGCCTGCTGTGGGTTTCTTGCACTTCTTTGATCAGAATTAACTTCTTTTAAAAAAGAGTTTTATTGAGATATAATTTATATACCATACAATTCACCCATTTAAGGTGTACAATTTGTTTTTTAATATATTTACAGGATTGTGCAACCATCATCACCATCTAAATTTAGATTTTTGTCCCCACTAAAAGAAACTCCATTAACAGCTACTTCTCATTTCCCCGCAAATGCCCCAGCCTGAAGCAACTACTCATCTACTTTCCATCTCTATAAATTTGCCTATTCTGGCAATTCTGGGAACTTCTTGTATGTGGTTTTTTTTGTGACTAGCTTCTTTCACTTAGTATATTTTCAAGGTTCATCCATGTTGTATTATAAATTAGTACTTCATTTCTTTTTACTGCCAAATAATATTTCATTGTATAGATAGTACCACTTTTTTTTTTTTAATTCTCCCATCAGGTGATCAATATTTGGGTTGTTTCTACTTTTTGGCTGTTATGAACATTCATGTGCGAGTTCACTTTGTCATTTTTGCCTTTTTAAAAGAACACTTGTCTGTCTTTCCTAGTACATTGTGAGCTCCGTGAGAATAGGGGTCACTGCTGTATTGTTGACTGCTGTACCCCCACCATTTAGTCTGTGGATAGTACTCAGTAAATGTCAGTGAATAAAAGCATGCAAGCTTTCTCATTCTGGTTCCCCACTTCTGATGTAATAGCAAATTGTTGGGACCTGTTTTAGCCCCAGCCTACTCTGCTGTGAGTACAGCTGTATAGGCATATCTGCCACCTGTGCGGGAGTGTAAGTTCATTCATCAGTGCCCTGGACCAAGCCTCTCTAGTTAAGTCCTTCACCAACAACAGGTGATCTGAGAAACTTCCTTGAGTTGTCCCCAGGGTAGCAGATAATGGCCTCGAGCAGACTCAACACTGACTCCACTTGTTCTCCTTCCCGCTTCTGGGGGCCTCTGAATTGTTTTAAGCATGGAGGGCTGGATCTGTGAGAGGATGCTTGCGGGAGGGAGTGTTGGGCTGGGTGGCCTCCTGGCTCAAGGCTAGGCTGGCTTTATGATAGCTCTGGATACCTGGGCATGTGAGGAGAAGAGGCTGCCCCTACCATTCCAGTCAGTAGCCCATATGAACCAGCTCCATGGAAGAAAAGGAATTTCTAGAACCAGTAGCTTCTGAGAGATTAGTAAAACCAATAGTTCTCTTTTCTTTGTACTTAACTCACCCTAATAGTTTGAGCCCATAATTAGAATTGGGCTTTATTAGGCTAATTAGGAGGAAGGAATGATGGCAGGAGGGCATGTGGAGATGCATCAGCGTGGTGGGCAGTAAATCTAGGCTTTTAATAGGTTTGTTCCATAATCAGCTGATTTGGAAGGCTGACTGGTGGCTGCCCCCCCTTCCTTGTACTGCCACCACTCCTTGAAGTGGCCTTCACACTTTGCCGTCCTTGTCCTCGATGCTGGCAGCAGCGCTGGGATATGGGGGCTCAGGAAGGAGGGAGGAGACCCCACCCGGAGCTTCATTGCCTATGCACGCGCCGTCCAGCCTGGCGGCATGATTACCTTGCTGAGAAATCCGTCCAGGCGCGGGGCTGCTGATAGCAATCATTGATTAAGAGGGTAATTGTCCTGAAAATTCAGATTGATCAGAAGGCAGAAATGATAACTTGTGTAACTGTGTTTAAAGCCACGTCCTGTCAATAGAAGAGACTGAGATGTATCACGCCAAGAGGGGGGCAGAACGGATGGGTGTGTGCGGGTGGGCGGGTGCTGCCATCCTTCTCTCAGGGCTAAGCAGGATGTTTCTTGTCAGTAACCTGGACTATTGGAGATTCAATCACTTTTATCTCCCCCTCTCTCTCAATCCAAATGCCTTTTCATATTAGGAAATTAGAATTGGCCCTGCTCATGCAAGATTTATTAGCTCTGCTGAGCAGTCGCACCGAAGAGTAAATGATTTCGCTTTGCTGGAGCTTTTTACACATTAGGACCCAACTTCTCCTTTCCTGCTCTGTGCTACTGGCTGTCTAGAGGAGGGAGTGAGCTCTAGAACTGAATACTCAGGGAGTGAGGGAAGAGCATCACTTGGATCTGGCTTCTTGATCTGCCAGAGACAGACTGACTTTTGGTATCTGACTGACTTCCTCCTACCTGATCCCCAGACATGTCCCCTACTGGGGTCTAGGGTTGTCTCTCTCCTGAGGAGATGAGGTTTATTCCTCAGACTTGAATGCCTGGGTGGTGGCTTATCTTGGGAGGAAGGGCTCAGGGCTCAGAGAGGGCTAGAAGAGTTAGAGGAAGCAAGGCCAGGGGAGGGGCAAGAGTGTGTGTTGGGTGAGGTTTGGCAATAGCAGCATAGAATAGGGAGGACACCATGACTTCTCTTCTCAGAGCCCAAGCCTATACTCCTCTCAGGAGTGGGGCCACAAGGGCCAGAGCATCTTTCTGAGCCCCCGGGGAAGCTGTCCAGGAAGCCACCTGGTTGCTTAGAGAGTGTGGAAGCTGTTTAGAACAAAGCTGAGGGTGTCTGGGCCTGCTGCCTGTCTGTATCTAAGGTACTACAAAGTTGACTCCGGCTGAGGCTATCTGATCTGCCAACAACACAGGCTCTTAGTGGAAGAAGGACCAGAGATCCATTCCAAGTTTCTGGAACCCTACTGTGACCTTGGGCTGAGAGGCAGTGTGGGCCTGTGTGGCCAGTTGGACCCAGCCTGCCCTGAAAGCCAGGGCACCAGCTGGCTGGGCTTATTTTAGGGAGGACAGTTCCCCTTCACTGAGACTGTACAATCTCCTTCTTGCTTTTCGTTTTCAGCCCCTGACCTCCTTGGGTCGCTTGGGCCCATGGATGAACATCAGTTACTATCATTCTTCCCCCTCCCTTTTCCAAGTGTCTGATCCTGGAGGGCTAGTGAAATAGAAAAAAGTGTGAGAATCCTTCTGATGTAGGAGCTGAGGGAAGGTTAATGGAACTTCTGGATTTTTTAATGAAAGGGATCCCAAGGACTGCCCATTTCAACATCCCTTTCCCCTTGTGGTTTGCTCTTTTACTTGGCCCTGTGAAGCCTCTTTTTTTCTGCTTTCAGGTTATTTCCCCAAGTGGAAATGTGACTGGGCAAACTTGAGAGCTGTGGCTGGAAGTGATGGGGTTCCTGGGAGTGAACGGTGGGAGTAGGCAGCAGCCATTCTGGCCCAGAGAAAGGCTGAGTTTTGGGGCAGGAAATAGAGGGAGGGAAGCAGGGAAGCTTTTGGGAGGAAAGAATCTGGAGAGTGTCAGTAAGATGTTCCCTAGATGGGACCTGCTCTAAATAGACCACCAGGCCACCAGCTTTCTGCTGAAGGTCCGCTTAGGTCTTTCCTGTACCTCACAAGGCATTGTCCTCAGAGAAGCCTTGACACTTCTAGAAGGCTCCTCCCGCTAGGCTGGATTGGGCAGGGCAGATCTTCCCTCTGCCTGTGCCATCCCCACTGACCCTGCGCCTGCCACAAGCGTGCTAAGGGATAGGGTAGTCTTGGCAGCCTGGTGTAGCCCCACCTCCCCCACTCTGCTAGATTGTGAGGGCGTGGGTGCCCAGATGGAAGTGCTGTGCCATGGGCAGCTTCGACTTGGAGATAGAGAACTCAGAAGACAGATTCCCAGGGGAGTGAGAGAAGCACACCATCTCTACAGGGTAATATAAATGGTGTTGCCTTCCAGAGCCCGGAGAAGGAAGGTTAATGGAACTGCTGGATTTCCAGAGAGGGAGTAATTGAATTCTCCTGCGAGAGCTCAGATGGGCATCCAGAAGGGGGCCTTGAACTGGGCCTCTGTGAAGGATGGGGACTGTGCTGTGGAGACAAGTGTAGGCTAGCATGGGGCAGAGAGGACAAGTGTCAGAGATCAGTTGGTTAGGGTGGGGCTGGGCCCAGTGGGGGTTATTGTCCTTGTCACACTTCTCCATTATAATATGGAGACATGGACCAACTTCTGCTTTAGCGAGCCTGAGGGACACCTACTTTCACCATCTGGCTGGGCTGCGGTGGGTGGAGGGCCTTGGATTGCACTGTCTGGAGCCTAAGGTTGGAAAGATGTGAGGACAGAGCCTTCGGGAACGACCCCAAGCAGATCCTCCCTCTACTCTGTTCCCTTCCTGTTCTGCTGAAAGAGCAGGAAAAGGGTGAGGTTTTAGGTTAGGAGAACAGCTCTGGGAAAGCTTTAGGCATGCTTTTGCCACACCCATTCCCAGCCCTGTCTTGTACCCATACCCAGCCCTTCTGCCAAGGGCCAGGTGGGTTCCTGGGCCTGGTTGGGAAGCTGGGAGTAGATGGGAAAGCCAGGAGACTCATTTTCACTGGAATTTGACCTAAAGCAGGATTGGAAGGGAAGAAAAGAATTTGAACAAAAGTGCAGGCAGGAAGGAGCTGTTAACGAGCCTTTCTTTCTCTTTGGGGACGGAGCGGAGCGCATAGCGGGGCGCAGCCGCCAGCTCTCCTCAGAGCGGCTCTCTAAGGTAGCTGCAGTCTCTGGCCGCTGCCTGCTCTCGTTCGCTCTCCTTTTTTCCCTCTCCTCTTTCTCAGCTCTCTCTATTATGGGGACTTGCTCCAGCTCTTTCTCTCTCTTCTGTCTCTCCTTTTGTTCTCTCTTTGTCTATTTATCACACTGTGAAGGTTGAAAGAGATGTTATTAATCTGGGAGAATGAAGGCAGGATTAGTGGTATGAATCGGATTTTGAGAGGTGTAATGATAGAAAGACTCGCTCGGCTGGCGGCCTGCGTGAGCTTGATAAATGGGGAGCACTCCAGACTGACTCGCGCCTTCCTCCGCGCTGTGCGCCCTGCCCGCTGGGGCGTGCCACGCTCTCAGATCTGCCAGCCGGCCCACCCCGCTCCTACCTGAACCGGAGCAAAAAGCCAAGGGTAAAGCAGACACAAATATCTCCCATCACACTTGGAGACATCATTGCTTTTAGCACCCTTTTCAAGTCGAGGCCTGTCGAGTTCTCAAAGGACTGTGGGCAGAGGGAGTGGGGACCTAGACTTCAGGCTAGAACAGCACCTGCCTGCTTCTAGGACCTGTAAGAAATGGATGTCAGGGGTCAGGGAGTGATAAAAAACAATCCCTAGACCAATCAGGTAAGAATACCAGACCCTATGTAAATACGTGGTTAAGCAAAGTGCTGTTGAGAGAAATGGGTGTGGAGGTCAGGGTGGGGCATGGAGGAGTGGGAAAGAGAAATCATGAAGGGCTTCCTGAAGGTAGTGTCCTAGCAGACAGGATTTGGAGAAGGGAAGTTGAGCGTTCCAGGTGGGGAAATATAGTATAAGCAAACATGTGGGGCAGAAATAAGCCTGACTCTTGGGGTGGGGGTGGGGGAGTTGAATGAAGTACCTCAGATCTGATGAATTTCAGATCAAGAAGAGACCTAAGAAATCCAGTAAAGTCCCTCATTTTTCAGTGAAGAAACTGAGACCCAGGGGCTAGAGTTTCCATTTCTGAAATTCTTTTTTATCCAAGCCCTGTTGTTATTTCTAAAGGTACTCCCTTCTAGCCATCCAGAGACTATACAATGGGCCTCTCTCCTCTCCTCTGTGGCTCTGATCACGTCCTTTCAACCTTCATCTTTGTAACCAGAAGGTCCAGGCTTAGGTTCACTGCTACTTGGTCTCCAGCCCCTTCCCAGGAGGCTTGGCTTTAGGGTCCTCCTCACACTCCTGCCCCTGCTCAATCCGCAGTCTGTGTGGGTCATGCTGTCCCAGCCAACCAATTGCTGCCTGTGCAGTGAGGCAGGATCAGAAGCAACACACACCATTCTGGGCTCCAGAGGCCACTGGTCCTGAGAACTTCCCTCCTCTCAATCCCTACTGTGGGTCTCTCCACTCACTGTATCACAGTTATGGGCCATTACTGGTTTCTGTGTCTGTTTCCCGTCAAAGGACTATGAGTTCTTTGAGCGCAGGTCTACATGTGATTCTGTTTGAGTTGCTGGGTTCTGGCAGGCCTTCAGTGAATGTGTGAATATTCAGTGAATGAATGCTTGTGTACTTTCTTCCTCTCCTTCTAGATGGAAAATCTAGAAGGATCTATTATCTTGGTTCTCTATTAGTTTTTCCCAGGCCTGGCTACCCTTAGGAATAAGGAGGGGTAGATGTGCAAAGGAACTACTGTCTGTCTGTCTGTCTGTCTGTCTGTCTATCTATCTATCTATCTATCTATCTATCTATCTATCTATCTATCTAGAGGGTTTTCCTCTGTCACTCAGGCTGGAGTTCAGTGGCACAAATACAGCTCACTGCAGCCTCAACCCCCTGGGCTTAAGGGATTCTCCCACTCACCTTAGCCTCCCTAGTAACTAGGATCACAGGTGCACGTCACCATGCCTGGCTAATTTGTGTGTGTGTGTGTGTGTGTGTGTGTGTGTGTGTCTGTGTGTTTTGTAGAGATAGGATTTTGCCACGTTGCCTAGGCTGGTCTCGAACTCCTGGGTTCAATTAGTCCTCCCCACTCAGCCTCCCACAGTGCTGGGATTATAGGCATGAGCCACTGTGCCTGGCTGGAACTACCTTTTCATATTGGTAGAGCACCCCAAGATCACATAGCGTGGTAGTGGAGGGCCCCTGAATGGCCTTAGGAAACAGTACAAAGCCCTTACCGTGTCCTTTGAGGTCCTGCATGGGCTGCATCTCCTGCCTTCCTCATCAGCCACATTTCATGCTTGATTTTCTGTGCTCAGGGACTCTGGCGTTGATTTGATTCCTTCCAGGCCTTAGCATGCCCCCAGTCACCCCACCTCTGCCCTTCCCCCACCCCACCTCCAATCAGTCAGCCAGGCAGCCAGGCAGCCAGCCAGCTTCTACTTACCTGTTCTCAGGGAAGCATTCCCCACCTAAGTCAGACTCCCCTTTTCTCTCCTATTATAAAAGCTTATGTGTCTTGTTGGAACCTTTATTACAGTTCCTTTGAGCTTAAGTCTCTTGGAGAAAGCTGTGGAAGCTCTCTGAGGACAGTGTTGTGCTCTGTTGCTATATATGTGCATATAGCCTGGCATGTAATAGGCTCTCAGTAAATGTTTGTTGTGAATGAGTCAGTGTGATTCCAAAGCGTGCACTCTCCATCATATTACAGTAGAGTGAAGACTGATTTGACCAAGGAAGATACAGGAGCCAGGATGTTGGGTGCACCCCAAAGAGAAGGTTCTTTGGGCCTTAGCTCTGGAGGCTGGAATTTCAACCTTCTCATCCTTTTTTTCCCTCCAAACATCAGAGAAGAGAAGGGCTTCATCTGATTCTAAAGGTTTTTACTTTCTTCCTGGGTGATCTTATCTACTCTTAGTTTCTTGTACCACTCATCTGCTTCTTAGGATTCTGTCTCAGCTCAGACCACTGGTCTGAGCTCCTAGCCTACACCTTCCCTGGGTGCCCCACCTATGGCCCACTGAAGGCCGTGTGGGTCCTTCTTGCTGATTTCCTTCAGTGTTGTTTTGCAAATATGTTTACATGTCTCTCCTTCTAGCCTGGGAGCTCCTTGAGGGCAGTGGCTTGGTCTGCTTGACCTGTGTATCTCTAGCACCCAGCACAGGGCTTGGCACATGGTAGTTCCTCAATAAATGGGTGTTACATGAACAATCTAATGAAGAGGGAGGGGGATCTGGGATGAATGTTTTGAACACCCTTCTTCTTTTTCCCAGGGGGAAAGAAAGTGAAGGCGTGTATGCTGTGTGCAAGCATGCATATACCTTTGTATGTGAGGGGTGGCTGGGTGGGTGGTGGTGGCGGTAGTGCCGCATGCTCAATAAAGGATTATATTTTAATTTGGAAAGCACTTTAGAAACTTAAAGTGCTTTGCCTAAGTGCTGACTGCTATTAGTGTCTCCTTTTTATTAGGAAAAAGGACATGATTTTTCTCTTTTATCTTCAGGCCTGTCCAACTTCTGAGAGTCAAACTTAGCAAAATGCCTGCCCCTTACTGAGGACTAGTTACATGCCAGGTTCAAAGCTTTGGGCTTGAAACACAGAATTCTGCTTTGCAGACTGGTTCTGACACCCCTGAGGGGATTAGCCCTAACAGCTCAGTATCAGGAAGGGGGGTGGGAGAGACAGGGTCATTTGACATAGTTCAAGCTGCAGTCCCTAGCCCCTCCTCTCTCCATCTAGGCCTGGGTGGGAGAACATAAGAACTTAGACTGTTTTGGGGAAATGGAGGAACATCCCAGTGGTTATCAAAACTCACTTGTTATATGATATGAAGGGCCAGCTTCTGCGAGAGGATTGGGGAGGAATGGCCCCAGGGAGTTGGGTTTGGTCAGCTATCACCAGGGATGATAGGACCAAGAGGCAGAGACATCACAGCTGCTGGACCTGGTGCTGTTAGGAGCTGTCAGAGGGCTGGGTTAGAGGGAGGGTGTATGTGTAGCAGTAGCAGAGGGAATTCTGGCGCAGGAGGCCATGAGGGAGAAACTCACCCCTGTGCCTTACAAGCACCTTTGAGGGCCTTGCTGAAAGAAAAGGTGACATCCCTCCCCATGGAGATGATTTGGTGCAGCAGTGGTGGGAAGTCTGGAAGGCCCCAGCTAAGCCCTGTAGTTGGGCCTCTCTGTTTGGCTTCTGCCCCCAGGCTTCTTTCCTGAGGAACCACAAGATGGACCAGCACCCTGGACTGTCTCTGCCAGCCCTGGATGTGGAAAGCTCTGCCCATGACTGAGGCACTGGGAGTGGGGCTTTGGCCCAGCTGGCAAGTGCCCTGCAGTCCCTGTCTCCTGATCGGGTCCTGATCTGGGGGAGCTAGGATGGGGGTGGGTTGGGGGGAGTACATTGAGCCAACTGCCTTAACTGAATTTCCATACCTCCTGTTGTTAATTATAGAGATGTAATAATGCGATTAGTGCACGATTAAAAAAAATCCCTGATATGATTACCATGGATTTAATATCACATGATATATCATTATATCGTTATGCAGTGACAGATGTAATTGAAATACACTTATTGGAGCCGGGGGTGGTGTTTCATTCAATCCCCAGCACCCCGGGGAGGAAAGGGCTGGCTAAAAAGAAGCGGTGGGAGAGGAAATTGTAATGAAAACAAAGAAAACTCACAATGTAGCTCTCACCCTGGGCAGCTGGCTCAGACTGACCTGCTGCCTTAGACTCTGTGACAGTGCACGTGGAGCCCCAGACAGGCCACCCTCTTCTGCAGGGACTGAGGCAGCATGGCTCAGGAGCTACTTATCTTATTCTCAACCCAGAAACTTCACTGTCCCCAAGGCCCCTCTGACTCAGCGGTGAAGCCAAGAAATCTGAGAGCAAGAAAGAGAAAACTCCACCTGAAAATACTCGGGACCATAATACTTGGGATCAAACTGAGCTGGTAGCTGTCTTCCACTCCTGGGACCCCCAGTACCAAATGCTGTGGGACTTAGACCTGTGGCATAGCCCCTGCCTTTGCTGTAGTGGTGGCCCAGTGCACTAGAGGCAGCCATCATGTTGGAGGCAGTGAGCAGTAAGGTTAAGTACACAGAGACGATAATTATCCCACTCAGGTTCCGTTGATGAAGAGAGGCAGCAGCAGCTCTGGGGCCCCTGAAGTATGTTGGTAGCCGGAGAACACTGTACACACAACAGAACTGCCATCTGGGGTTAGGGAGGATGGGCTTGTGTCACCTGATGCAAGTGTCCATCCCTTTGCTGCTTTAGCTGTGCGGGTCAAGCCTCTGCTGGACCCGAGGAATGGGTTGGGGGATATACATAGGCTGAGAGTACAGAAAAGGAGGAGACAGCAACAGTTCCCTCTTCCTTAAAACAGGCAACTGAGCCCCCAGTTCCAAGAATGGCTGTGGGGTGGGCTGTTGCTGTTCTGCTGGGCAAGAACAGCTATGGTTCCTGAAGGAGACTGGGTAGGATTGGCAGGAGTAGCAGCTCCGGAAACCAGGCCTCCAGGCTTGGTAGAATTATACCCAAAGAGGTGTCTTTTCTTCCTCTCCCCTTCTCCTCTCGCTTCTCCTTTTCTCAGTGGAGACCACTCAGAGACAGCAAATACAACCCCCCAACCCCCTCAGGAACCTCTCAGCATAATGGGAGACAAAATCCATGTTACAGGTGCCATTCACAGTATGGGGGATTTAAAGGAGGGATGAGCCAGGAAAGACTATAAAGGAAGGTACTTTTTGAATTGAATGTTGAAAGAGGAGTGTGTGTTCAAATTAGGACAAAATGTGGGAGAAGGCAGAGGGCGTTCTAGGCAGGCTGAAGGAACTGCTTCATCAAAGGCTTGAAGGCATGAAACAGCAATCCCAGGACTTGGTGGGCAGTAAGGAAGAGGAAGGAATCAAGATTGACTCCCACATTTCTGGCCTGGTAGACCAGGTAGATGGTAATAGCTTTCACTGCAATTTGGGAGCCCAGGAGAAGAAGCAGTTTGAAGAGGAGATGTTGAAATGAGCTTTAAACATATGGAGAATGAAGCGTCTGTGTGAAATCCAGGGGGTGATTCGAGGTAGGCAATAGAATATATATGTCTGACACTCAAGTAGGGGTAAGAAATACAGATTTGGAAATTAGAAAGGTTGAAGACAATGGACTTGAGGAAATCACCCAAGGAACCCAAGGAGAGTGGTAGCATGTAGAAAAAAATAGGAAGAGAGAGTGCAGAGTGGGTGAGTACACAGATACGATGACCAAATGCAGAGGAGACTATACAGGAGATTGTGGGGAAAATGGCAGAGAGCTAGGAAAACTGAGTAGAGTGTCAAGAAGGGAGAAGGGTTTCAGAGATGGAGCAGGCTGCAAAATGGCGAAGGCAGGTAAGAATCTGAAACTGTCCACAGATGTGGGGCAGCATGGCGGCAGCTTGACCAGACTGCAGGGAGTGAAGGAGTGAAGGAGGAAGGGAGTGGAGGCAGTCTTGAGAAGTTGGTCGTTAACAGGAGAACAGCAGTAGCTGGATAGGATGTGAAATGCATATAGAACTTTAAAAATAATCTAAAACTTAACATAGGTTTCAGAGAGCCAGGCAGTGTTTTAAGCACTTTACAGACAGTAATCCTCATTTAATCCTCACATCAATTCTATGGGGTAGAAACTATTATAACCCCCATTTTACAAAGAGGAAACCAAGACACAGAGAAGTTATGTGAAAGTGATAGAAATCTAAGCATATGCTTGAATGTTAATGAAGAAGCCAGCAGAGAAGAGGAGGTTAAGGATTTAGAAAGACAAGAAATACTAGATGGAGCAAGGGCCTGAGGAGGTGGGGAAAGGATGGCCTGTAAAGCACAAGTACGGTGTTGGCCTTAGACAAGAAGCGTAGTGTCTCCCCTGTTAGAACAGGGGAGGTGAAGGAGCAGGTGGGGAAGGATGCAGATGCATTTGTAGATAAGGGGCATGCAGAAAGAGCTCTGCCTAGTGGCTTTATTATCTTTCTGGAAGTAGGAAGGCATTAGGGTTGGTGAGTACCATTGAGGGTTGCTAAGGCTGTGGTCTTGGATCTGTAGTAACCACTTTCTGTATATAAGAATGACTTTTTCTGGCATTGTTGAGCTCAAGAGCAAGTGTGGAGAAATGGAGTCATGGTTGGGGTTTTCCAGAAAAGGTGTGCTCTAGGACAAGTAGGCAGGGTGTTAAAAATTGGGGGATGGGTGGTTGAAGTGATAGATTCAAGGGTTCAGGCTTAGTAGAAAAGTACTGAAGCCCGAAAAGGGGATAGACAGACTAGGGGTAGGCGGGGGCTGGGAGGAAGCAAGAGCAGAGGGAGAAAGCAAACAAAAGCTAGAAGGTTAGGAGGCTGGGGCCAGAGTGGAATTCGTCCTTGTGAGATTTCAGAGAGAGGGCAGTTCTGGGTGATAACAAGGCTCAGGGGGTGGCTCTGGGGAAAGATGACTGAAATAGGTAGAGGAGAAGCTCATTAGAGCACAGGGAGTCAAGAAATTGAGAGGCAACGTCCATGGCTGGGTTATCTTGTAGATACTGAAGTTACCCAGAGTGATGATGATTTGGAATGAAGTCCCAGAGGGAGAGGAAGAATAGTCTAGAAGCAGCAGGAAAGAATTTGAAGACATCTGCAGAGTATATCCAGGAGTGAGTTAGGTATTGGCTTGCCAGTTAGTGTTGCTGCATAACTGATCACCCTGACACTTAGTGACTTAAAATAACAACAAATATTGTATTATCCCTCATGGTTTCTGTGACTGAGGAATTCAGGAGGGGATAGGTAATGTGGTTCTGGCTCAGGATCTCTTGTGTGGTTATATAGTCAGGCAGTGGCTGGAGCTGGCACAATGGTCAGAGCAGTTGCGGGCTGGCTGGGCCTCTCTCTTTCTTCACCGAGTCTCATGGCTTCTATCTGTGTTCTCTCTGCATGGGTTAGTTTGGGCTTCCTCATGGCATGGCTACCTTCAGGCAGTCTCACTACTTAACACAGCAGCCCCGGACTGCAGGGAAACTTTCCAGTGATTGAGGTGGAAGCTGCCTAAGCATTTTTGCAGTAGTGTTGAAGGGCAGGGATGGTGACAGAGACTTAGTCTTGATGGTAGGTATGTCAGAGTCACAGTGAAAGAAGAACATGTGAGATGGGAGATAGTGTTGCAACCCATCACAGGAAAATACACTCTGCCACAACTGGTATTAGGCTGAACCTGGAAAAGGGTTCCCTGGGAAAGGGAGAGGGAACTGTATTCTCAAAGGCAAGGTGCATTTTGAGCAATGGCACCAAGAATATCTGGAGGTAGCAGTGGGAGTGAGTAGTCCTGGGTGATCTCAGATATACCTGGAGGAAAGTACTGTCATCCCATCTCGCAGTACAAGAAACTGAGGCTCAGAGAGGTTTAATAACTCATCCAAAGTTATAGTGCTAATAGCTGGCAGAACTGAGCCTTTCTATGAGGCATGGGCTGCTGGGTGTGCCATAAGTATATGTGGCATACTCCAGCCTAGTGTTTACCTGTGCCCTTAGGTATTTGGCTCACCAGCTGTGGAAGTGTTGGTCAGGATAGAGAGTTAGGTAGTATTTGTGTCTGCCAGACTTTCTCTTCCCTATCCTCTGGAGTATCACCATCACAGCTTCATCTCTGTTGGGGGTTAGGGGAATGGCAGTTGGTTTGATTTGGCTCCTAGTCTTGAGCAATCACCTGCAGGGTGACAAGTCATCCAGAGGTATGGTTAAAGGCCTGCTCCTCCTCACCTCTAGGTGGGATGGATAGGCTGAATGTGCTAGCACAGGCTTCAAAACTCTGGTTTTTCTGAAAGTTGCAGAGCAGCCTATTCTGTCTGCAGCCTGAGCTGGGTTCTAGCCATTTAGCCCAACCACAGCCCTTCCCACTGTGCGTCCACTCCACTCTGAGGGTCCTGGTAGGTAGTATATGGGTGGGCAGAGATACCATAGCAGCTGCTGAGGCCTCTTTCCTCTTTGAAGGATCTGATGCTGCAGCCGATGAGGGCTACTTCATCTATTAAACCCAATACACTTGTCGCAGCTGCTAAGCCCCCATAAGCCGCCGGGCGCCGTGTTTGTGATGGGACTGACAGTGCATGGAGGAGGCTGATTATACACGATTCCATTTCGCGGGCCCAGCAATGTAATTTCACAGGGCGATCAGTGTTTGCATGTAATAGCAGGCTGCGCTGAGGTGTCAGAATATTAAAGGCGCTAATGGCAAAGCTCCCTGTTACACAGGGGGCCACCCGCCGCACCTACAGCAGGGCTATGCGGCAGGCCCGTCGCAGATGGCTGGCCACTAAGCTAATGGGGCAGCAGCCAAGGCGGGCAGAGCCACGAGAGGGGAGAGCCAGCCGGGAGCAGCTCGGCACCTGCTTCCCTGTGCATGGAAATTGCAGCAGCCCAGGGGAAGGGAAGCGTGTGTGCGTGCCTGCCTGGCACAGGGCTGAGGTGGTTTGGCTTGGTAGGCCCAGCATCTTTCACCTCAGCCAGCTCCACCTGTCCCTGTGGCTCGCATCAGTACCTGCCCTGGACAGGACTCAGGAGCACCTCAGTCATCTTCCTACCTGCCCCACCCTCTGTCTGGGAACCCCAGGGGCTAGGTGCTGACTGTGCATAGCTGGGCAGGTGGACCCTGATGGCTGAGAGAGATGCAGCCAAAGAAGTGGCACCCAGAGGATTTGGAAGCAGCTTTGGGAAACAGGCTCGGGCACAAGCTCTTGGAGAGAGCTCTTAAAGCAGATTCCTGCCCCACACTGATCAAGATCAGAAAGCTTCTGGGCCCCATATCCCCATTCCCCCAAGCTGGCAGGAGAGGGAAGGGAGCAGTGAGAGGGAGCAGGCAGGAGTAAAGAGATAGACACAAGGCCCCTTGATGCCATGTTGCTGCCAGGTACACAGAGTTGAGAGACAGTGCCTTCAGATGTGGCTCCCCTCTCTAATTTGGCTGTCCCAGCCACACCCAAGCCTTTATTGTGCTTGCTCATGCCACTTTCCTTTGTCTTTGCTGTGCCTTCTGTCTGGAATGTTGTACTCCCCTGCCACCTGTCAAACCGTCCCAGCCTGCCAGTACCACTCCCTCCAGGAAGCTTTCCTAGCCTCCTCCAATCTCACCAGGGTCTGCTTGTCTTCATTGTCCCCTGTAGGCAATCCAAAGGGCTCAGCCTTGCTGATCCTCCTGCTCTGATGGGTCTCTGAGTGCCAGCCGTGGCTCCTCAGCCGGAATCTCTGAGACATAGCCCATGACACCTCACCCTGATCAGGACTCCCAGGAAGGTCTCTGCTGAGATTTGTAGACAGATCCAATCTCTTAAGGAGGGCGAATGGAGGGAGCAAGTAATGGAAGTGTGGCAGTCACCTGAGGGCAAGTCCGATGCATTTGTGGCATGCCAGCATATATGCGCTTGGGCCACTCCATGGCCTGCATATCTTGTGGGGAGAGGCATGGGCTTTAAAAGTGAGTGGTGGGCACAGATGACTACAGGTGCAGCGGGGTAGCAGGTGTGAGGATCCAGACCATATGTTGGCAGACCATATGTTGGCAGGAGCACAGGTTGCTGTGGGACCACCTATGTTTTGTGGGCAGCTATCTGCGTCTGTTGGCTGTGCCTAAGCAGTACCCAAGATGGCAGGAGCTGGGGGGAGCATGAGGTGCTGGGCCCTGGTACTATGCTTAGGGTGGCCCCGTGAGGCTGGTGGTCACATCTGAAGGTTAGGCTCTGCAGGTGCATGTGTCAGTACCTGGGGAAGACGTGCCAGGGCTCTCAGCAGGGCCAACAGCGGGAGAGCCCAGGCTGAGGGAGAGCAGTTTTAATTAACCGTTTTTAATATCATTTTGGACTTTGGCTGGTATGTGAAGGTCCCGCTGGAAGCAGCATTTGTAAAAATTAAATCCCTCTTATTAGGAGCTTGGCAGACCCATGTGCATGCGCCACCCCCTCTCCCGCCCCATGCCCCCCCTGAGGAAGTGCTGGATGAGGCCATGTCACAGCAGCAATTGGTTATCACGCCTTATCTGGGAATATGAAACTGTGCGGCATGACACCCACGGCCGCAGTGGAGACGCCAATTCATCTCGCCCTCGCTCTGACAAGCCAGACTGCCCTTCCTGAAAGGCATCTGTCAGGCGGGACCGGGTTGCCTCCTTTCCTGGCACCTTCGCTTTCCTGCCAAGGGCCCAGCTTTCCCTGGTCCAGCCTGGCCCTCCTGGGGCTCTGCTGTCCTCCGTCCCCCTTTCACACGTCCCAGTCTGTGGAAGATCTTGGGGAGTCATAATTACAATAATAATCTAATCACGGTGACGCGGTGGGGCAAGCATCTAATGTTATCTGAAGTGGTCTTCCCGCTTAGCTGCGATAAGACTCAGGATGACGTGCAGATAACGTTGAGCTGCCCTGTCCCCGAGCCATAAGCAGAGCGGAGGGGCCTCGGCAGCCCTGCCGCCCGCCCGTCGCTTTAAGCTGGGAAGCGGCAGCACCTGCTAATGCAAGTGTTTAATATTTGATGGGCTGGGATAAAGCAGGATCACCTTCGAATTGAATTGAGTGTCAGCCGAGAATCTATTACTGAAATTCGGGTGTGATTTGACAGCAAAGTAGACGATGTTATTCTTCACTAGTTACTGCAATCTTCTCCCCGACATCACTTAAATATTTTTTTCTTTGCTTGAGTAAACACACATTATCCTTCTTTTTTCCCCCTTCCTTCCCTTTTTCCTTTTTAGAGGGGAAAAAAACCCATCCAGCTCGTCTTCTCCAGGCTGATAGAGTAGATTGTTATTTCTTTATTTGTCCTATTAAATGGAATTTCTGATCGTTTAATCCGGCCTTTGTAAGTGATTTTAAAGTACTTGAAAGGCAGCCGCCACTGCTCTCTGGCCCACTGCGCTCCAGCCTCAGCCCTGACCAGGCTCAGCGGCTCCTCTGGCTATGCACCACCCACTGGCTGCTTCCCTCACTGCCTCCATCCCAGCTCTGCCCTGGCTCTGGGCCAGCATCTTCTCCCCTGTCCTTGAGCCTCACACTCAGCCCCTGATTTGTGGGTTCAGCTGTGGCCTGGGAAAGGGTGGGGGAAGGCTGGCTGGGAAGTTGGGCTGTGGCTGGTACCTCTGCGGTCAAGGAGAATGGCTTTAGAGGGTGCTAAGGTTTAAGTACACTTTCTCCTAGCCTCCTAGTACCCATGGGGCTGGAGTGTTGGTTCCTGCAGCTGGAAAGGAAGGGTGGACACAGAATCTGGGCCCTGGGCCCTGGCACAGACACTGTGTGCAGCCTCCCATTTTGTGTTTCTGACCCTGTGCTGGGCCCTCTCCCCTGTGTGTTAGTGGGATGGAGACCTCCTGGGACTAGCAAAGGGCTGGACCACTGCGGTGCTCATCTACTCACAGCTGGCAGTCACTTTGGTTCCATCACTGGACCACCTATCCAACTTCTGGAAACTCACCCAAGCTTCATTCTGACCACTGCCCTGTACGCTGTCCTGCCACTGGTAGAAGGGCAGCCTGGTGTTTGGGGACTTCTAAAGTGAGGGGATGGGTAATGTTTGAAGGCCCGACTAGCTACCAGGCCTACCCGGAGAAGCCCAGGATTTGGTTAACAGGCTGAGCAGGAATTCAATCCTATTTGGCTACTTCATAGTGATCTAACCTATGTTAAGTCTCTTCTTTCTGGGCCTCAGTTTCCTCATCTGTGGCATCAGGTCAGTCATGGCTAAAAGGGACTGTAAGGGAAGGCGCTGCCCCTGAGCTGCCGTGTGTCCCCCCCCCAGGTGGAGGTTGCTGGCAGCCAGGTGGTGAGGGAAGGGGATGGAGGGGGGGCAATGGAGTGCTGGGGCCTGAGCAGATCGATGCCCCCAGCACTTCCTTCCCCAACCCCAGGAAAACAATTAAGTACAGATCGATGGGTGGCCGCTTTGAATATGCATAAGTGAGCACTTGACCTTCAGCAGAGCATCTGCTCCCCCTACCACACACACACACACACACACACACTCTCTCTCACACACATACATACACACACACGCCCCATGTACACCCCTCCCAGCTGCTTGAGTTGACCAAGTGACCTTACTCCTCTCCTCAGTTGAGCCACCACAAAGCTCCCAGATCCTTTCATAGCCTGGCCTGCTTGTGGTCAAAAGCACCTTGACCATGGCACCTTGCTGGCCAGCTCTCACTTCAACATTTCTGTCTGTGGAGTGCAGTTTGGATGCACTGGTTTCCAAGGTCCTGCCTGAAGCTAGTCTTTGTGAACAGTAATACTGTGAGGAGGAGGCCCAGCAAAGTGCTGGGGGCTCCGGAAAGGGGAGATCCTAAGGAGGGGTGCAAGGTGCAGGTATGCCCTTGTGAGAGGAGGGCTCCTGAGAAGGAGGAGCCTAGTGAACGGGAACTCCTTAGAGAGGAGTCCTGGTGAGGGGCACCCATTGAGGGCCAGGGACTCAGATGGGGAGAAGCCCAGGAGAAAAGGCACTCTGGAGAAGGAAGGGAGTTTCTGCTGGGTCTGGGGAGGACCTGGGTGGAGAAGGGACTCTCACGAGATGGCATTATGAGAGGGATTCCTTGTTGGAAAGATTTGGGGGGTGGGGGGAAGACCTTGTGAGTGGGGTTGGTTCAGAGGGTCAGGGCCTCCGTTAACCACTTGCCTCCTGTCTTCCAGGCTTACAGCTTCGCCATGGGCTGCTGGCCCAAGAATGGACTTCTAGACATGAACAAGGGCCTCAGCCTGCAACACATAGGCCGGCCCCACAGCGGCATTGGTCAGTCCCTTCGCATATTCCCCCGGCAGCTCCATCCATCGTCCCTTGCCCGCGTGCCCCAGTCCCCAGGCACATAGAGAGTTTCCATGGCTCATTCAGTGCCCCAACAGGGCTCTCTACATAGGTGGGGGGATGGTGGAAGGGGGGTGGCATGAGAAAATTACTGAATGGGACCACTGGAAGGCACCACTCAAAGTGGTATTTTGGAGGAGGCTGGGGTCTGGGCTTTGGGTGAGTCACAGATGGCCTTGGACTCAGGCCAAGGTCCTCCTTCACTGGCTGCATCTCTAGTGGGCAATGTCCTCAGTGGGTGGGGACATGTCAGCTTACCCACCCCCCATGGAGCTGGAGGAGGCTGTTTAATATTGTTTGAAGTCTGTGGCCACTAAACTGGACGATCAATGGGAGTTAAGGAGATGAATTATTTAAACCTCACCAGCTTTTAATTAGTCGGGGTCCTTCTGACCGATGACTCCGTCCACAGGGTATTGACTCCCCCGCAGGAGCAGCAGCCTCCATTGAGCGGTGCCTGGGTTGAGGGGGTCCACTTGGGGTACCAAATGGGGGTATACCCTCAAGGGGATTCTTGTTTGGAAGGAAACTGGAGTGGCTATGATTCCAGGCAGTTGGAGGTTTTGTTAGTTTCTGATCTATCAGTATGAATATGTTATCTGTCTGTATCTGTGTGTCTGCATATGTGTGACACCTTTAGCTGTATGTCTCTGTGTCAGACTCAGAGTATAATGTATCCATGATTATACATGTCTGTTGGGGAGCGTGTAACAGTATATCTGTATTTTTCTGAGGGCATGAGTCTGTGTGGAAGCAGCTACCAATCTGTGTGTGTATCTGTCAGGTGTGTCTGTTCAGTTCTGTATATCTTATTTTGTTTGCATATGCACATGTGTGCATGCAGATGCTCTCAGGTGAGGCACCTGACCAAGCATAGGCCTTGTTCCAAGTGGGGAGGAGCCAGAGTATCTCTGGGCAGTGTGCTGACATTACCACAACCTGTGAGCCTTTGGGGTCGCATCATTGTGGGGGGGGACTGGAGAGAGAATACCAGGACCAAAGGACCCAGTCACCTCCTTCAGAGTAGATCCTTTATCCATTCCAGACATTCACTGGTACCTTGTGGATGCTGGGCATGCTAAGTAGAAGTTTCTGTTCTCAGTGAGCTCACATCCTGGGAAGAGACAGGGACTGAAATAGGTGCTTGCCACCCAGGGTACTAAGGGCTGTGACAGAAAACACCTGGGTTGCCCCAAAGGTGGTTTTCCCTCTCCTCAGTTGCCAAGTAGCTTCTACTTTTTCAGTTACCTCTCACTAAGAGGTAGTGATATGGGGGCATCTCACCCCAGGAGGGATGCCCCCATATTCTTGTTGGGACATCTGAAGGGTTTCCCAGGGCTCAGGCTAAGAGGAAGTGACCAACAGGCCTGGGGAAGTGGGGGTGCTCCACCATAACTGCTGTTCCCTCGCATAGATGTTTCACAGATGTTTTCCAAACAATCTAGAGAAGACGCCAAACCCAGCAGTGTAATATGCCTGGGAGGTCAGCAGGAAGTTTCCTAGAGAAGAGGACACTTGAATTGGGATCTTTGAAAGATGAATAGGAGTTTGCTGGGCAGAAAAATGGGGGAAGGGTATTTTAGATAGGAGGACTCAGTAGAAAGGCCTGTGGGCATGAGAAACCCAGTGTGTTGAGGACAAGTTCAGACACCTACAAGAAGCTTCCCATGACTAGAGTGGCAAATTTGGGTTAGGAAGCAGCTAGAAAATAAACAGAGATATAAGCAGGCCTTGAATGCCTGGTTAAAGGGTGTGGACTTTTCCTGCAGTTTTGAGGAGACATAGGAGGTTTGTGAGTGAGAGAATGACGTGATCAAAGCCCTGATTCAGAATCAATGAGGCAGTTTGTGTTGCACAAAACTAGTTCTTAGTAGGTGCTCAATAAATGCATATGGGTGGTTGAATGAATGAGTAGGTGAGTAAATGAATCAATGAAAGAGTGATGGGAAAGGGAGGAACCAAAGAGGACCAGTGAGAAGACTTGCATTGGTCCAGGGAAGGAAGAACTGGCTGGGGGCTAGGGACAGCCTGGGTTAATGCACCCCACATATACTTTATCTGGGTGCCCCTTCTATCATCTATCCCAGGGTGTGTGTGTGAGAAGGGGTTCCTCGTTCCCACTCTTTGTGCTTCTTGAGACTCAGCAATGCCCCTGTTATCTGTTCACCTGTTGACCCTAGGTTAGGACCTGTGAGGTGTCCCTTCCTTTTTCAGAGAAGGTTTCTTTATCTGGCTGGGCCCTATGGGGCAGCCCAAGGCTCTGAGTGACAATGGAGTAAGGGCTTTGGAGCCAGAAGTAGTTCTGGTTCTTCCACCCAGAACCCTGTGACCTTAGATGAAGGACAATGCCACCTGCTTCTCTGGGTTATTGGGAAGGCTCAGTGAGTCCCCTGGGGAAAGTGTTCATGCAGTGCTGAGCACACCATGGGGCTGAAGGGGCTCCCTACTCTGTTGCCAGCACCAGCGGCTCCCCAGGACACTGGGCTTCTTGACACTTGGTCTTTGTAGTCTTTGAATGAAGAGGGCTGCCCTGCCACCTCCAGGCTGGCTCTGAGGTGTGGGTGAGGGTGCTTGGAAGGGAGGGAGGATGCAGGGCATTAATTGGGCTGGGAGAGGCGGGGAAGGGGAGGCGTGGGTTTTGAGCAGTGAGGTTAATGGCCCTCGCACCAAAGAGACAGCTTTAATGAGCTTCAGCTGGCGATGCCCCGAGTTACTGTGCGTGCTAAAAGGGTCGCGCTGTAAGAGTTTGACGTGGACTGCTTCCCAGCCCTGGGGGTCAGAGGTCAGCTCCTGTCACTGGCCACTCAGGCTGGTCCTTAGTGACATGGTGCTAATTAACTGTGTGAGGAGCTGCCAGCCTGGAGTGGGGAGTGGTATGTGTATTGGCTGGGGGGGTAAGGCAGCATTGGGTGGCTTCCAGGCAAGGGTGCTGCAGATCCCACAGCTGAGCCATGTCCAGGGTCTGCTCAGTCCTCCTGCAGTGCCACAGGGGTGTGGCATGGGTGGTGTGGAGGTGCTGAGAGAACACGGAGGCAGACTTGGGGTGACGGGTGTGGGGAAGGGGCTCAGGCTGTAGGGGAGGGGGCTACTAGGATGGTTGTGCGTGGGAAAGCTGTAGGAGTGTTTTGGGCAGGGGAGTTACATGGTCAGTGTTGGCTTCAGTCAGAGGATGCTCATAGTTTGTAGGGGAAGGACTAGTGAGGAGAGACTGCAGACAAGGAGGCTGAAGGGGAGGGGCAGCAAGGTAAGCAAGAGTGCATCGGCCCTGGAAATAGAGGTAGGACACCAGGTAAAACTTTCTTTCATTCAGTACACACTACCTTGGACCTACCATATATCAGGAACCATGGTAGGTGCTAGAAATGTATTGGTAACAATGGCAGACACAGTGCTCTGTCACCACAGAGCTCACAAATGGAGTTGTGGGCTTGGCCCTGGGGACTGAGGGTGAAGTCAGGTTTAGGGATGGCCAAGGAGGGTCTGGAGGTGATGCAGCACTGGACAGAAAGGCTGCTGGAGGCTTGTCAGCGTGACATCATAGTCAGGGGAGGGCACTTCCTCCTGGGGTAGCGGATTTGGCCTTGGGAGACTGGTGAACAGCATGGTGCCAGAGCAGGTTGTGGTGAGTAGGGCCTGCATGCATCTAGAACTGCTGACTCCAGGGCTGCCGATGGTCTCTGTCAGCATCCTTAGTTTGGACCACAGGCTCTGAGGGAGGGCAGCCTCCACAGGGGACTGCTGAGTGGTCCTTCATTCATTTCAGCAAAGGGGCAGTAAGCACTCATATTATTTGGAAGCACTTTATGTTAACTAATTTAGTTTTCACAACAGTCTTAATGAAGGCAGGCATCATCATTCCCATTTTATAGATGAAGAAACTGAGTCTCAGTGAAGTGAACTGCCTAAGGTCACATAGCCAGTTGGTTGAGGAGCCAGGATTCAAACCCAAGCCCATCTGAGTGCAGAGCCTGTGTTGTTATCACTGTGGAACTATGAAGCACCCTTTTGGTGTTGGGCTTTGCGCTACCAATAGAGACGATGTGGAAGAAAACAAGCTCGCTTCCCTCATTTCCCTCAGCGTCAAGTGAAACACGCAGGCCTGAACAGACCTTCGGTAGCAGCAGCTGAGGAAGAAAGCAAAGGCAGCATCACCACTCCCTCTCTGCTGCTACAGTCACCCTGAGCCAGGGACCTGCAATTGTTGGCATCTGACCTCCTTCTGGCCCTGACGGTTCTTTGTGATTTCAGTTCTCTACCTCATGGCCCAGGAAAGTTCTGCTAATCTTCCAGGGGCCACCTCCTCTGGGAGTCTCGCCTGGCCCTCCCAGTATGAGTGTTCAAAACACACACTTGGGCCCTATTATAATTTGTCAGAGGTAATGATCTGGCCCTACGCACTTGGGTTCTCTAAGGGCAGGGCCTGGACCTCCTTCCCTTCTTTTTTGGAAATCTGCACAGGAAATGTCAGTAAAATCTCACCTGCTATTGTAACTTGGAGGCCTCACAGACTACTGCTGGTTTCAGCTGGCTAGGAGAGTAACTGGAACCTTCCCTGATGCCCGGCTGGGTGGTCCTGCCTAGGAGCTTGTCCCCTCTGCTCTGGGATGGAGAAGGATCCCACTGAGGCTTGTGGTACAGGTGGCATGGCCAGAAACCAAGTGGACTCTCAAGAGCTTGCTACCCAGAACTGTTTGGCAAGAGAGCTGGGCTGGCAGGTGGCAGGGTGGGGGCCTGGGCCCCAGGGGGGCAGTGGGCTGGCCTGTGGTCTCCCCTGAAGGAGTGGGGTGTCTATCAAGAGTCCAGTCAGAACGCATTAGCTCTGTGACACAGATCTCATTAGTGCCCATGAGAGGTGTCACTGCGGGAGAATCGTCGGCTCAGGGAGACGCTTGTACCAAAAGGAAGAAAGGACAGTGACAGCCTTTTCTCTGCCGCCTCTGCCGCCACGCTCACTGGGCTGCCCGCCCTCCTCCTCGTTGAGGGGGGTGCGGGGGGTGCTGGCTAATGAGCTCGTCTGCAGTACAGCTTTGCCTTCCCTCCTTGAAGTTTCCCGGGTCCCTCTGAAGACCTCGGGCCCAGGATTAGCACACACCAAACGCCAGCCCCCGTCTTGCCCAGCAGGGAGTTCCTTCTGATCACCCTATTCCTGCTACCATAGGCAAGGAAAGGGGGTGGTACCAAGATAGAGCCACTGTGGCCTGGGGGAGGGGGCCTTGCACCTCTGGGAAGCCTCAAGCCCCTCTGCATCCCTTGACAGAGTGACCGTGTCCACCTCTCTGCAGAGGGTTCTTGCTTCCCAGAGCTGCAGTCTTCTCCTCCCATCCCCTTTCTCCATGACATCTAGCCTGGCAGTGTCCCCATTCCTGTGGGGGACCCCCACTCAAGGCAAGGAAGAATGTGAGGACCTTGGCTGAGGGTTTAGGAGGTAGCATTTAGATCTGATAGGATGTGGGACTTTCTGGCTCAACTAGAGAGCCTCAGAATCAGTGAGATTCATGAAGTCTTCTGGGCTTCAGATGACCTGAGTGGTGATGCATTGATGTGAGGCCTCTACAGACCTTGATGTCCTTCCAGAGAGGTACCTTGCCTGCTTCCCCCAGCTTTGGCCACCTTCAGGGCTGGGAGGGGAGGAGTCAGCCCAGCTGCCTTGTGGGGAAGGGCAGAGCACAGTACTACTGTACACTACTGCCCCCTCCCATCCAGTTCTTTCTGGTGTGGCCCTAAGAAAGTGAGAAGCTAGGGAGATGGATGGTCATGAGAAGGGTTAACTCTCCCATCATTGACAGGGTCTGCACTGGCCTGCCTGGATAGTGCCTGGGGAGAGGGTGCTGGCTCCTTCCTTCCTGAGCTGACCCCCTTGGAGCCCCAGAGACATCTGAGGAATTGGTTCTTGCCAGACACCAGACTGTTCTTCAGTAGCAACCATAGATGGAAGAATGGCTAGATGGATGGGTGAGTTGATGGACTAGATGGGTGGGTGAGTTGATGGACAGATGGATGGAAGAAGGTTCTCCTGTATGTATGTATGTATGTATGTATGTATGTATGTATGTATGTATGTGTTATGTGTGTTTGATTCTTTAGGAAGTACAATCTTTGTTTCCCCACCTTCCTAGCCCCAGGCCCCGGCCTCGCCTCCCCTTGTCTCTCTCTGTATCTCCTGTCAAACCATCGCAGACTTAAATGACAAAGAAATCAGAAAGACAGATCAATGCCGGCCAAATTAGCACTTGCAGATAGACTCTGCGGGGATGTCAGCGCCCTGACCCCTGGTGATCTTGCAGCCTCCACTGCTGATATTATGCAAATTGCATCCATCTGGCAGGACCCGCGTGCTGGCTGCTCCTACTCAGAGGAGTAATGGGCTGGGGGTGGGTGGGAGTGTTAGAGCAAGAGTCAGTGAAGTGTGTGCATGTGTGTGCATGTGTGAGCATGTGTTTGAGTGTGTGTGAGGGCGTGCGGTGCCCACCAAGCACTGGGCGGTGATTGAGTGATTGACAGGGCAGATAAGGGACTGCATTGGATTCCTGTGGGCTGGGGGATTAGGAGCAGCCACAGATGGGAGATAACCGGACTTCATTTCAGTTTATTTTCCTCCTTATCCCCTCTCCCCACCTTCACTCCCTGAAAACACAATATCTGTAGTTTGTGTTTTCATCAATATTTGCAAGTCATTACCACTGGTTTAAGGTGAGAGACAATGTCAGGGCCCAGACCAGGCCAGCCCCTCCCCCAGTTCCTGGTACCCTGAGAATCAATCCCTAGAGTGGCACAGACAGCCTTCACTCCAGTGGCATTCACAGCAGCCCCTCCTTTCAGGCCCACAGTACTCATGGGACAATCCACACTTCATGGGCCAGCCCTGCTGACCTACCCCATCTGACCTAATGCCAACTGACATTCCTTAAGCTGGGCCCTGCCCTTCCACCTGCAGCTACTGTGGGACATCCCTCCCTATGCTTTGGCTCCAGCATAGGTGCTCTGTCCTCAGTATTAGCTGTGCCCCCTGGGGCTGCCCCTACCCTTCTGCAGGGTTCTGGACCCTTCCTCTTAGCTCCTCCCATCCTGGACACTACTGACCAGGCCTAGGCCCCACTGGGCAAAGTGGGGCCTGTGGCCTGCAGAGAGGGGAATTTGTTTGGTCTGGTCTGAATCACACCAGTGTCATTCTACATTTGCTGAGGGCCAGGTATTAGTACAGAGGGCTTTATATCTGTTCTCTCATTGAATTCTCAAACCCCGTGATAAGGGCTGTCATCTCTACTGGATGTGAGGAAACTGAGGGTCCAGAAGGTTGTCATGACCGATTGCTGCTCAGCAAGGAAGTGAGAGAGCAGGAATTTGAACATATCTCTCCTAGTCTAGGGTTGGAGTTCTTCACCACCACGAGTACTGCTTTCCTTCCATTCCACCAGCTGCAGACACGCGACATGTCACCACGCCTGGATCCATTTAAGAGAGCCATCCTTGTACCGTAGGCAGAGAAGTTCATTCAGCTACTAGCCTGTGAACACAGACCCTGACTCAAACCTCCTACTAGGCTAAACCAGCCCAAGCCAGGCTGAACCAGGCCAAAGGGGACTGGAATCAAATAGGCCCTGCTCTCAGGAGCTGTGTGTCTGAGACAGTTGGGCTGTAGCAAGAAGGACACACAGAGGACAGAATGTACCCAGCAGCTGAGCCAGCGCAGAAGTGTGTCCCAGCACACGGCCTCTAGGCCCATGTAGCTCAAGGAGGGGCTGGTGTAGCCCAAGCCAGCCTGCTGTGGTGGCTGAGGGTATAGCTGTCCCAGAGGCCCCTCCAAAACTGGGTCCCTGCTGTACCCTCCCACCAGGCAGGGCTGGGAGCTGGGAGTGCTGGAGACATGTCCAGGGACACGTGTGCAAGGGGAGCTTGTCCTAATGAGGAGAACATGGCTGCTAGTTAGGCAAGGGGCGGGCGGGGAGCCGCAGAGCTGATTGAAGGCAGGGGCAGGGGTCAGACAATTAGGCCCAGATCCTGCCGTTTGATGTGAGTTCTGAGGCCTCAAAGCCTCCCTTCAGCCGGCTCCCTCCACTCCCTCCTCTCCCTCCTCTCCCTCCTCTTTCCTTTCTTCTGCCCAAAGACAGGAAGGATGGAAACGCTTACACTCACTGTTACTATTATTAAACGCTGTGGCAGGCCAGCCAGACCCCAGGATTCCTGCCCACAGGGGGCACCCCAGGCCCCCAGGAGGTTCCTTGGGCCCCAGAGGGAACATCTGGCAAGAGGCCAAGGCCAGGCCAGCTGAGCCCCAGGGCAGGGTAACCCTGCCCCTCTTGCTTCTGAGGCAGGAGAGTGAATGGGGCCTCCCAGCAGGAATTTGGGCTCTGGACTCTGGGCTCTAGGGGCCATATCCCAGGCCTGCATTAACCATCACCTCCTGCAGCCGCTTAGTTCTTTTCTATCCTGGCCTGGGGCTGAGGGTTGAGGGTGTGATTCATTCACACTCATATCCCATCACACAGTGATCTGCAGCAGTCACATCAAGACCTTTTGCCACAAGATGGAGATAATGCAGAGTCTTGCAGCCCCACAGCAGTGTCACACACCCCAAAGCAGACCCCCACACCAGATATCATAGCCACACATACCATCACAGGCCATACCCACAGGGTCTTGCACATAAGCACCTACTGTCCCCTGCCACAGGGCCCTGAGTTCTTAAGCCCCTCTCCCAGAATAGCTAAGAATAGCAGTTAGATCTTATGTCCAGGGCTGGGGGTTACCAGGCCCCTTCCAGTCTCCCACCCTAGGAAATAAGCCTAGAGAGTTGGTAGTGACCAGGGAGTGGGAGGAAGCTGGATTGGGGGGGGGAGGGGGCAGCAGTGGGGAGAGGGAGGGTGGGAGCAGAGATAAATGTTAGCTCATTTCTTCCGTAATTAGTTACTCCCTCATCCCCGCGTTGTAATTGTGAACAAGCTGTAATGTTTAATTAGTCTGTAAATGAAACCCCAATTTCATAATGGCCTGGCTGACAGGGCTAAGTGAGCAGGGGAGGAGGAGGAGGGGACTCTTCCTCCCCTCCTCCTGCAGGGTAGATGCAGGCTGTGGGATCACTTCCTTTTCCTTTCAGCCCCAGTCTGGCCTCTGTGGGGGGAGGCTATGTGATGGGGTTCAGTCCTATACTCTCGCTGTGAATATCCCTTCCATGGGCCCATCTTACCAGAGGAAGGGGAGAGGAGGCTCTCAGGCATCCTTCCTGCCTCCCCGTCACTCTTGGGTTGGGATAGGACAGTCAGCCCAACCCAGATGCTTCTGGTGGGAGAAGCTGACTCCGGTGGCCAGGCCTTGTGATCTCCGCAACGATGATGCTTCTTCCCTAAAGGCCTTTGCTTGGAACCTGGCACCTCAAGATCTGGCCCTATACACCGAAAGGAGCCGGTGATTGGTTTAGGCCCCTCCCCGACCTGTCCCGTCCCACTGCTAGGCGGGATCTAGCCCTGCGCTGACACCCAGGCCGGCCCTTACTCTCCGCAGGGATTATCACTGCAGCCTGCGATAAACCGGAGCTGCCGCAGGGGGGAGCCCCTGGCCCCGCGGCTGCCTCATTGGTCTCTCCCTGTCTCCCCCACAACATCCTCATTGCCTGCACACGCCCCCGCCCCGCCTGCCGCAGCCATAAATCTCAATTTACGAGGGTGGCTCTGGTGGGGGAGGGAGGCAGCACCGCTAATGATGGCTCCTCAGCTGGATTTTTCATGGTGCACAGTCATAAATTTTTAAGAACAGCATGGGCAGCACGTTAGCGAGTTATCGAGGCTGCCTCCGTGCTGGCTGCCTGGCTCCAAGAGAGAAGAGCAGAGGCCGCGTAGGGCCGAGGAGGTATTCTGGGGCAGGGGTGAGGCAGGGCACCCAGAGGAGTCTAAGGCCAGGGTAAGAGGGCCAAGCAGACGGGCTAGGGCTACAGTGAGCCTGTGCACAGGACAAGGTAGTGCTGCCGGCCGCCGGGAGCCAAGGCCAGGCACGTGGGTGGGATCAGGCACGTGGGCATGCAGACCGTGGCCTTCGGGAGCCCCTGATGGATGCCTCTGCTCCAAGACTTGACACCATGATGTACAGGGAGCCTGGAGACGTATGGATTTTCAAAGTGGCCACTTTGAATAGAAATACAAACCCTGAGCATGTGCACAGTGAGGCCTCTGCCCTGGCAGAGCTGCACCTAGTTCATAAACCAGGTGCCTTTTAGGATTGTTCTAGAGAGCTAGGGTGCCTGGGGAAATGCCCACAGAGGGAGCATATCTTGATATGCTGGAGCCTGGAGCTGGGCTGACCTCATTCAGTTTAAGGCTCATGCCTTCAAGGTTGAGTGGTACTAGGTAAGTCATTCACTATGGGATGTTTCTTCCTCTTGAAAATGGGGTTGATGCTGGCCTCTAACTGTCAGGCTCACTGGAAGCAAGAACTGTAAAATCTTTGGCCCATATTTGCTCCTTCATCTATTTAAATTTCTAGAAAAGTTTCTGAGTGAAGTGTCTGGGAAAGAGATCATTGTGGGAGATGATGGAGCCTTCCCTGTGTTTAGTCATTCATTCAGAAAATGTTTGCTGAGGTCTTCTGGGTGCCCAGGCCAATACCAGGGCTTCAGAGGTGAGAGATGCTCCTTTGTGGGAGGTGAAGTGAGCACTTTTGGCTGAGGCACGTCAATGTTGCCAGCCGTGTTCCTGGTTCTACCATAGGGTTGAGGTGCCAGATCCAGCCCTGTTCTTCCATGGAAGCACCTAAGCCTTCAGGATGCTGAGAAGCTCACGCAGGTCTTCTCACAAGTCCCCGGGCCAGGCGCTCCCCTGAGTCCCCTGACCAGCCCATTTGAGGGTTAATGCCCTTGACTACCTCAAGGGTGGGCAAGAAGAGCAAGTAGGACTCCTGGAGTCCCTGGAGGAGGTGGGCCTAGCACGAGGGACAGCCTTAGAAGGCCACAAGCACAAGATCAAGAAATCACCAGTTGCTCAAGTTGGCAGAGGTAGTGGGAGTGCATGTTTTGGAGGTGGTGAGTGAAAATCCTGTGTTCAGGAGGGCTCCATGGTGACCCATCAGGACAGCTTGATCATTTTGGCGGAAGAGTGTCCCCACTCTGAGCCTTGTCAGCTTAGGGGGAGTCCCTGTCTACTTGGGCACAGACTCACAGCCTCTGTCCTCTGCTGCCCTCTCCTGCCCCCCTTAAGCCACTCTCCTCCTGCTCCCCACACTCCACGCCCTTCCCTCATCTCTTGGAACCTGCCACACCTTCTTTTACCTTATTGCCTTCCCATGTGGCTTTATTTTCCCCCAGAGCCCCATATTTCCACCCCACAACCTAATTAACTCTTCCTCATCCCTCAGAGCTCAGCTTAAAGTTTGCTTCCTCAGGAATGCTTTCCCTGACTCCTAGACTTGATCAAGTCCCCCTTTCCCCGTGTACTTTTTCTCAGCACCCTGCTCTCCCCATTTGTAGCATTTAATCACAGTTGTAATTAAGAAATTATTTGTTTGAAAGTTGTTTAATGCCTGTCTCCCTCACTAGATTGTAAGTTCCCTGAAGGCAAGAAATGTCTGTTTCATTTGGCTTATATCCCCAAAGCATAGCACAGTGTCTGACACGTATAGGCAGATAGTAAATAAAATGTGCTGTTTGAATTGAGTTAAATTGAGTTGAGATGGCCCTGGCCCACCCCTGGGTGCCAGGGCAGGGGGAGGCAGCTAGGGAAGTGCCTGGAGCTGAGGTGGTTCCCATTAGTCCTCATGATTAATTCACAGCCACACTGTGATAGAGTGGGCTTGTCCCCAGTCAGTGCCTCCACTGGGGCCCACCTGTTAGCGACAAACAAACAAAGGGGATAAATAATGCATTGGGAGCTGAGCCAGGCAAGGCGGCGGTATTGAAATTAATAGGGATTAGCTGAGCAGCTTGAGGATGAAATATTTACCAGGTGGGACACGGCTTAGGGAGGGCATCCCCCCTTCCCAGAGTCCCTAGGCATAGCTAGGCCTTTCTCCAGGGCATCACTGGCTAGGACTGGGGCGCCCCAGCACCACCACTGCCACCCTTGACTGCCTGGGTTTGCAGGACAGGCTGGCCAGACAGATGAGAGCTCAGGTCCTAGCCAGTCTCCTGGCACAGTGAAGTCCTGGGGAAACCAAGATGCTAGAAGGGAACGGAGGTGGGGAAGGGCCTGAAACCTTCAGGGCTTTGGAAGCTGGAGACAAAGACCATGACAGGGTTTCAGGGCCTGGGCATGTCAAGGCTTTGGGTGGCAAATGTCAGGGCTGGAGTAGGTTTGCGTGTGATCTTGCCCCTCTTTCTTTTCCTCTAGTCCTTCCTTCCTTCTTTTCAGTATGTATTTCTTGAGTGTCTCTGTGGATAACACCTGTGCCCTCAAAGAGTTCATGGTCTAGCAGGAGGTGAAGGAGAGGCAGTTACGATAGGCGGAGAATTGGCTGCTGTGGGAGCACACAGAAGAGGTTCCTAACACAAAGGCGGGATGGGGGGAAGGCACCTAGAGGAAGCACTAGCAAGCCTGGGTCCTGAGAGGTGAAGGCAATGAGCCAGGTGAGAAGTGAGGACTTGAAAACTCAAGGTGCAAATGAGCCTGAATTTGGCTGTACAACAGGGGAGTGGGACTGATGAGACCAGAGATGTAAACAGGTCCAGAACTCAGACTTTTATAAAGGGGTTTGGATGCATTGGGAGCTGAGTCAGGCAAGGTGGCAATATTGAACTTAATGGGGATTAGCTGAGCAGTCCTGAGAGCAGTGAGGAGCCACTGGAAGTGGTGCTGGTGGTGGTGGTTTTAATTTTTGACTCTTAAACTTTTTACTTTGAATTAATTTTACATTTGTAGGAAAGTTTCTATGTATCCCTTACCCAGCTTTCCCTCATGTTAACATCTTACATAATCACAATACAGTTATCAGTACCAGAAAATTAACATTGGTACTGTGCTACATTAAAGGGCCTCTTAGGCCGGGTATGGTGGCACACGCGTGTAATCCCAGCTACTTGGGAGGCTGAGGCACGGGAATCGGCTGAACCTGGGAGGCGGAGATGCAGTGAGCTGAGATCACGCCACTGCACTCCAGCCTGGGCAACAGAAAGAAACCCTGTCTCAAAAGCCTTATTTTAATTTCACCAGTGTTTCCATTAATGTTCTTTTTCTGCTCCAGGTTCATTGAAGGGTTTGTTGTTGTTATTGTTGCTGTTGCTGTTTTTTGAGACAGAGTCTCATTCTGTTGCCCCGGCTAGAGTGCAGTGATGTGATCTCGGCTCACTGCAACCTCCGCCTCCTGTTTTCAAGTGATTGTTCTGCCTCAGCCTCCCGAGTAGCTGGGATTACAGGTGCCACCACGCCCAGCTAATTTTTTGTATTTTTAGTAGAGATGGGGTTTCGCCATGTTGGCCAGGCTGGTCTCGAAATCCTGACCTCGTGATTTGCCCACCTCAGCCTCCCAAAGTGCTGGGATTATAGCGTGAGCCACCACGCCCAGCCCGGGTTTTAAGACAGGGAGTGAAATGACCAGATTGGTGGTTTAAAAGGACACCATGGAAGAAAGATTGGCAGGGGCACTGCCGTTACCTAGATGGGAGATGATGGTGGCCTGGACCAGGATGTTGGTAATGGGAACATGGGCTTAGAAATTATTGAAAAATATATGGTAATTAAAGCTCCTAGAAATTATTGGAAAATATATGGTAATTAAAGCTCCAGGAGGGGATAAGTTTGCCCACGGAGAGAGAGTGAGAAGGGAAGAGACCAATGACAGTTCTGAGCAACATCCATATCTAAGAGGTGATCAAAAGAAAGGGAGTGTTCAAAGGAACCAAGGAGAATTGCATGAAAAGTGAGAGTGGGTCACTGAAGCCTAGGGAAGAGAGCTTCAAGGAGTGGATTGTTCACCAATTGTCTATCAATCAAAACCTGAAAAGCTTCATCCTCATGAGTCATAGGGATCATTAGAGAAAGCAGTGTTGGTAGAGCAGTGATCAGATCGCAAGGTGGGAGATGAGGAAATAAGATCTTGAGTGTAAACAACTCTGAAGTTTGCCTCTAAAAGGGAGGAGAGATTGGGTACTAGCCAATGGAAAAGGGAGTTAAAGGGAGACTTGTTTACTCCCAAGATGGGAGAGAATTAATATATTTACATGCTTATGTGAAGGAACCAATGCAGAAGAAAAAAGTGAAGCTGTATCAGTGGAAATAGGAGTACTCAATAATGTGTGGACCCTGAAAAGGCCTGGATTCTGGGTTGGACCCTACCCAGCTGGAGTGGAGGGATGGGCTTAGAAAGTGACATCAGGCAATTAGCTGGGCGTGGTGGCAAGAGCCTGTAGTCCCAGCTACTCTGGAGGCTAAGGCAGGAGAATCGCTTGAACCCGGGAGGCAGAGGTTGCAGTGAGCCGAGACCGTACCATTGCACTCCAGCCTGGACGACAGAGTGAGACTCCATCTCAAAAAAAAAAAAAAAAGAACGTGACATCAGGCTTGGCCCTCTCTTGTGACAGGAGGAGAGGACTGGGGCAAACTCAGGAGAGTGGCTTCTGTGTGGCTCCTGTGGAGTAGGAGATAAGATTGTTTGCATGGGTGAGGGGTTTGGGGTGATGTTGAGGGCAGGGGATTTGAGATTTGTGGAAAGTAGAGAAACTTGAAATTGTCACTATGGGTGAAGGGAGAGAGAGTGCACACTGATCAGGAACACTGGAGATTGGCTGGGCAGTTTTATATACCCAGCTGAGGCTGATGACTCTGATTTTGTAAGTGGCACTAGTCTATATGGTTGTGATTTTCTCTAGTCATACGCTCCAGGTGGCAGGCACAGAGAAGGCAGAGTCTGGGTTTTTCCAGGCAAGGGTGACAAGGAAAAGGGAATAAGAGAGTTGAGGATTGGCAAGAAAAAGACTGAAATGATGGACCATGCAATCCAGGCTCCAAAGGCAGACATGTCAGTTACGTTGCTAGGACAGAAACTATGACTTTTCCCTTCTTTTTCACTAAATAGAACCCCTGTATAATTATAGAACCGCTGTATAATAATCAGTGTGTACCTAGTTAAAAGACTACGTTTTTAGTTTTCCAGACAGCTAGGTACAGCCATGTCTCTGAGCTCTGGCCGGTGAAACAAAAGGAAATGTGTTGTCTGGGACTTGCAGGAATGATACCTAAAGGGAAACAGCTCATCTGGGAAATACGCTATTCTTGCCTTTTCCCGTCTTCCCCCTTTCTTTTTCCTGGAATGTGGATTTGATGGTTGGAGCTCCAGCAGCTATTTTGGACTATGAAATAGTCTGAGGATTGGAAACCACATGCCGAGAATGGCAGGGCAGAAAGAAAGAAGAAGTCTGAATAGTCTGATGATTTTGTGGAACTGAGGGGTGTTTAGTCAACTTATATTGCAAGCCATACTCATAGAATGCCTTTCTTAGTAAAGCTATATTTCTTCCCTCTCTGTTTTCACTGGGGTTTTAGTCTAAACTTGATTCTTTTAGCCTTTTTCCTAACATAGCCTGTGTCCTGAGATACAGCAAGAAACAATTTGATCAAATGTTTCAAGAGAGCAAAAGAAAAAAACGGTTACCAACTTCCCAGCCTGAAATAGCAGCGTCCTCTTTGTCCTTCGGCCTGCCTCCTTTATTCAGTGAGTTCTATGTTGTAAGGTCCATTCCTTATGTCATTCTCCTTCCTGCCTTTACATTCTGTATCAGTTAGTATACTTTCAGCTGCAAGAAAAATAAACCCCAATTTTAAATATCTTAAATAAGGGGATTTATTATCTCACAAAAGAAATTTGGCGGTAAGGCGATCCTAAGGTCGGTTAATTCAGCATATCAGCAGTGTTATCAGGGACCCAGATATGTTTCCATTTTTCTTTCATCTTCAGCATGGTCTTCATAGGCTAACTCCCCTCAAGGTTGGAAGATGGCTTCTGCAGTCCCAGACATTATGTGCAGTTACGAAAACATCCAGCAGAATATAAAGGACTATTTTTCCCTCATGCTTGTCTTCATAAGAGATAAGAAATTTTCCTTGAAGGCCTTTCAGCAAACTTACCCTCATGTCTCAGTAGCCAGAACACATGCCCATCCCTGTGCCAATGACTGGCAAGGGAGAAAGGATCACCAAAAATGACTCAGACCACAGAGGATTAATTCTGATTACTTGAAGGGGTAGTGGGCTCTGCCAGCAGAGCAGAAGCAGGTGGCTGTTGGGTACATCATCAGAAGTGAACAAGGGCCGGGACCAATGGCTCATGTCTATAATCCCAGCACTTTGGGAGGCTGGGGTAGGAGGAACCAGCCTTGGTAACATAGCAAGACCCCATATGTACACACACAAAAAAAAGCCAGGCATGGTGGCATACCTGTAGTCCCAGCTGCTCGGGAGGCTGATGCAGGAGGATTGCTTGACCCCAAGAGGTCGAGACTGTGGTGAGCTATGAGCAAACCACTGCACTCCTGCCTGGGTGACAGAGTAGGGCTCTAACTCAAAGAAAAAGAAGTGGGCAAGGAAAAATGTGAATACAGGAGAGACAATATATATGGAGAGAGTAAGGGTATAAATTTTAAGGTTTCAGTGAGTGAAAAAAAAAGTATACAGACAGGTTAGGCATCCATAATCTGAAAATCCCAATGCAGAATGCTCCAAAATTCGAAACTTTTTGACTGCCAGCATGATACCACAAGTGGAAAATTCCACACCTGACCTCATGTGATGGGTCGCCGTCAAAACTTTGTTTTATGCACAAAATTATATAAACGATTATATAAAATTACCTTCAGGGTATGTGCATAAAGTGTATAAGAAACATAAATAAATGAATTCTGTGTTTAGACTTGGGACCCCATCCCCAAGATATCTCATGTATATGCAAATATTGCACAATCTGAAAAAAATTCAAAATTCAAAACACTCCTGGTCTCCAAGCACTTTGGATAATAACCTTGTTATTGTTATTGTCAGAAACAAGGGATATTTGGATTTAATATTTCAAAGGAAGAGTAGTAGGATATTTAAAAGGTTGACTGTGTTACTGTGAAAATGGGTGGAAATTAGATACAATGGAGAAGGCCATTAGTACTAAAGTCAAAGAAGGAAGAGGCTGGCAACAAGATTTCTCAAAAGGTCAGGATATAGAGGTTGTGGCAGGCAGGTCTCTCGGGAGGGAGGTGGCCATGGTCTGGATTGATAGCATGTGCTCACAAGAAAGTCTCCAGATAGTCTGCTGGCACGTGGGTCTGGGGCCGGGTCACAGGTCCTGGAACTTTGCGGCTGCCCGGGGCAGCACAGGCAAGTGGCATAACCTCTCTGTATCTCAGTGTCCTCATTTTGCAAAGAATCTGTCCTGGTAGTTCAGGCCATTCTGGAAGAGGGTAAGGCCCTGACACCTTCCTATTGAATCCACTACAGGACCCAGAAGACTGATGAGGCTGCCAGGTATGGCAGATCTGCTCAGCTGTTCTCAGTAGCCAACCCCTCCCTGGCTGGGTTCCCTTCACTTGGCTGTAGGTGATCTGGCTATAACCTGGCACTTCTAGTTGTGGCATCCCAGACCAGGAGAAAGGTGAGGCTTCCTGGCTCCTCTACCTGGATGGGGCCTTGGCTGGGATTGATCTGGGGGAGGCGGGCATCCTCTGTAATGGCCAGAGCAGCCGCCCTGTTACTACGGCGTATTTCACTTTTAATTCTGACATATAATGTAATGATCTTTTTTAAGGCCCGATGATATTATCTGCCTGACTAGATTATTGAGTCTTCATCATCTCCAGATAAATTTATGGCCAGGACGAGGCTCAGGATTTATCATCAGTCAATAGAGCTCGATACTCTAACAAGGCGTGTAATAAGATATACATATTTAATGATTCAAGGGGAGGAGTGCTAATGGGAGTCGCGTGAGTGGTCCATGGGGCTGGGGCTCTGCCCTAGGGTTGCCATGGCTGTGGGGACATGGATGTGGTCTTTGTCCTGTGGTCCCCAACTCTGGTCTTTCTCAGGACTGCCTCAGTCTCCTCCTTCCCAAGAGCCTGAGGAAGGGAGAGGTAGGAAAAGGAAGAGGCAGCATTAGGGCCAGGCCAGAGCTAGGGCCCAAGCATCTTCAGCCCAAAGGTGTATGCACCCCCTGAGAACTCCGCTCCCGCTTCCAGGCCTTGGAAGGGTTTGGGGTGTCCTCAGACCTGTACGCCCAGGCCCCTGAGCATTAGGGCGGGCCCACAAGGGAGGGAGTGCCGGGGCTGCATGCCCAGGCCGCACTGATGGTGACGGATGGTTTTTCATTATAGCCTCTCAGGTCCTGCCCGCACCCTGTGTGGAAATTCTATTTATTCCCTAATTTGTAAAAATTCCCTCTTTATCTGATCCCAATCAGGGCGGGGTAATTGGCTCTCTGGGGCAGCGGCTGGGGTCCTTGATGAAGAGCTATGTGGATGTACCCAGCCTGGCCCCCACCCAGCCTGCCACCAGGGCCCACAATTAATAATGATTTGCAAATGGCAGACAAGCAATAACACAGAAAGATGTGGTGTCCGTGCTGCCTCTTCATTTCCTTCCCTTGCAGATAAAAATGGCCACAGAACAAAAACCCAGCACTATAAATTCTAGAATTAGTTATTCACTGGGATAAATGGGGCCTGGAGCCACCAGCCACTCTCCCTGCCACCGTTCTTGCCTGCTTTCCCTGATCCAGGTTCTGGCCCCATGTCTGTTCTTGAGCCTGGCCCCTGACTCTTCTGCCTCTTTGGCTCGCAGCACAATTCCTCAGCTTCTCCCACCACTCCAGCTACCTTCTCCTGTGTGGCCAAGACTTGGGAGTGGTCACCTGGTCTAGGCCTGTAGCTTCCTCTGCAGTGGCTGGAGCCAGCAGGTGGGATTCACCCTCCACCTCCTCTTGTGGACCTCCCTGGCTGCCCAACGTGGTTTCTGTCCTCATTCTGTATTGGGGTTTGAATGACGTTGACATGTCCTGCCAGGCCTGGGAGTCTGGATAAGGGTTTGTCTTGGGTATCATCTTTGGCATTTGGGACCAATCATGTCCTTTGCCTCGCCAAATCTGAGTTGAGTTCCTGGTGGCCAAATGCACTGCAAGCGACATAAGGGGTTTGATGCTATGCTTACTGGTCAGGCAGTTCTGGGATGCTGGCAAAGGGGTTTCCAGGCACTGTGCCCTCCCGGCCAGGCACATCCCCCCCTCCACCCCACTGCCCCCAAGTGGCTGTGAGCTGGCGGGTAATGGGTGTGTAATGGCCTCATTTCCATGCCTGGCCTCCAGGAGCGGCGGTAAGTGTTTGATTGCCTTAATTTCCAAACACATCATTATCCCAGCTTTACCAGCGCTTAATAAACACTTTATGAGGATTTTTTTAAAAACATCTTCGGTCCGCATACTTCTCTGAAGTGATAAACTCTAATTAAGTCTAATATTTAAAAATATGGTAATGGTGAGTTGTTTGAATAAGTGGACTGCATTTCTGTAATTTCATTATTACGTAAAACACGCTAATTATTTGGAGCGCGCTTATTACGGTGAGAGAAATCGCCTGCTAATCAAGATGAAATTGCCTTTTCCCCTTATTGTGGAACCATCGTCATCCTTCACCATCAGCCTGTGGCACCTCCAGGCACCTCGGTGGGGTGGAGGGGGCTGAGGGGAGGGGCTGAAAGAAGGGGTCACTTTGGAGTGGAGGCTGTAAGGATCCTGTCTGGGGGAGGGGTAGGAAGCTATGGGAGCCATGGCTGTGGGGAGAAGGGAGTGTGTGTCTAGGAAGTGGGTCGGGTGGGCCAAGGTGGCCGTGAATGGGGGCGCAGGGGACTGTGTAGGCCATGTCTGAGACAAGGAACTGGGGGGTGGGGATATCAGGAATTTATTGTTGGAATAACATTATTTTTAGATGTTATTGGAATAACAAAAATAATAACTAACCGAGCTACTGTTTTAAGCACTTCACAAATAACTCATCTTTTTAACAACACTTTGAGGGAAGTTATTGCTATAATTATTATTATTCCCATTTTAGAGAAGAAGAAACCAAAACAAAGATAAGTTAAATAAAATTCAGGAACTTGCTCAAGTTCACATGGTTATTAAGTGGTGGAGTTTGGATTCAAACCCAGAAGCAGGATATACTGGGGCCATCTGCTGTGTCAGTCCTAAACTCACTGCCTTGGCCCTCATCTTCCTTCTAAGCTAACATTTGATGCTAAACCTTAAACTGCACCCAGCTGTTGGGTCCCCATCACAGAGTTGCCAGATAATACAGGGTTACAAATAATACAGGACACTAGTTAAATCTGAATTTCAGATAAATAATTTTTAGTATAAAAAATATAGTATAAGTATGTCCTGTATGGAGCTGGTGGGGCTGCATTTAATCTGGCAGTCCTGTGTCAAGCAGGCCTAGGCACTGGCACTTTGCTCTCAGGGCATTACTGCTGCCAGGATGTCTGGACAGACAGATGTGGCAACAGTTGAGGTTCTAGAACGTGGACACACCCAAGGATCCTGCTGTGTCACCCTTACCATGCATGGTTCCTTCTCCTTGCACTGTTCTCCACACCTACCTCCCAACTACCCTACCCTACCTCTTCTGGTCCCTGTTCCATGGACTCTTGCCCCATTCCTCACCATGTCCTGAAGATCAGTAATAAAGTGTGTTACCAAGCTAAGCATTCTGCAGGCAGGAGGCCTGTGGAGACTCCAGCAGACCTCAGGATGTGTCTGCATGTTCCTTTAGGCCACACTCCCTCTTAGTCCCATAAGATCAGCAGCTTGCCACCCTACTGTCCCTCCTGTTCCCCCAGTTTGATTGGCTTCTTTGATCATTTCACATACATTCACTCCTGCCTCCAACAGACACATGTATGGGAATTGTATATGTGATAGAGCTGTCGTTTCAAAAGGGTGGGGAAAGTGTTGACAGTTCAATCAATGGTGGTAGGACAATTGGCTATTAGGGGGAAAAAAGTTAGAGTTTTTATTTCTTACCACACACAAAAATAAATTCCAGACAGATTAAAAAGTTAATATATTAAAAAAACTGAAAGTATTAGAAGAAAACATAGGATAGTTTGTGTGTGTGTGTGTGTGTGTGTGTGTGTGTGTGTGTTTAATAATGCTGAGATAGAGAAGCAAGACATTAGCCTAGAAACCATAAAGAAATGCCTGACAAATTTAGATGTCCCATAGGAATATGACTTAACTCATCCAAATTTGCACCTTCCCTGGTATGCCTTATCTCAGTGAGTGGCACTGAGATCCTAGATGCTCCCCCTGTGCTGTCCTAATCCCCCCATTAAGGACTGCTCGTTCTATTTCCTAAAAATTCTCTTACCTCCATCCACTTCCCCCACATCATCAATAGATCTTCTCCTCCATTTCCACTGCCACTGGCCTGTTCTGGGCCATTATTTCTGGTCTGGACCATAGTACAATCTGCTAATTGATCTGTCTGCCTTCAGGGTTAATCCTTCCAATCCTGTCCTCACATCTAGGATCATAATTCTGAAACAAGATCTGGTACTGTCATTCCCCTCCTTAAACATGTCAATGTCCATCATTCTCAGAATATTAACATCTTAAGCTCCTTAGTTTAGCATTTAGGTTCTTCAGGATTCCCTTTAGTCAGTCACTGACCACCAGCTTCATCTCGTTGCCACTCCCTTCTGATTCTTCATCCCCCCACCCATCTGATAAACTTATTTGGACACTCCACATTTCACCTCCATAAATGTGCCTGTACTATTTATTGAACACCTTCCTCACCCCAGCCCTAACAAGGTGGGCTAGCTCCCTCCCCCATCCCCTAAGACCTCTGCTTAACTTTGGAATATTTAATCCTCAAACAGAACTAGATAACTTTTCCATGCGTCCTTTTCTCATAGCACTGCACACCTGACAGGGCTGTCTTTGAGTTCCTTGAAGGCAGGGAGCTACAGAGTCTTGCACATCCCTCAGAAGCCATATGGTACAAGATCACTGAGCATACAGAAGGTGTCAGCGCATGTTTGCTGAATGAATGAGTATATGAATGAATGGACTTCTAACTTCTTGGGTCCCCTTCCTCCTGAGGGTCTCCCTAGCCCAGGCCCTGCTTCCTGTCCACTGCCACTCAGTTCCCAGGTAAGTACCGCTAATGGAGAATATCAGCCTTAGGTTGTTTGCCCTTTGTGAGCTCTTTCTGGGTGTCCTAAGTGATCTGAGCAACCCTTCTGTGTGGAGATTGTCAGGCAGACATTTGACTGTCCTTGGGCCCAGCCAACAAGCTTGTCTTTCCTTGTAAGGTGCTAGCCCCACTAATCTTCTCTCAGGGATTTATGCAGCTGCACTCCTCACATTATGGTCTTGGCAATATAAAAATATTTCCAACACTGAGAATATTAATGCCCCAAAAAAGAAGAGGAGAGGGTCATCTTGTCACAAATTGATGATCCTGCAGAAACATAAAAACAGGTTAGCCTGACCAGGTATGGTGGCTCATGCCTGTAATCCCAGCCCTTTGGGAGGCCGAGGTACAAGAATTGGAGGCAGAGGTTGCAGTGAGCTGAGGTCACGCCACTGCACTCCAGCCTGGGCAACAGAGCAAGACAAAATGAAACAAAACCAAAGGTTAGCCTTCTAGAATTTGAAGGTGAGGTAGAGGCCTCTTGGAGGCCTCTATTGTGGGTGCAAGGCTGTGCTCCCTGCCACCTCACTCCCACCCTACAGCAGCTTCATGCTGGCCTCCTTAGCTCAATGAGAGGTGCTGGAAGGCAAGCCTGCTAACCCAGGTGGCCCCCAGAGCTTCAAGCAGAAAACTTTCCAAGAGACTGTGTTGCCACCAGACACCCTGCTGCTCTCTCTCTCTGAATTTTTGGCCTATTAAAAGCCCCAGATCTGTCTCTAGTGCTTCTTCTGCCAAGCTTCCTCACTTTCTAGCAGGGCCATAGACTTTAAAAAACAAAATATATATATATTTGTCAAGGCTTCAAGGGCTGGAAAAAGAGCCTGGAGCTAGAAGCCCATGACTGCCATTCCACTGACTTGTTAGGTGAACTGGAGCAAATTTCTTCCTTTCCCTGGTCTCTCTTTATTGTAGTGGGCCAGTTGCAACAAGTTAGACCCCAGAAATACCCAGTAAACAGGATCTGAAGTCAGAATTTGGAGTGAATGCCAATTGGTTTCACTAAGTCTGCTGGCCCCTATCAGTCATCTGTGCTATCAATTGTATACACTTTCTCACCACTAGGTCCTCCAGAAAACTAGCTTCCTTGCCTTTTCTTCAGAAAGAGGAGGCATTCCAAGCATAAAGAACAGCATGTGCAAAGATGTGGGTGCAACACCTTGTTTGGTCCTCACAATAACAGCAAGGCCATTATCACCCTAGTGGAGGAACCTAAGTATTAGAGACGCTAAGCCCTTGCTGTGTGGTATGCAGCCAGTGGGTGAAATTAAGATTGGAAACATGTCTTTCTGGCTCCAAAACCCACTTTGTCATTTTCAGAAAACAGTGAGTGGGTCCTTGAGATTGGAGTCCAGGGATTGAGGGTTGAGCATGGCAGAGACCAGAAATAGCAGGGATCAATTTTTGCGGAGCCTTTAAGACATATTACTGGTGTAGACTTTAAACTGAGGGCAAGGAGAGCCACTGAAGGGCTTTAAGGAAGAAGAACATGATCAGATTTATGTAAGAAAGATCAGTTTGGCTGTAAGAGAATGAATTTGAGGGAGAAAGAGGACAGCTGTTGTAATCCAAGATGATTAGGCAGAGAAGAAGAGAAAATCTGCGTAAGTTCATACTTGATTAGATTTGGAGAGTGAGGGAGAGGGCAAAGTGGCAACATGACTCAGATTTCTTTGGGCATTTTGGGTGGATTATGGTGCCATTCACTGGGATGGAGAACATAGCAGGGTGAGGGGTAAGCAGCAGCTTGGAGAGAAAATTAGCTCGTGATTGGACGTTTAGGGTTTATCTAGAAAGAGATGTTCAGGAATATGTGGTGTAGAGCCTATGAGCTGTCCAGGCTGGAGAGGTGATCTTTAGCGGGTAGCTGAAACTCACGATTTAGATGAAGCCATCCAGTGTGTAGAGTGGGGAGAGGTCAAGGACAGAGACTGGGACGTGGGGACCCTCTCCCAGCACAGGGCCAGGCACAGGTGGGAGAACAGTGCTTGCCCACTGGATGGCTGGTGGCCTGGGGGTTGGGGCTGGGACATTCACTTGGGCCAGGGGAAGCAAATTGAACGATTTGTCCAGCAATGAGGGAGGAGCCAGATGAAGTCAATAGAAAACTAATTTTCTTTTCTGCTGGAAGAAATGAGGTGTGTGGCCGCTGGGTAATTGCAGATAACGAGGGGACTTATTCTTAATATGCACAGCGGCCACGGTCCCTAGGGTACCGGAGACAGGAAGGATTGGAGGTTCCCTGATAGGGCCAGACTTATTTGGGAAGAAAATCACCCTATCATAGTCTCTCTGTTGGCACTACCACAGCCCATGGACCCCATCCTAACCCTTCCCCCTCTTAGGCCCCTTCCGGTCCCATTCCCCTTCCTGTCAACTGCCTAGCACAGCCCCTCCCTCCTCCACCCACTACCCCCAAAGCATAGGCACACACACTAAGAGAGACAAATGATGGGGCCTCAGCTGAGCGGGGTGCGTGTCCGGCCCATAAACCATGGGGATGGGTCACGTCTGGAGTTGCCATGGTCGCCACTACCCACCCATCTGTCTTTCCACTGTTCTGCCTCAGACCAGCCCGTATGGCTTCCTGAGTCCCTGGGGGAAGGTGTCACCTCTCTGTGCCCACATCCACTGCAGGTGCGTCCATGCTGATCTCTGCGACACAGGACCCTGTCTGACTTGCCTGCCCAAAGCAGGCTCTGCAGAGCTAGGATCTGGCTAGTGATACAGGGCCTGGGCTGATCAGAGACTGTGCCCTCCTACTGCCCTTTTCTAGTGCTGGAGGGTCCCCCTTCCTAGACTAAGGTCCTGGCAAAAGTGGGCCTTGACATGCAGAGGCTTCCTGACCCCACCTTGACCTTAATACCCCCCCACACTTGATTATGACATTGATGTACAATATTTCTACAATCACAGCATCGATCCTATGAAGGTTGGTGGTGGCTGAGGCCCTGGTTATGGCCCAGGAGCATCTAAGGGAGGTGGGAGAAGAGGCAGGTGAGGGGATAATGAGTTTGGTGGCTGCTGTGGGCAGCTGAACAGAAAAACTCAGGCACTCAGGCTGTTTCTCTCCTAGGCTTCTGCTAGTGGAATAAGCTCTGGGCAGGTGCACCTCCTGCTGCTGGTGGTGGTGGTGGTGAAACAAATCCTGGCCCATGTCCATGACGCTGAGGCCCCAGAGGCCTGATCCTCCAGCCTCCAGGGTTCTAGGACAGTTGAAAGCATCCAATACTGGAGAAACTGTTTGTGATAGAGTCTGATACATGCAGACACATTCCACATGAGGTATGGGCAGAAACAGGGCCCAAAAAGGTGACTAGCACCCACTTTGAGCCTACTGGGACAGAAGCAGGGCTTCCGCCGATGTATACAGGAGGGTTTGGTAGACGGCTGATGGCCAAGGCTAAGAGGAGGACCACAAATCTGGACCCTCCCCATCCTGTCGGAGCTCCACAGGAACAGGTGCCCAGGCAAGCTGCTGTTTGAGCACACAAGCCCAGGACACAGGGCAGGTGTGTTTCCCAGGGCCCTGGCCCAGCAGTGCCAAGCCTTGTGCCTTGTCACTAGTGATTATGGCCTGGGTCACATCTCCCACACACACGAAAGTGCCGGCAAAGTCACCCTGGCCATGGGTGTGATGAATGGTCGCACAGTAATGAAATGGAGACATCAAGGCGGGTGGCGGGAAGACGGAGTGTGGCGGACGGGCCGTCCCCACGCGGCAGCAACAAGAAGGATCGCCCAGCGGCCGGGGGCCGTCAAGGGAGAAATTACACATTTACTCTGCCTTTTTCTTACTGCGACGGCGCCCATACATCACCGCTGGGGCTGGGGCGGGACATGCCGGCCAATTTCCAGCATGAATTATGGAACTGAGAAGCATCGAGACCAGGCTTCCTGCCGGCCCAGCATCACCCAGACCAACCTGAAGCTAGGAATGCTGCCACCAGGGGATGGGACCACCCTCTCTAAAGCCTGTGTCTCCTGAATCTGACCCTGCTTCCCACCCCCACCCTTGTAAGAGCACCTGTGGGCATGGAGGGGAAGGATCTGGGGCTGATCTAAATGTCTTCTCTCCTTTTTAGACGACTGCAAGAACATTGCCAACATCATGAAGACACTCGCCTATCGAGGCTTCATCTTCAAGCAGACATCGAAGCCGTTCTGATTGGCCGAGGACAGGATGGGGCAGGACAGGGTAGCTGTTTGGCCCAGCCCAGAATCCTCCTCTCCCTCACCAGAGGGGAAGAGGGAGAGTGGCATAGCTCTGTGTCCAGAGTGTCCCCAGCTGCCCTGTGGGCTCATGCCCTTGGCGTGGGCTTGTGCCCTTGCAAGGGCTTGGCCACTTGGCCCTTCTGGAGCAGACACTTTGTGCCCCCCATCCCCACCCCTCAATCTCAGCCCAGTATCAGCCCCTCCCATTGCGGGCCTGGGCTAGGGGGACCCAGGCACTCACCGCCTCCTCCCTGGTACACAGGCTTCTGTGGGGCCACCAAGCCCCTCCTGTGCCCCCTCCCATCCATAGTGCATGGTGTGTGGTGCCCCCAGGGCTCCAGGACAGATCAGGCCCCACCTTGTGTCTACCCCCATCCCCGCTGTGAACGTGCCACTGAATAAAGTCGGGGAAACGAGGCACTGGGTGTGTGTGCAAAGCCATCTGTGTGTGTGAGGCTGCTGCTGCGCCAAAGCTGTCAGGATGTGAAGGTAGGTAGAGCATGCTCCAGACTGCCTCTGTGCACAAAGCCATCCATGTGTGACTGGCCGTCACTGCAGCACCTGTGACACCCTCACTCAATATGCACACATCTGTGTAAGCGCGGCGACTATCAGTACAAGCTGTGTGCAAAGCCATCTTGAGTGTAAACCACAGGTGCTCTGAGGTGCAGGAATTTGGGTGAAACTGGTAGTGGTTAGTGGTCAGAGAGCTGCTAAGGGCCTGAACACAGGCAAACCTATCTGCCACGCTGTGGAGTGGCCGTGACAATCCCCTCCTTGCCCACCCTTCCCACTAGGGGCATCAGAAGTGAAGGAAAGGAAAAGGAAGCAGCCTGGTCCAACTCAGCAGCTCTATTTACATAACAGCGTCGCCCACACCCCGTGGGGCCTCTCACGGCTTCTTGGCTTTCTTCACGGAAGATGAGCTGGAGGCCGACTCCCGTCGCTTTCTCTGAGGATACACAGAAGGCATTGAGGTCAGTGACCCCCCAAGGCCTGAGTCAGGCTTAGTGCATGTGCTTCACACGCTCAGGGACAAGGACGCCCACTGGTCAACCCACTCCTACCCTCAGTCTCAGACTCGCACAGAAGTGATGATCGTTCCTGCTGCAGGCACTAGAGGGAGAGGAGCCCCTACACCCATGTGCATGTGCTCACTCGCAGGGCCCAGGCGTGCCTCCCAGCCTGTCCAGACTCTTACCGAATTGGGCGTGAGGGGTGCGCCCACCACATCAATGATGGTGTCCTTGGGGTCAGGACCAAGTCCGGGTTCAGTCACTGCCGGCTCAGCAGAGGCCGGGCCTGGGCCTGATGCTGGTGTGGCAGGGCCCCCTAGCACACCAGCCCGGGCCAGTGCCTCATGACGGTGCCGCAGCATCTGCAGCTCATACTCGCAGTTGGCACAGGCCTGCTTGAGCTCGTAGAGCAGCACCAGGTCGCTTCGCAGCTCATTGAACATGTGCACCAGCTCCTCCGTAGGTGTCGGGCTCAGCTCTGCAGGCAGGCGGCAGGCAGCACGGGCAGAGCCCAGGTGTGGTAGAGGGCCAGCAATGTGAACTCCCCTCCCCCTGCCCAACCTATATCCACAGCCTCGGGTGGGTACACCCTATGGGGCCCAGTCCCCACACTCACCCACACCAAGCTCCAGCAGCATCTGTTCCAGGGCCTTGATCTTCTTCTGTCCCACAGAGCTTGGCAGCTTCATCTGCAATGAAAGCTGGCAAGCTAAGCCTGTCCCAGCCACAAGAGGCTTAGGATGAAGGGGACAAAAGGCAGAGGGAAAGATGGTGGAAGAGAGACGGTAACACATGGAGGTTAACTATGGGCCAGAAAAGGAAATAGCCAGGAAGCTGAATATAGTGAAAGCTGCTATGACCTTAGCCTGGCCACATCACTGAGATCCTGCCAAGGCCACCTCTGTCTGCAGCAATCTCTCCTACTGCTCCATCCCCACCTGCCTGCAGCGTTTGGGACACATGGAGCCCAGAGCAGAGCCCAGGACCCAAACTTGCTAAAGGAGGTGACTCACGTACCCGTTGGCTCCGCAGCGTGACACCTGCAGACTTGAAGTCTGGAAACTTGATGCCTGCAGTCTCAGGAACAGCCTGGGGGAGAAGGCATTATGGAGACCAAGGTGTCACAGGGAGAGGGCCCAGGGTTAGTCCTAGCACCCCATCAGCACTGGGTACTCTCAGAACCCTCCACTCGGGGTGAGGCCTTGTGCCAGGTGACCCTTCCACCCTGAGCTAGGCTGGCGGAACCTCCGCACCGGCTTCTCAGCCTCCTTTTTCTGGGGTAGCTTCTTTTTGGGGGCCTTGCGTTCCGTGCGCCGCTGCTCTGCAGTGGTGTCTGCCGCTGTGATCAGCTTCTGCAGGTCCTGGCTGCGTTTCTCCCGCTCCTTCTTCCGGGCCTCAATCTTGCGCAGCTCCTGTAGCAGGTACTCCTCCTCTGCCACCTGGGAAAGTGAGGGATGCGAAGTGTGTGAGGGCACTTCTAGGAGTGAGGGTAGACACGGAGGTGACAGGGTGCTGGGCTGTCTGTGAGGGAATCTGAGAAGTAATGGATCATGAGGGAGGTGAAGGGCTATGAAAAGCAGGGGGGATGGCCCATGAGAAGTAGGAATGGGCTTGGGGCAGTTAATAAGGTATCAGTGGGAGGCAGGGGGACCTGGGAGTGGGAGTTGAGGGGATGGAGGATGGAGACAATGAGCAAGGGGTTTGGGGCATGGAGGACAGGTATGTGGCCTTGGGCTTACCTGCTCTGGGGTCCGGTTGTAGAGACGCTCAAGCTGTTCCTTCCGCCGTCGTTCGTGCCCAGCATCAAATACTGGTATCTTAAGGTCTGTGCCTGGCACAGCCCGCACGTTGGCAAGCTTAGCACAGATGTGGTAGTACCGCTCCTTCAGGTCTTCCACAGAACGCTTCTGAGGAGCAAGACAGGGTAGAGGAATGAACATTCAGGGGCATGTGGAAGAGATGGCATAAAAGTAGGGCCTGCTAGACCCAGAAGCTGGGCACCCATGCAAATACACAATGGCTCACCTTGAACTGCTGGTGGTCATACCGGTCATGGATAACAACAAAACGCAGGTCAAAGCGGCGGCTGAGGTCAAAGAGGTGGTCAGTTTCTGCCTTAGTCCAAGCATCATCGTGGAGATAAAGCTGGTACTCCTGCTCCGAGTACACAGGCACCTGCACAGTCTACTAGCACAGAGGGACACAGTAGGGGCATGCCCGCATGATGTCATGTCCAGCAGGCTCCAGGCCCCAGTGACCACAGCTGCTCCTGTTTGTTGCCAGACCCTGGGCCTGTGCCCCTGCAGCATGGAGTGAGGAAAGAACTTGTCTGCTTGACTAGAGGTCCTAGCAGGGTTTGGGACTGTAGCCTGCCTCTGATTTATTCCAGGATCAACTTCACTGTCTCCAGCTCCAGAGCCTCAGTCATGGGACACACACTCCTGCCCCCATAGTTAAGGTGAGGGGCCCACATGTAAGTGCTTCTGTGGAGTCCAAAGGTCAACTCTGGAGTAGGACAGATGGCTAATTACCTGGAGAAAGGCCCAGCAACCCCTAGTCCATACAACTCATCTGAAGCACTACTGCCACCCAGTGGGCACAGTGGGACTTGCCACTCCCCCAGAGTTTGCCAAGGTCAGGCATCTCTACAGAAGCTGGGCCTGAATCCTACTACCAACATACGCAGCCCTGCCAATGCCCCTTCCTCCCTTCTTCCACAGACCTCCCCCAGAGACAAATAGCACTACCACGAGCTGAGTCTGTCAGAGACCCAAGGAAGGAGTCAGTGCTAGACTACATCAGGGAAGTCTCTCTTCTCAGTTAAAGACCACAACCAGCTCCAAAACTGGTCGCCTTTTGGACATCTCCTACTGGAGGCCCCAAGGAACCTCAAACTTAGCTCAGTACTGAACTCATGGCCCTCTCTCAAACATTATCTTCTCCAGTCCAGATTTCAGTCAATATCACCATCACCCAACCCAGCTGCTCAAGCCAGAAACCTGGGAGGCATCTTAATTCCTATCTTTCCCCTTGACTCCTCCCCTTCACCAAATCTGTGGCTTTTACCTCCAAAATTTCTGTCTCCATTGCCACTTCTCCGTCGGCCTACCCACTGTCACATGCCTGGATCAGAGAAATAGCCTCGCTACTGATCTCTGCCCACATTCAATCCGCTTCCAATCAATTCTCCATCTGCAGCTAAGACGTGATCTCTTTGAACAGTGCTACTTAAAGGATAGTCTGCAAACCAGTGCTGTTTACACTTACCCCTGGTCTATGATGAGAATGGAAACTGAGAGTACACACTGAAAAACTTACGTAACAATTTTACAGCAATTGTATGCTGTTGAATCTAATATGAAGAAACATGGACTTGTATTTTGTCTTTATAATTTTATTATCTTTATCAGTCTCTGATGGTTTAGAAATAAAATAGAAAAATGTCCTTCACCACAGATGATTTGAGACACACTGTCCTAGTGTTCTAGAATATATATCTTATCATTACCCCCAACTATCCCTTATTAAACTCCTCAGAAGCTCTCCATCTAAGATAAAGCATCTTCTAGATAATTCACAAACTCCTGAAGAGCAAGGGTTGTCCAGTTCATCTCGCACCTTTAGGACTCAGCACACTGTATGTATCAGTGTCTACCAAATCAATTAATGAACATACAAATAAATGACCTGGCCTCCTCCTGCAGCCACTGTCCCTCATGAACCCTAAACTGCAGCCAAATGACTAGCAGTTTCTAGAACATAGCAGACTTCCCCCTTGACCTCTGCTCTTGCCTGAAATGCCTTCCACTTCCACATTCCTTCTACCTAGGTAACTTTCTCAACCTTTCGAGCTCTCAGGCATCATCTCCTCTGGGAAGTCTCTCTGGTTTCCCAGGTTTGGTTACATATTTCTCCTATGCATTTTAATTCAATTTAACTAAAAAACAAACAAACCAACAACTCAGGGCCATGTGCGGTGGCTCACGCCTGTAATCCCAATACTTTGGGAGGCTGAGGTGGGCAGATCACTTGAGCCTAAGAGTTTGAGACCAGCCTGGGAAACATGGTGAAACCCAGTCTCTTAAAAAAACACAAAAATTAGCCAGGCATGTTGGTGCATGCCGGTGGTCCCAGCTACTCAGGAGGGTGAGGTGGGAGGATCGCTTGAGCCCTAGAGGTGGAGGATGCAATGAGCTGAGATCACACCACTGCACTCCAGCCTGGCAGACAGAAAGAGACCCTGTCTCAAAGAAGGAAAAAAAAAAAATCCTCAGGAACTGTGCAGCCAGTCCTCTCAAGTAGCTCATAGTCAAGTGAGGAAGACATTTTTTCATTCATTCAACAAATATTTACCATGGGGCTGCAATACCTATGCTGGAGACACAGTGCTGCATATGACAGGCAGGGATCCTAGCCTCTCAAAGCTCATACTGCAGCTGAAAAAACAATTTTGGTACCGTGTGGGAAGTTTGATACATAGGGTATAACAAGTGACACTCCAGCCCAGGGACAAAGATTGGTTAGAGAAGAGGTAAATGAGGCTTTTAGGATCTAAGTCTAGGCTATTCCAGGCCGCAGCAGCTGTGAGGCCACACTGTACAATGACTTAAGTAATGGACTAGGAAACCTAGCCCAATCTAGCTCTGCCTCTCACTGAATGGGTGAGTCTGGGAAGGCCGTGCTGTGCTGAGCTACACAGGTAACTCAGCTTGGACTAGGGGGCTGGCATAGTGATGAAGAATATAGTCAGAGATGTGATTTATTATGGAAAAAGAATCAACAGGACTCAATAAATAGATGTATCACTGGCATCCAGCTCAAATGCCACGTTCTCAGACCCTCCCTGACCAACCTAAGGTAGGACTCCCCTACACCTACAAGTTCACTCTTTATCTCATTTCATATCCATTCAAATCCTGGTTTCGTGTTACTGACGGCTCTTATTTGAAAGACTCCAATTTATTTCCTTACATGTTTGTTGTTTGTTTTCCCCTACCTTCTTTGTTCTGTTGTTGATTTAAATACTGTGAGGACTAAGGGAGAAGACTAAGTCAAGGACGATCCCCCAAGTTTCTGGTTTGGGCAACTGGGTGGAAGATAGTGCCATTCACTGAGATGGGGAACAGATTTGGGACTGACAGAGGGAAGATGATGAGCTCTGTTCAGGGTACCTACCTGATGTAAGGTACCTGTGGGGCATTGAGAAAGAGATATTAGTAAATGACTGGATGCGAAGGAAGCACTGCTCTGGATTGGTGACTTGTAGAGAGGGTAACTGAAGCCACAGGGTTCATACTAAGAAAGTAGAGAACAAGAAGACTAGAGCACCTAGGATACAGCTCTGAGGAACAGCAACATTTGAAAGACCAAGAAAAGCCATGAAAAACCAGAGCAGGTCCGGGAAAGAACAGGATCCCTTGGGCAGAAAAGACCCACAGAGTCCTACTCTGCATGCATTTGCCACGAGGATTGAGTGGGTAATCACAGTTGGGCATAAGCGTGCCCCCAGAACCAACCCTAGGAGACTGGAGAGCTCGCACAAATGGCTCAAAGTGGGAGGGCAATCTTGGCCTGTGTCCGAATGAAGGTAGCTTACCTTATTGAACCTGGCAAAGGGGTAGTCCTTGCCCTCCTCCGCTGCACGTCGCCAGTGGAAGAACATTGCTCCGTCCTTGCGGGCCGGGTTGGTGAATGGCATCCACTTCCAAGGCCGCACCTTCTTGGAGCCCAACTTGGCCTTCACTGTACGGTATCCCTGGCCAGTGTCACTGGGTAGCAGTGGGGGTGCATCCCTGGCAGGGAGGTTTAGGGAGATGCGAGGTTAGAATCAGAAGGTGTGTTAAAGAGCTTTTTGTCCCAGGGAGCTGATCTACCCTACCCTATAGCAAGAAAGTCATGTCCTGGAGCAAAAGACTTCAGGTCCTCCTGCATCCTGCTAAGCAAGCAGGAGCCCTTGCTGGGGAGGAGAAAATTGTTAGAGAAAACTAGGAGTTAGGGGCATGGCAGGTGAATCAGGGGCCAAAACCTGGGGGACTTGGGACTCCAATACTTGCTTCTTGTCAGAGTAGAGCAAGGCATAGACTTCCCGGTGCATGCCCTCGGGCCTCTTGAAAGTCAGTGTCTCAGAGGACTTCTTGGATTTTTTCTGAGGAAGGAAACCACAGAAAGGAACCACAACCTAGACCCTTTCCTGAAAATTCTTTAGTCCAGCTCAATCCCTGAACAAAGCAGCACCTACAGGGTCAATGACAGGCAAACTGACACACTGTAAAGGCACAGAAACCCACTCCCAGGAACACCATCCTACGCCCAAATCAGAGCAGTCCCCTCCCCATCCCACCAACTCTCAGACTGTTACAATGTCTTGATCTCTCCCCAACAATATCTTGCAAAAATCACACTTGCCTGGTCCTCTCAGCTCTTAGAGGTGTCATACCCTCTTGGTCCCACCATCTCCCACGATGTCCCATCTCCTCCCTCCCATCAAGGATGACACATATTCCCTGTCCTGTTATGTCACCCCTTTTATCGCCCAACTCACTGTAAGTGTAGCACCCATCCCTTGCCCGTTGTCACTCCTCCCCATCTTCACTCCCCTACCCTCCCCTAGTCAACGCTTTCAGGTGCCCCTGCTACCTTGTCCGGGTTGATAATGTCCTTCTTGCTGATGGTCCCAGAGGCTGCATCCCCTTCTGGACCCCCGAGTTCTAGAATGTCCCGTACATCCGCGCCCGTAGCCATCGCGCCTGAGAGATGGGGGAGCCACCGGAGGTCAAGGGTCAGTGCCTGAAGAAGGACCAGGCTCAGGTCAGGGGGCGGGGCCAATCCAGACCTAAGCGGAGGCGAGTTGAAGGGGCGGGCCAAGAGGAGAAGGGTGGTCCAGGTCAGGTCGGGGATCTGCCTGTGCCCCACCGCTTGGATGTTCCTAACGGCCCCTTCAGCCACCTGGGCCCTCGCACTTCCGCACCTGGGTCCGGCAGCTGCAGCCCCCACTACCACTCCCCCGTCCCCGCAAAGCCGCGGCAGAAACTTCCGGCGGTGCTCATTCGGAACGCGGCCGACAGAAACACTTCCGGTCGGTGTTGTAGGAAACGAAGCCGACTGGCAACCGAGGGTGAAAGCTACTGGCCGTGCTGAGCTTGCCACCCTTTGGTTCTCCCGCGAGCCTGTTTTCATTGGTGCACTGCCTGCTTTCTGGCATTTTCCCTCTACGATGCTCCGTTGCGTCTCAGGCAGTGAAGAGATACCAGAACTTTGTGACTTTGGGAAGTCACTTAATTTCTCTGGACCTTTTTCTTTATTTGCCGAATGGAAATTGTAATGGCACCTGTGTAAATGAAATACCAAGAATCCTTGTAAAACATTAGCACGGTGCGTGGGACATTTACTATTTTTTTATTAAATGAGTTAATGATTTGAATTGCCCCCTCTTCATTAAGTGCTAATATGTACTAGGCACTGTGCTAAGCTTGGAGGTGAAGAGATAAACTTCAAATTGTGATAAGCTTGAAGATGAAGAAATAAAGGCAGAGCTTCCTAGGGCGGCTGCCAAAATGGAGTAAGGTGTGGGCCCTCATTTGCACCTCCTCTGATGGAGATAGCTGTGGGTTGTGGCCTCGTGGGGATTTCCTGGAGGCCAGCTTCGTGGCACTTCACTAGTACAGGAGCTAGCTGCACTCTTTGGGCTACGAAGAAGCCCAAAACACAGCCCCAAGCAGGAACCAGCTTAGAAGTATCCCTCAAGGGAATAAACCTGGGGATCTTCCTGGAAAGAGAGAGACAGGAGGTCCTGAGGAAGGGCACAAGGGACAAGGAAAGCAGCTCCCAGCTTCAGCAGTCTGCAAACCAGCCTGTCAATTTGAAGGACACATAGCCTGTGGGATAGGGTGGGGCTTGTTAAGGCATTAAGAAGGCCAGACCCCAAGTCGAGACCTGCCAAAGATACCAGCAGGGACTAGAGGAGCAGACAGTTTGCGCAAGTTAGCTATAAGTGGTGTAGCCTGTTCTGGCCTGGAGAAGACAAGGGGATACAACAGCTGTAGCCACAAGCCTGACTAGTCCCCAAAACTTTGGAGAACTAGGCCTGGAGGTACAAACCTGTTCCTGGGTCTGATTCCTGGATGGATCCACTGAGCTCCAAACAGTTGCCGGAGGAAGTCACAGTCTTACAGCAGAAATTGTCCACAGGGTAAGGAAATGGTCCTTGGAGCCAGAAAGGGAGAGAGCAATTGGCTGCCTGAAACACTTGACCCTAGTTGTAGTTAATTAATTGTGTAATTACTTGTTTAATATATATCTCTAATAGACTCATTTCTGTGAAGACAGGGATCACAGTACATAAAGGAATGTATGTGCCAGGCACTATTCTAGACTCTGGGCATGCAGTGGGTGAACGAGATACAAATAGCTACTGGTGGAGCTTATATTTAGTGGAGAAGGAGAAACACTAAGGAAATAGACAATAAAATTGATAATGTAAGTTTTGATGGTAACAAGAGCTAGGAAGGAAATGAAATAGAGCGATGGGATGGAGAACTGCTTTCCATAATCTGGTCAGGGAAAGTTAGTGGTCTCTCTTTTTTTTATAAATGTGTATATACATAGAAAAAATTCTGGAAAGGACTAAACTGAAATGATTCCATCACTTGTTTTTATCTGGCAATTTATATTTTCTATACTTTCTATAATGAATGTGTACCTCTTCTATAATAAAAGGAAGGAATGAAGGGAAGAAGGAAAGGAAGAAGGAAAGACAGGCAGACTGTGCGCTGTGGAAGGTGGACCAGGCCAGAGTTTAGGAGACTAGAGGGCAGTTGTGACTATCTAGGTTAGAGGTGTTGGGAAACTGAACTAAGGTTGTAGCAGTGGCAATGGATTCCAGATATTTAGAGAAAGATGACCATGTTATCTGCAAATAATGACAAGTTTATCCCCTCCTTTCAATTTATACCCCTTATTTCTTTTTCTTTTAGCATTTTCCAGTACCTCCAGTAATTGGTTAAACAGCAGGTGTGGTCGTGGGCATCCTTGTCTTTTTCCAGATCTTAAGGGGGGCGCATTTAAATTTTTTCTATTAAACATAACATTTGCTCCAGGTTGTTTGTATATACTCTTTCCCAAATTAAGGAACATTCTTCTTAGTTTTCTAAGAGTTATTTATTCCTTAAGGTGATCATCTTTAGCAAAAAAAAAAAAATGCTTTTCATCAATTGATATCAATTGATATATTTATAAGAATTATCTCCTTTAGTCTACTACTGAAGTGTATTAACAGATTTTGTGATGTTACATTTATGGAATGAAATCCATCTGATCATAATACATATGTAAAGAAGGTATACTTTTGGGCTTAGCTAGCTAATAGTTTATTTAGGATTTTTAAAAAATCAATTTATAACTGAAATGGGCCTATAATTTTCTTTTCTTTTAACTATCCTGATGTGATTTTGGAATCAGAATTATGCTTGTCTTCTAAAATGAGTCAGGAACCTTCATTCTTTTTCTACCCTTTGAACAATGCGCAACACACACACACATACATTTTAGTTTAGTAGAAATGACCTAAAAACCCTCAGGCCTTTTTTTGTTTGGGGGCAAAGGGAGTCTTTAAGGATTATTTTAAACACTTATTAGTCTATCTCTTCTTGATTTCAATATTAGTAGTTTATATTTTCCTCACAAGAATAGCTAAAAGTGAAAAGACTGACAATACCAAGTGTTGGTGAGGATGTGAAGCAACAGAACTCTCATACATTACTGGTGGAAATAAAATTATTACAACCACATAGAAACATTGACACTATCTACTAAAGTCAAACATCCATATCCCTGATGTCACAGCAGTTCTACTCCTAGGTATATTCCTAAGAGAAATAAGTGCTTATGTTCACAGAAAGACATATACAGAAATGATCATAACACTGTTATTCATCATAGTCCCAAACTGGAAACAATTCAAAAGTCTCTCAAAAGTACAAATAAATTATAGTATAGTCATACAATGGAATACCACAAGCAATGAGAAAGAAAAAAATACTGCTACATGCAAGGATATGAATGCATCTCACTGACAAAATGTTGTATGAAAGAAGAAAGGCACAAATGAATACATAATGTATAATTCCATTCATATGAAGTTCAAAACTAGACAAAACTGATCTATCATGATAGAGATCAAAACAGTGGGAGGGGCACCAAGGGGGAGAAGGCATGAGCCTCTTGGAGTGTTGGGAATGTTCTACATCTTGATCTGGGTGATGGTATATGGTTACATACATTCCTATGTAAACATCATTGAGCTGGCACCTTTAAGAATGTGCCTTTTATTGTATGAAAGTTATACCTCAATAAAAAGGAAGCAAGTATTAAGCATATAGGAAATAATTGATAAATTTGACTATATAAAGGTAAGTTACAACCCTAGGGTTAACAGAAGTTAAATCTTAAAATTTAGTGTTTTGTTGACCAAACAACAAGGAGGTCTCTGTGAATAAATTAATACCTTCCATTACACCTATGTGAATAAAACTTGACAAATAAAACAAAAATCAGGCTAGGTGTGGTGGCTCATGCCTGTAATCCCAATACTTTGGGAGGCCAAGGTGGGTGAATCGCTTGAGCCCAGGAGTTCAAGACCAGTCTAGGCAACATGGCGAAATCTCATTTCTACAAAAAATACAAAAATTAGCTGAGTGTGGTGGCGCACACCTGTTGTCCCAGCTACCTGGGATGCTGAGGTGGGAGGATCACCTCAGCCCAGAAGGTTGAGGCTGCAGTGAGCCGTTATGGTGCCATTGAACTCCAGCCTGGGTGACAGAGCAAGACACCGTCTCAAAACAATGACAGCAACAAAACATCTGATCAAATCAGAAATCACTAAACAAACTTAGATGGGCAAATCTGTGCTTATGAATGGTAATAGACCCCAAAGAGGGACTGGAGCAAGACTGACATCTTTCTCTGCCTGTATTTTGAGTAGACTTGCAAATCACATCCCTCAATCAGGGAAGAAGTGAAAAAAAAAAAAACAAGCACTTTGTTCCTGGAGATAAACAAAACAATACAAAAACAGGGCCACACTGAATAGTTCTAAACCCAAAATAAATGAAAGCTTAATTCTTTCCAGTACCTTACTACTGATGCTGTAGCAAAGACAACTTTATTCCCGATTTTTGCAATGCTGATCTCCAACAGAACTCTCATAATTTTGAGAGAGAATTGCTGTTTTTCCGCCATGAACAAATTGGTAAGTTTGCTTATCTTTTTTATGTTGTATTTATTATTTGGTTAACCAGTCCTTCTAAAGTCTGGACTTTCTTACAGACTTTTTTTTGCAAGTCAATTATTTTGCTTTCCAAACTAAACTAAGTAAATAAAAATTAAAGTAAGAGATAAAGTGCTGCACCTTGCTCCACCCACCTTGAAGACAGAATTACAAAAGTTGGTGGTCCTCTTTGGATTTGGAGGCATATGAACAATATTTGATCATGCTCTGACTCATTTACAAGGTAACCTATCAGTTTTGAGAGGGGCCTGGCTCAAGAAGGGGTTCTGTGTGACATCCAGGTCACCGTGCAAGATATGCTGCCATTTGGGACTGATTATCCAACAGACCCAATGATATTGGAAGTATCTGGTGACAAAGATCTCATGTATAGTCTCTGGCAATCCTAATAGCAGAATCACAGCACAGCCACCCAGAGTTCTGAAGGCTATAATCTCACCTATAAACAACTACCACTGCTTAAAAAGCAGTTTCTCTTACCTGGTGCAGTGGCTCATGCCTATAATCCTAGCACTTTGGGATGCAAAGGCAGGAGGATTGCTTGAGTCCAGGAGTTCAAGACCAGCCTGGCCAATATAGTGAGACCTGTCTTTACTTTAGAAAAAGAAAAATTAGCCAGGTGTGGTGGCATGTGCCTGTAGTCCCAGCTGCTCAAGAGGCTGAAGCAGGAGAATTACTTGAGCCCAGGAGTTTGAGGTTGCAGTGAGCTATGATCACTCCACTGTACTCCAGTCTGGTTAACAGAGCAAGACCCTGTCTCAACAACAACAAACAGGCAGTCTCTGGCTTACAGTTGGGCTCTTGTAGAAACTGAATGCCTGACCATGAGACACTAACTGGAACTGCCCAGCATGAACTGAGAATTATCCAATTCACTGAACCATGAAGTTGGGGGTGTAAGTCAACAATCCATTATTAAATGTAAGAGATATGTTTGAGACCTTCCTTCCTTTCCATTATTAATATTTAAAGCTATAAATTTCACTCTAATCACTTCTGTAGCTGTACCTTGCAAATTGTTACATTTTCATTATCATTCTAATTTTCCGTGTGCCTTCTTCTTTGTTTATTTTATTTTTATTTAGAGCAGGGTCTCACTCTGACAGTCCAGACTGGAGTGCAGAGGCAAGATCATAGCTCACTGCAACCTTGAACTCCTAGGCTCAAGTGATCCTCCCACCTCAGCCTCCTGAGTAGCTACGACTACAGGTGCACACCATCATGCCAAGCTAATTTTTAAAAAACATTTTTCGTAGAGATAAGATCTCGTTATGTTACTCAGGCTGGTCTCAAACTTCTGCCCTCAAGCAATCCTCCTGCCTCAGCCTCCCAAAGTGCCAGGATTACAGGTATGAGCCACTATACCCAGCCTGATTCAATCCTTTTAAATTTATGGAAACTTGTTTTATGATCCAGCATATGGTTCATTAGTGAATATACCAAGTGTACTTGAAGGTGTATCAGCCAGGCACAGTGGCTCACGCCTGTAATCCCAGCACTTTGGGAGGTCAAGGTGGGCCTTGAGGTCAGGAGTTCAAGACCAGCCTGGCCAACATGGTGAAAACCCGTCTCTACTAAAAATACAAAAATTAGTCAGGTGTGGTGGCGCATGCCTCTAATCTCAGCTACGCAGGAGGCTGAGGCAGGAGAATCGCTTGAACCCAGGAGGCAGAGGCTGCAGTGAGCCAAGATTGCACCACTGCACTCCAGCCTGGGCAACAGAGCGAGACTTCGTCTCAAAAAAAAAAAAACCAGAATGTGTATCTTGGTATTTTGCAATTGTTTGGTGTAGGGTTCTGTAAATGTTAATGAGGTCAAAATGATTGATAATATTATTCATATCATCTATGTCTCTATTGGTTGTTTTTTTTTTTTTGTCTATTGTTCTATCAGTTGCTGAGGGGGGTTAAAGTCTCCAACATGATTGTGGAATTGTCTCTCCTTTCCTCCCTTCCTTCCCTCCCTCCCTCCCTTTCTTCCTTCCTTCCTTCTTTCTTTTTTTTTTTTTCTGAGACAGGGTATCTGTTGCCCAGGCTGGAGTGCAGTGGCATGATCTTGGCTCATTGCATCCTCCAACTCCCTGGGCTCAGGTGATCCTCCCACCTCAGCCTCTTGAGTAGCTGGGACTACAGGCACGCACCACCACCCATGGCTAACTTTTTTTAGATATTGGATTCACCATGTTGCCCAGGCTGGTCTCGAACTCCTGGGCTCAAGCGATCCGCCTGCTTTAGTATTTAGTTCTTAGTTATATTTTCTAGGAAGTACAAGTAGCCAAAATTGTTCCAAAAAGAGTTGGAGAACCAGATAGAGCAATAACCATAGAAAAACAAGAATGAGCTACAATTTTGAAAGGTAACAGGCTGAAAATTATAAATAGGTGAGTTCTATTTGACCTTCAAGTAACAGATTATTGTTAATTCGAGTCAACTTTATTTTATTTATTTATTTTATTTTATTTTATTTTATTTTATTTTATTTTATTTTATTTTATTTTATTTTAGATGGAGTCTCGCTCATTGCCCAGGCTGGAGACCAGTGGCGCGATCTCGGTTCACTTCAACCTCAGGTTCATAGTATTAGTATTACATAATACTATGTATATAGTAGTATTTCTCTTTTTATGTTTGGGTTTTGTAAGGTGAAGCAACTTGTTCTCATGGGGGAACATTGTGACATATCCTATAACACTAGACCTCCAGAAACATCACTGAGATGTGTTTTCATGGGATTTGCAGTTTGTTCTTCAGTGTACCTGGGGGATTGTCTCCAGGACCCCCATGTATACCCAAATCCATGCATACTCAAGTCCTGCAGTTGGCCCTGCAGAACCCGTGCATAAGTGGACACGCACAGTTCAAACCCGTGTGTTCAAGGGTCCACTGTACTTTATCTCAGTGAATCTAAGTTGCTTTGACCCTAGTGCGTTCTTGATTTACCGGAAGGTGTCAGAACTATCACCTCTATTTCCTCCTGCTGACAGTGATTTTAAGAAGTCATCCATTAGCCACATCAGGGGAAGAGGAGCCATTTCTGCTGGCAAGAGAGAGGCTCAAGAGGGTAGAATCTGGGATGGCCTGAGTTATCTAAATGCCTTCTTTTCTGATCAGTGCCCCCAGCATTCACATGAGAGACCTGGAAGTGTGTGAATTTCACTCATATTGTGCTACAGCAATTATTGGTATCACATTTTGAATTTCAATTCCAGCTATAATCAGCTCCATGACTGCAAGAGATAAATTATTTTTATCATACACATAGAAAGTCAATGATCTGAGACTTATCTTGAGCCAAATTTTAGGGTATTGAGCTCTTTTTTTTTTTTTTCAGTCTGACCAGAATAGTTAAAAGAAACCTCTCTTCACTGCACAGTTCACAAATTCCCTCTGCCCCCACCCCCCATCAAATTCTGAGAAAAATTGCTTGGTTCCCCCAAAGTTTTGCCTTCAAGGAATCTGTCATTCAGTTAATAATCAATTGCAGGTGATAATCTATTCTCTGCAAGCCAAGGGCTATCTTTAAGTTCAGCTAGATTTTTACTGCCCAAACCTAAATACCAAATCCATGCCTTTCTGATACCAATTCCTGTGTCAGCTACAAGTCATAGTTCTTAGTTATATTTTCTAGGAAGTACAAGTAGCCAAAATTGTTCCAAAAAGAGTTGGAGAACCAGATAGAGCAATAACCATAGAAAAACAAGAATGAGCTACAATTTTGAAAGGTAACAGGCTGAAAATTATAAGTAGGTGAGTTCTATTTGACCTTCAAGTAACAGATTATTGTTAATTCACGTCAACTTTATTTTATTTATTTATTTTATTTTATTTGAGATGGAGTCTCGCTCATTGCCCAGGCTGGAGACCAGTGGCGCGATCTCGGTTCACTGCAACCTCAGGTTCAAGAAATTCTTCTGCCTCAGCCTCCCGAGTAGCTGGGATTATAGACACCTGCCACCACACCCAGCTAATTTTTGTATTTTTAGTAGAGACGGAGTTTCACCGTGTTGGCCAGGCTGGTCTCGAACTCCTGACCTCAAGTGATCTGCCCGCCTCGGCCTACCAAAGTGCTGGTACCAGTCCATGGCCTGAGGGTTGGGGACCCCAGCTCTAGAGCATATTAGTTAAAATTGTTCTCAACTTATGAAAATAGCGTAATATAAATACCAGAGCCTATCAAGAGAGCCTTTGAAGAATATGTAATTCTCATCTTATGTAAATTATTTAAGAAAGTAAGGGCTGGGCACAGTGGCTCACACATGGATTGCCAGCACTTTGGGAGGCCGAGGCAGGAGAATCACTTGAGGCCAGGGGTTCAAGACCAACCTGGGCAACAAGGCAAGACCCTGTCTCTACAAAAAAAAAAAAAGTAAAAATTAGCCAGGCATGGTGATATGCACCTGTAGTCCTAGCTACTCAGAAGCCTGAGGCAGGAGGATTGCCTGAGCCCAGGACATGGACACTGCACTCAAGGGCAACAAAGTAAGACCCTGTCGAAAAAAAAAAAAGAAGAAAAGAATGTAAGAAAAGATGGAATGCCACCCAACACAATTTACTGACTAGTATATACTGAAACCAAAGCCAGACAACAGAAAAAAAAAAGATCTCATTTATGAACAATAAAACAAAAATCCTGAATAAAATGTTAATAAATTAAATCTCGCATGGCTGGGCACAGTGGCTCATACCTGTAAGGCCAGCACTTTGGGAGGAGGGAGGATTGCTTGAGGCCAGGCATTTGAGACCAGCCTGGGCAACATAGCAAGAGCCCACCTCCACAAAACTTTTTTTTTAAACTTAGCCTGGTACGATGGCACACATCTGTAGTCCCAGCTGCTTGGGAGGCTGAAGCAGGAGGATCACTTCAGCCTACGAATTGGAGGCTGCAGTGCACTGTGATTGTGCCACTGCACTCAGCCTGGGTGACAGAGCAAGACCCTGTACCAAAAATCAACAACAACAAATTAAATATAACAGTATATTAAAAGAACAATTTAGCCAGGTGCGATGGCTCATTTCTGTAATCCCAGCACTTTGGAGGGCCGAGGCAGGTGGATCACTTGAGGTCAGGAATTTGAGACCAGCCTGGCCAACATGGTGAAAACTCATCTCTACTAAAAATACAAAAATTGGCCAGGCATGGTGGTGTGTGCCTGTAATCGCAGCTACTCAGGAGGCTAAGGCGGAAGAATCACTCAAACCCAGGAGGCAGAGGTTGCAGTGAGCCAAGATCGCACCACTGCACTCCAACCTGGGTGACAAAGCGAGACTCTGTCTAAAAAAAAAAAAGAACAATTCATGAAGTCTAAGGAGGATTTATCCCAGCTTTGCTAAGATGGTTCAGCATTAGAATATATATACTTATTAATGATGTAAACATAAAAAACCCAATTATCTGAATAAATTAAATGCACATTAATAATATAAAAGAAGAAAAAATATCCTAGCAAACTAGGGAAAAATGCTTAATTGATACATGTTTTGTTTTTAATAAAACAATGATAAAAAACCTACAGCAAATGCCATAGGTAATGGTGAAACAATAGAAGCTTTCCAACTGGAGTTAGAAGTAAGATGAGAATGTCCTTTACCACTACTGTTCAGAATGGTACCAGATGTTCTCTCTAATTCAAGAAGAGAAAGAAGGCACTAAGAAGCATAAACATTAGAAAAGAAGAGGCAAATTGTGATTATTTGCAGATGACACTATCGCTTATATAGAAAAACCTAAAAAAATCAATTGACAAACCATTAGAACTAATAAGAGGATTCAGCAAGGTGACCACATACAAGATCAATGTACAAAATCAATAGCTTTCCTATATAACAGCAATAACCAATTAGAAAATGTAATCGAAAGTAAGATCCCATTCACCATAGCAACAAAAACTATTAAGCACCTAAGAATAAACCTGAAAATAGAATTTATTTGAAGCCCTTGGGAATAGTTCAACATTAGGAAACCCAACAATCTAATTAATCACATCCATAAAATAAAATTGAAAACCACAGGCCGGGTGCAGTGGGTCACGCCTCTAATCCCAGCACTTTGGGAAACCGAGGTGGGAGGAGTTCCTGAGCCCAGGAGTTCAAGACCAGCCTGGGCAACATGATGAAAATCCATCTCTACAAAAAATACAAAAATTAGTCAGGCGTGGTGGTATACACCTGTAGTCCCAGCTAATTGGGAGGCGGAGATGGGAGGATGACTTGAGCCCAGGAGGCAGAGGCTGCAGTGAGCTGAGATTGTGCCATTATACTCCAGCCTGGGTGACAGAGCCAGGCCCTGTCTCAAAAAAAAAAAAAAAAAAAAAAATGAAAACCACACAATTATATTTTACAGCAGTAGTGAAAATTCCAGAACCATTTCTAGTAAAAACACTAAGTAAAACAGGAGAAAAAGAACATTTCCTAATCATGATAAAGAGTTTTGTGTGTGGTTTTGTTTTCAGACACTAAGAAAAAAACGTATTAACTGGCTAAATATTAAAGGCATTGCTATCAAAGACAAAAACAATGCAGGGACCATCACCATCCCTCAAAACTGTTTTGTGTAAAAATGGAACAGAGGATTTGACAAGGGGAATAAAAGCTTCATATAATAGAAACTTTTCCAGGGTTTGCCACGTGTCCTCTCTATAAACAAGACTACTTTGATTTTATATTCCACATAGGATGGAAATTGAAATTTCACCTTTCACCCAGAGACTGAGGCTGATCAAAAGGGTGTTTCCTCCTTTTCCCTATCAAAGCCATTGCCAAGCACTCACACTGCTCTTGTCCTCTGATTGAAGGAAAGAATGTTTAATTGTCCAAGAAGTCCTAAGACCCAGAGCTGCTTTTGCTTCTGTGGCAGTGGGGTCTGACGCGAGATGGGTGCCTGAAATGCAGCTAAGAACCTGTGCGCATAGGCTGGGCGTGGTGGCTCACACCTATAATCCCAGCACTTTGGGAGGCTGAGGCGGGTGGATCACCTGAGGTTGGGAGTTTGAGACCAGCCTGACCAACATGGAGAAACCTCGTCTCTACTAAAAATACAAAATTAGCCGGGTGTGGTGGCACGCGCCTGTAATCCCAGCTGCTTAGGAGGCTGAGGCACGAGAATTGCTTGAACCCGGGAGGTGGAGGTTGCGGTGAGCCGAGATCACGGCCTTGCACTCCAGCCTGGGCAACAAGAACGAAACTCCGTCTTAAAAAAAAAAAAAATTCTGTGGGCACAAACAGCTGCCAAAAAAATGGGGATGAGGTTGTGATTACTTTCTCACGCTCAGAAATTGTAGGCACGTTTTGAAATCCTGTCACTCTTACCTTGTTCTGTACACTATGAGCTAGGCTTGTTCTTTTTTCTTTTCTTTTTCTTTTTGAGAAAGGGTCTAGCTCTGTTGTCCAGGGTGCATAGAGTGGGGCCATCATAGCTCATTGCAATTTTGAATGTTTGGGCTCAAGCAATCCTCCTGCCTCAGCCTCCTGAGCAGCCAGGACTACAGGTGTACACCACCACACTCAGCTAATTTAATTTTTTTTTTTTTTCATAGAAACAGAGTCTCACTATGTTACCCAGGCCGGTCTCAAACTCCTGGTCTCAAGTGATCCTCCCACCTCAGCCTCCCAAAGTGCTGGGATTACAGGCATGAGCCACCGCACCTGACCAGCTTATTCTTTAAAAACAAACAAACAAACAAAAGCACTGAGATGGGTTCTAAACAAAGTTGTCTGGGGGTCTTTCTAGCAGGGGGTGACCTGAAGTTACATGTTTTCCTCCCGTCTCTAGGCAAGAGCACACACACCTTATTCTAGAGCGAAAGGCCAGAGTACGCTGGAGAGAATAGGGGAGTTGCTTATATCCCTCCATGTCCCCTCATGGAAACTGAGTACCGGAGAGACTTTTTCTATTTTATAAAATGAAGTGTTACCTGATTCTAGAATGACAAATAAAGCCAACTGAGATCTTTAAAGAAAATTGTTGTGGGGATGAGATTCTAAATAAAAAAAGGAAAAAAGAAGAGTGCCACCAGTTGAGTTCCTTGGAAGCAGACTCTGAAACAGATCAGCGTGGTGAAAGTTTATTAGGGCGTACTCTCAGTATCAACACCTGTGGAGGGAAAGAGAAAAGCATGACTGGGCAAAGGGGGAAGTGTGACAGTGACTGAAGTCCCAATAAGGCCTTACTTGATCCCATGGGTAGACTGACCCTTCACAATTGTCCCCAGATGTGATGAGGAGCCCAGGCCCTTATCTTCCCATGTCAACCAGTCATCAGATGTGAGCAATCCTGAGAAGGAGGCTATTCTTAAGTAAGGTAACTCTAGTCAGTGAAACAATTTTAGCTTTCAGCTGCTGGGGAGACAGATCCATGTGGCATAGAACCCACCAAGCAAAGTAACAAGGAAAGAAAAGGAAAAAAAAAGATGCAAGTGATTGTTTCAATAAACCAGGGGACAAAATATCCCCCACAAACCTTAGAATATGAGCTGGTGCAACCAAGCTGCAGAAGGACCTGTGGAGTATCATCAACAGTGAAGGAGGAGGCACAGAGAAGCCGAAGGCTGAATTTAGAAAACACCAGCAAGTATTCACCTGCGAAAGGAAGGAGCCCACTCAGATTGGAGACCTTGGCTGGTGAAACTGAGAACAGTCACAGCTGGAGGCAGCTATGCAGGTTCTGGTTTTCAGGTGAGTACAATGGGAGTGCTGGAAGGCTTGAGGGAAGCGGGGCAGCCTGGGTCCTCGGTGCTCCAGAAAATCTCTAGAGAGAAACCTGAAGCCCTCACTCACTGAGGAAAATCTAAGTGAATAGTGTACAAATAGACCCGGACAGATAGTCTGGAGATGAAGGAGAAAGAAGGTGTAGAGGCCGGGCGCGGTGGCTCATGCCTGTAATCCCAGCACTTTGGGAGGCCGAGGCGGGTGGATCACGAGGTCAGGAGATCGAGACCATCCTGGCTAACACGGTGAAACCCCGTCTCTACTAAAAATACAAAAAATTAGCTGGGCGTGGTGGCGGGCGCCTGTCGTCCCAGCTACCCTGGAGGCTGAGGCAAGAGAATGGCGTTAACCCGGGAGGTGGAGCTTGCAGTAAGCCAAGATTGTGCCACTGCACCACAGCCTGGGCGACAGCGCAAGACTGTCTCAAAAAAAAAAAAAAAAAAAAAAAGGAGGTGTAGGTACCTGTTGGAAACAGAACAAGAGGGATACATATCCAAGACTATTGCCAAGGTGGCTACGCTGAGCAAATATATTTCTTTTTTTTTTTTTTTTGAGACGGAGTCTCGCTCCATGCCCCAGGCTGGAGTGTAGTGGCGTGATGTTGGCTCACTGCAACCTCTGTCTCCTGGGTTCAAACAAATCTCCTGCCTCAGCCTCCTGAGTAGCTGGGATTACAGGTGTGTGCCACCACACCTGGCTAATTTTTGTATTTTTAATAGAGACGGGGTTTCACCATGTTGGCCAGACTGGTTTCGAACTCCTGATCTCAGGTGATCTGCCCACCTCAGCCTCCCAAAGTGCTGGGATTACAGGCATGAGCCACCTGATCAAACATATTTCTTAAGACTTCAAGGTAACAACAGAAAAGGGATCTGTAGCACCATGAAGCTGGGGAAGTTATCCTGGCCCAACGCCACTCCAGTACGGGAACATTCTCCTGAAAGCACAGGGAAACCAATCTCACTTAAACATGAGCAACAGAAAAATATTTTGGTTAAACCTCATAGAAATTGTAAGAAAAAATAGGATAGCAATAATAACATGCCTACAGAAATGAAGCAACCAGAAGAATATGGCCACAAAGCAGAAGACTGTAATGTAATTTTGTTTAAAGGCAGAGTCTTGCTCTGTCACTCAGGCTGGAAGTGCAGTGGCACAATCACAGCTCATGGCAGCCTTGGCCTCCAGGGCTCAAGGGATCCTCTCACCTCAGCTTCCTAAGTAGTTGGGACCACAGGCATGCACCACCACGACTGGCTGATTTTAAAAAATTTTTGGTACAGACAGGACAATATGTTGTCCAGGCTGGTCTCAAACTCCTGGCCTCCAGCAGTCACCCCGCCTTGGCCTCCCGAAGTGCTGGGATTACAGGCGTAAGCCTCTGCACCCGGCCTGTAATGTAAGATTTTTAAATGAACAAAAGAAATTAAGAAAATAATAGAAGCTATGAAAGAGTGATACAAATTTAACAGTTTAAAGCTCACTCAGAAATAGAATGGGTAGGCAATAAGAAGACATAAAGAGAAAACAGAGCTTAGAAAAGAATTAGAAATAACAGAAAAATGTTTCAGAAATAAAGACTAAACTGGAAGGAACAAAAGAGAGAATAATAAATAGCACTAAAAATTACAGTAAATAGAGGATGGAAAGGAGAAAAAAGAAAGGAAACAAGGCCCACGCCGGTGGCTCACGTCTGTAATCCCAGCACTTTGGGAGGCCAAGGCTGGCGGATCACTTGAGGCCAGGAGTTCCAGACCAGCCTGGCCAACACAGTGAAACTCCGTCTCTACTAAAAATACAAAAAAATTAGCTGGGCGTGGTGGTGCATGCCTGTAGTCTCAGCTGCTCGGGAGGCTGAGGCAGGAGAATCACCTGAACCCAGGAGGCAGAGGTTGCATTGAGCCGAGATCACACCACTGCACTCCAGCCTGGGTGACAGAGCAAGACTCTGTCTCAAAAAAAAAAAAAAAAAAAAAAGGAATCAAATGAAAATTAAAGGAGAAATAAGAAAAGGTTTGAGAGAAATGGTAGATATAGAGGGCAGGCAAACATGAAACATGATTCAGAATGCATGTAACAGGAGAACTTGAAAAAGAAAGTCAAAGCAATAAAACAAAGCAGATGCTAAGAACTGTAATTCAAGAAAACATTCCTGCAATATAAGAAGGTACATTGAAAAGGCATATCTCATAGCTGATAAAATTAGCCCAGAATGATCAATGCTGAGACATATACTAATAAAAGTATTGAACTTCTCTCCATTGCTCTTAATCACAGGAAAAAAAATTACTGAACTTTTTGACCTTTGGGCAAGAACTTAAAAAAAAAGAAAAGAGGCGAGGCATGGTGGCTCACACCTGTAATCCCAGCACTTTGGGAGGCCAAGGTGGGCAGATCACTTGAGGTCAGGAGTTCGAGACCAGCCTGGCCAACGTGGTAAAAACCCGTCTCTACTAAAAATACAAAAAATTAGCTGGGTATTGTTGGGGGCACCTGTAATCCCAGCTACTCAGGAGGCTGAGGCAGGAGAATTGCTTGAACCCAGGAGGCCGAAGTTTCAGTGAGCTGAGATCACACCACTGCACTCCAGCCTGGGCGACAGAGCAAGACACCGTCTCAGAAAAAAAAAAAAATGAGATTTTCATCAGAGTTTTCAATGGAAACACTTTATGCCAGGAGACAATGAGGTGACATGCTTAAAATATTCAAGAAAATGTAAGCCATGCATTTTTATCCAGCTGAGCTGACCATACAGTACAAAGGCCATAGATAAACTGTTATGAACATGTAAGAACTCAGGAAAGATTGTTCCCATGAGATTATTTCTGAGGAATCTACTAGAGAACAAGCTTCAGACATCAAGAAAAACCTGGATATGCTTCAAAATGAGGATTAGTGGTAAATATTGAATATATTTAATTGTAAAACTAAAAGTAAATATTGAGGAGAAAGGTGACAGAATGGTATATAATTGTTACATGTGCTGACAATGTAGATAAAGTGCAACCATGACAAACGGGGGAAGGCCAGGTGCAGTAGCTCATGCCTGTAATCCCAGCACTTTGGAAGGCCAAGGTGGGAGGATCACTGGAGGCTAGGAGTTCAAAAACAGCCTGGGCAACATAGCAAGACTCCATCTCTACAGGGAACCAACAGACCATTATCTTTAAGAAGATGGAAAATGGTATTTTGCAAATGTATTATTTTATTTAATTTATTTTTTGAGATGGAGAATTGCTCTGTTGCCCAGGCTGGAGTGCAATGGCTTGATCTTGGCTCACTGCAAACTCTGCCTCCCAAGTTCAAGTGATTCTCCTGCCTCAGCCTCCAGAGTACCTTGGATTACAGGCACCCATCATCATGCCCAGCTAATTTTTGCATTTTTGTAGAGACGGGGTTTCACCATGTTGGCCAGGCTGGTCTTGAACTCCTGACCTCCAGTGATCCACCCACCTCAGCCTCCCAAAGTGCTGGGATTACAGGCGTGAGCCACTGTGCCCGTCCTGCAAATGTATTATTTTAAAGGTAACAGAACAAAATATTAAACTCCCTAAATCCCAAGAGCAATATTTTTTTAAGGGCTAGAGAATGAGAGACAGAAGATAGATGACCATGTAGTAAAATACTCCATGATTGAAAAAACAAGCACATGGATTGATTTGTATCTATATTATAAACGAGGCTAACTCACATATTATATGAGAGTATTTTCAAGTTGTCAAAGCAAAGTCTAGCTCTATGCTATGTACAAGATACACCTAAAACAAATAAATTAAGAACATTTAAAAATAACAGGAAGGACAAACACATACTAGGCAAAAGGTAAAATACAGGCAGAGGTTATGATGTTGATACCTGTCAATATAGAATTGTGACCAAAGGGCATTAAAAATAAAAAGGAGGACTTTTTTTTTTTTTTTGAGACAGAGTTTTGCTCTTGTTGCCCAGGCTGGAGTGCAAGGTTCGAGTGATTCCCCTGTCTCAGCCTCCTGAGATTACAGGCACCCGCCACTACATCCAGCTAATTTTTGGTATTTTTAGTAAAGATGGTCTCGAACTCCTGACCTCAGGTGATCTGCGCCCCCTTAGCATCCCAAAGTGCTGAGATTATAGGCATGAGCCACCCCGCCTGGCCAGGAAGAACTTTTCATAATGTTAATGGATAAATTAACAATGGAGATGCTACATATATATATATTACACATATATAATGTATATATATACTCAACACAACAATCAACTTTCATAAAGTAAAAACTACAAGAGCTATAGACAAAGTAGAAACACGTTAGCAAGAGAAAATTTTAATACACACTAATTCCAAGACAAATCAAGTGGACAAAAAAGTGAATAAGAATTTAGAAAATCAAATCTCTTTGATGCAGTATAGGCGAGCCCCAAAATTTGTGCTTAGCCCAGGAGGATTCTTGGCTTTCCCCAGGAAAAAAGTCAAGGACAAGAAGGTAGTCTTAGACAGCAATTTTTTATTGAATGGTACTGCTCCTCTGGGAGCAAAGCTAATTCATAGGCAGTGTGCCCAAAATCAGCAACTTATGGGTTGTTGGCAATTGTATTTATACTCACTTATACCCACTTTCGATTACATGCAAATTAAGGGGTGGACTAATGCCAATTGAGGAGCAGGTTATTTAGAACTTTCTAGGAAAGGGGCGGTAACTTCCAGGTCATTTCCATGGCATTTATAAGCTGTCAGGGCACTAGTATGAATGTCTTATGCTAATGAGAAATGAGGGCAGCTAGGGATCGTTTTAGTCCTCATCTCCTTGTTTCTTTCTTTCTTTTTTTTTTTTTTTTTGAGACAGGGTCTCACTCTGTCACCCAGGCTGGAGTACAGTGGTGCGATCTGGGCTCACTGCAGCCTCCACCTCCCAGGTTCAAGCGATTCTCTTGCCTCAGCCTCCCGAGTAGGTGGGAATACAGGCACACGCCACCATACCCGGCTAATATTTTGTATTTTTGGTGGCGATGGGGTTGTGCCCTTTTGCCTCGGCTGGTCTTGAACTCCTGGGCTCAAGCAATCCACCCTCCTTGGCCTCCCAAAGAGCAAGGATTACAGGCATGAGCCACCCTGCACTTGGGCCCTATTTATTTTCCAAAGAATTTTATAATCAATTTCTCTGGTTCCAGAAAATTTAAAAAACTGCAGATTTTTAAATGGAAATCACATTTAGTTTATAAATTTTAACTTAGAACTGGATTGGTATCTTTCTGATATTAAATCTTCTTTTTTTTTTTTTTTTTTTTTGAGACGGAGTCTGTCCCCCAGGCTGGAGTGCAGTGGCGCGATCTCGGCTCACTGCAAGCTCCGCCTCCTGGGTTCACACCATTCTCCTGCCTCAGCCTCCCGAGTAGCTGGGACTACAGGCACCCGCCACCACGCCCGGCTAATTTTTTGTATTTTGTTTAGTAGAGACGGGGTTTCACCATGTTAGCCAGGCTGGTCTCAAACTCCTGACCTTGTGACCCACCCGCCTCAGCCTCCCAAAGTGCTAGGATTATAGGCATGAGCCACCGCGCCCGGCCCTGATATTAAATCTTCTAATCAAGAACATGGTGTGTTTTTCCATTAATTCAAGTCTACTTTTGGTCCCATAAGATGTTTTTGTGTATTTGTTTGTTTGTTTCTTTTGAGACGGAGTCTCATTTCATCACCCAGGCTGGAGTGCAGCGACACAATCTCAGCTCACTGCAACCTCTGCCTCCTGGGTTCAGCAGGAGCGATTCTCCTGCCTCATCTCCTAAGTAGCTGGAATTATAGGCACAAGCACCACAATGCCTGGCTAATTTTGTATTTTTAGTAGAGGTGGGGTTTCCCATGTTGGCCAAGCTGGTCTCAAACTCCTGGCCTCAAGTGATCCGCCCACCTCGGCCTCCCAAAGTGCTGGCATTACAGGCGTGAGCCACCACACCCAGCCCCATAAGAGTCTTGTGTAGATTTCCTTGTGTCGTTTTGCATAATTCTTGTTAAACTTGGGATTGTATTTGGTTTTGTTTGTTTTTGCTATTGTCAATGGAGTTCGGGATCTCTTCCATTATTTTTTTCAAGTAGTTAATGTGTATATATAAAGACTTCTTACTTCTGTTCGTTAATTTTATATCTTGCTACTTACAAAACACTTACTGTTCATAGAAGTTTTCCATTGACGATAGTAAGTTTCCCAGAAATATATCATCTGTACATTAATGTGATTTTATTTCTTTTCCAATTTTTATCCCTCTAATTTCTTTCTCTTAATATTAAAATAGTGGGCGTACGTATCTTGTTTCTGATTTTGGCAGTACATTTCAACACCAAGTATCTGACACCAACTTGGGGTCCCAGAATTCAGTTTAATTCTGACACTAACTATCCGCAATTAGCACAGACCCCACAGATTAAGGGGCTTAGTTCCACAAGACTGCTTCCATTTCTGAGGCCACTTACAAGTGCTGGGTATCCCCAAGCCACCTGCATTTCTGTCCAGCTGGCTTCAAATCTGGGACTTTCTACAACCCCCTCAGGTTGACAATGCATTAAGAACAACTTATAGAACTCAGGAAAGTGCTATATTTATGATTACCATTTTATGATAAAGGACACAAACAGCCAGATGAAGACAGGTATGGGTGGAGATGGGGGTATGTTAGGGCATTTGGAATTGGGGCTTTTTTGTTGGGTTTCTGTTTATAAATGTGTATTTCTACAGAAATCTGTCTGTTTAAACTTTATGTCTCTACTGGGATCAATTTTGATAAATTATATTTTTCTAGAAAATTATCTATTGCATCTAGATTTTCAAATTTATTTGCATAGACTTGTACGAATTAGTAGGCTCCGTTTTGATGGATAGCCATGTTTCCCTGGTACATTTGTGCTTTCTTGCTTGTTCAACCATTTTACCCTTCTGCTTCTGTTCATCAACCATTGATTCTTCTCAACTAACCAGAAAATTCTTTTTTTAAAAAAATTATCTAGGCCAGGCACAGGGGCTCATACCTGTAATCCCAGCACTTTGGGAGGCCGAGGTGGTCAGATCACCTGAGGTCAGGAGTTTGAGAACAGCCTGGCCAACATGGTGAAACCTCGTTTCTACTAAAAATACAAAAATTACCTGGGCATGGTGGTGAGCACCTGTAATCCCAGCTACTTGGGAGGCTGAGGCAGGAGAATCACTTGAACCCGGGAGGCAGAGGTTGCAGTGAGCTGAGATCACACCATTGCACTCCAGCCTGGGTGACAGAGTGAGACTCCATCCACCCCCCCCAAAAAAATTATCTAATAGTTGGTGTTTTCAAATAATTATTTTTATTTCGGTATTACTTTTACTATTTTTTAATTCACCAATTTTTACTCTTACTGTATTAATTCCTTTCTTTGACCTTTTCTTTGTGACATTGGTGTTTCATTTATTTACTTTCATTTTCATTGACATAGGTAGTTAATACTATGAATTTTCCTCTCATAACTGCTTTTTCTGTAACTATTCATATGTGATGTTTTCATTGTCAGTAGTATCATTTTCTTTAAAAAAAAAAAAAAAAACGGAGTCTTGCTGTGTCGCCAGGCTGCAGCGCAGTAGTGTGATCTCAGCTCATTGCAACATTTGATTCCCTGGTTCAAGCAATTCTCCTGCCTCAGCCTCCTGAGTAGCTGGGATTACAGGCATGCGCCACCATGCCCAGCTAATTTTTGTACTTTTAGTAGAGACGGGATTTCACAGTGTCGGCCAGGATGGTCTCGAACTCCTGACCTCAGGTGATCTGACCGCCTCGGCCTCCCAAAGTGCTGGGATTACAGGCGTGAGCCACTGTGCCCAGCCAGTAGTATCATTTTCTTTCTTTCTTTTTTTTTTTTTTGAGACGGAGTCTTGCTCTGTCACCCAGGCTGGAGTGTAGTGGCGCGATCTCAACTCACTGCAACCTCTGCCTCCCAGGTTCAAGCGATTCTCCTGCCTCAGCCTCCCATGTAGCTGGGACTACAGGTGCCGGCCACCACGCATGGCTAATTTTTGTATTTTTAGTAGAGACGGGGTTTCACCATGTTGGTCAGGCTGGTCTTGAACTCCCGACCTTAGGTGATTCACCTGCCTCAGCCTTCCAAAGTGCTGGGATTACAGGCGTGAGCCACCGCGCCCGGCTTCTCATTTTCAATAATTCTAAACTTTTAATTTTCCATTTATTGTGGGAATTATTTTAAAATATGTGCATTTTTTAAAACTTCCCAGTGGAAAAAACTTTGTTATTATTATCAATTATCAATTTATTGCATTGTAGTCAGAAAATGCTATTTGTGTTATTTGTATTTGATTGAGGTTTTTTCTTTTGGCCTAAAATATCTACTTTTACGCACATTCCATGCGCACTTCAAAAAGTGTATTTTCCCGTATTGAAATTCCGAGTTTTATATGTATTTGTAAGTTTCCATATTGACTGTGATGTGTAGGTCAGTGCTACTCAAAGTAGCCATTCTCCTGTGTCACTGAGCACACATTTAGACTCCGCTACCTTGTTTAAAAAAAAGCATGATTTTCTCTGTGAAAGAAATAATGCATTGATTTATATTCTGGAGCAAGCATCTACCTTGTTGCATCTGGTAGCACAGTTCATGGAATGGCACCAGTCTGTAACCACAGTTTGACTAGCACTACGATGGAGGAGACCAGCAGGACTTATTTCCTGGTCTCCAGGAATGAAGTGAAAAAACCATCAGAAACCAGCAGATGAGAGGCCAGGTGCCATGGCTCATGCCTGCAATTCCAGCACCTTGGGAGGCTGAGGCAGGTGGATCACTTAAGCTCAGGAGTTCGGGACCAGCCTGGGCAACATGGTGAAACCCCATCTCTAACACATAATACAAAAATTATCTGGGTGTGGTGGTGGGTGCCTGTAATCCCAGCTACTCGGGAGGCTGAGGTGGGAGGATTTGCTTGAGCCCAGGAGGCAGAGGTTGCAGTGAGCCAAGATCGTGCCACTGCACTCCAGCCTGGGTGATAGAGCAAGACCCCATCTCAAAAATAATAAAAATAAGAATAAATTACGCAGTCTCAGATATTGCTTTATAGCAATGAAAGAATGACCTAACACAAATGGTGTTGGGATGACTGATAATCGTGTGGATAAAGATAAAATTGGATTAATTCCTCATTTTTATATTAGGATAAATTCCAAATCAGTCAATATCTAAACATAAAAATAGTAAAGTCATAAAATATTAGAGAAAAACTTCTTAGGTATTCATTGTCAAAAAGTATATATAATTTAAAAATTAGAGAAAACTATAGGTTAATTTTTTCACAATCTGGAAATGATGAGGACTTTCCTAACTGTGATTCCATATTCAGATTTAATAAAGGAAAAATGGGTAACTTTGTCTACCTAAATATTCTTAAAATTGTATGCACAAAATACTGTATGGAAAGTCAACAGTTAAATAAACAATTGAGACCAAATACTTGTAACTTATATCACAAAATACCAACATCCCTAATATGTAAAATCCTATTCTGACAACCCATTAGAAAAATGGGGAAATTACATAAAAACAAATGAAAATGGCTCTTAAATATGTGAAAAGATGTTCACTTTGCTCATATTAAGAGAAATAATAAGAGAGATGCACATTAAAACTAAATGGAGATACCATTGCTCATCTATCAGTTTTGCAAAAATCCCAAACTTGACACTCTGAGTTGGTGAGACGGTGGAGAAATAGGTACTTTCCTGTATTGTTGATGGAGATGTAAATGGTACAACTACGCAGGGGGATTCAACAACATCTAGCAACATTACATATGTATTTACTCTGCCCAAGCAACCCTTCTTCCAAGTATCTACATCTGAGAATACAATGCCAAAACCACAAAATGATGACTGCTCAAGGCTATTTATTACAGCACATTTTGTAATCATGAAAGACTATAAGCAGCCCACATCTCTATCTGCAGAGAACAGGTGAATACACAATGAATGGTACATACATGCACTGAACTACTATTCAGCTGTAAAAAAAAAAAAAAAAAAATAGTATCTTTATAAGGCTAGGCACGGTGGCTCACACCTGTAATCCCAGCACTTTGGGAGGCCGAAGTGGGTGGATCATTTGAGGTCAGGAGTTCGAGACCAGCCTGGCCAACATGGTGAAACCCCATCTCTACCAAAAATACAAACATTAGGTGGGCATGGCGATGGGCGCCTGTAATCCCAGCTACTTGGGAGGCTGAGGCAGGAGAATTGCTTGAGCCTGGGAGGCGGAGGTTGCAGTGAGTAGAGATTGTGCCATTGCACTCCAGCCTGGGCAACAGAGCAAGACTCCGTCTCAAAAAAAAAAAAAAGAACATCTCTATAAATTGTTAGAGAATGAAAATGAGAAAAAGTAACATACAGAAGAGTATTATAGTATTGCATTTTTTTGTGTATGAGTGGAATAAAAATACAAGTATATGCATATACATTTGCTTCCATTTTCAAAATTTAAAGGTGTTAAAAACTAATAGAAATAATCACCTATTGGAAAAAGGATAAGGATGGAAGCTATAACTTTCTGATGTGCCTTGTTTTATAGTTTTGATAAAAATATATACAAAATTAAAAATAAATTTTACAAAAAAGTAATCACTATAAAAAACTGAATAAAAACCCATTGGTCTATCAAGCTGTGTCATAACCACACAGAGAATTCTTTCACATAATTTTGCAACAGTATAATTGTGTACAGTGTATAGTGGGACAGTGTATACAGGCTGTACAATATATAGTGAGATATATCTGAAGAAAACAAATATAAAGAAATCTTAAGCAGTATTCAGTAGACTTATTGCTGGTAATAATACTGGTATTGGTATTTCAAAACTATTATATTTATGTAATGGGATAAAAACTATTATATTTATGTAATGGGATAAAATAGGAACCAAGATCTTCGGTGTGTTTTAGTCCATTTGTGTTGCTATAATTTATAAGAAAAAGAAATGTGTGTGATCTGTGACACTCATCCTCTCCCATTCCCCCTTCCTCCCCACTCCCGGTTCTCTGACATTTACACTGAGACTGAATTACCACCCACCAGCGTTCCTGGTTCTCCAGCTTGCAGATGACATATTGTGGGACTTTTTGTCCTCCATAATCACATGAGCCAATTCCCATAATAAATTCCCTCTTATATTTCTATATATTCTATTGGTTCTGTTTCTTTGGAGAACTCTGAGAAATATAGTATCAGTTTACATGGAGGATAGAGAAATATATTAAATGACATTCCAAGGTTACAAATTCAAATCCAGGATGTGGGAAATCACACATGACAAATCACCCAGTTTCTTCAATAAATAAATGGCATAAAACTAAAACTAAATGACACAATGAACAACAACAACAACAAGCCATTCTATTGATTAAAAGAGACTTAAGAGCAGTAACCATCAGCCCTGTCAAGATGGTGGCTCCTTGGAGCTCAGTGGCTGGGAGGTGGCTAGGGGCTCCTATTGGTACACAGTGAGTATGTGGTGGTGATGGCTTATGCCAAATTATCTGTTGCATGTTTGAAAGTTAATGTTGGGCCAGGCATTGTGGCTCCCAGCACTTTGGGAAGCCCAGACGGCCGATCGCTTGAGCTCAAGAGTTTGAAACTAGCTTGGGCAACATGGCAAAACCCCATCTCTACTAAAAATACAAAAAAATTGCCAGGTGTGGTGGTGCGTGCCGGTGGTCCCAGCTATTCTGGAGGCTGAAGTGGGAGGAACCTTTCAGCCCAGGAGGCAGAGGTTGCAGTGAGCAGAGATTGTGACACTGCACTTCAGCCAGTGTGACACAGAGAGACCCTGCCTCAAAAAAAAAAAAGAGAAGAAAAGAAAAGAAAGTTAATGTCATAGATAGCCACTGGAGAGGTTCAAGGGAAGATATATCAATTTTGACAACTGAAGACAACATTGTTTCTTAGCTGGTAAAAATATTAAACTTTTAAGGAAAACAGAAATATAATGTTTATTATGAATTTCCAGCCAAAGGGCAGACACACTGGCTTTCAATGCTCTCCTTGAATAGAAGCTGCCTCCTCTAGCGCTTCACACGTTCTGGGTTGAAAGCCACAATTACTCTACTGTAACAAAGCCTTGGTGTTGGTTTGCTTCATAGATTCCTTTTCCCTTGGGTTTGATCCTGCCTGGAAAAATGTCTGCAACAGCACTGATCGGATTATCCTGACCAGAGGAGAGCCTCTCCTTTACCGCCTGTGAGAAGTGGAATCATGGATATAGAGATGCTAAGAAGTGCCTAAATCTTCTGGCAGATAGATTGTGAACATCTCAGCTTTTCCTTGGAGATACGCGTTCTACTTTGGTTACCTATGTGTTTGGTTTCCTTGCACCTCTGCGTGAAGTGCACTTTCCTAAAGTTCAGTTACAAGAACATTTGGAACATCTCTCCAACCTGCGTTCCTTTTGTGATGCTCTCCTAAATAGTTATTTTAGGCTTAGCGTTGGAGATGGATGACAATCTTCACCAAAACCCTCAACTTCCTCCTTGGAAACTGCCAACATTCAAATTGACATCAGTGGAGCAAGAAAGTAATTCCTTATGTTAAATTAAATAATAAGTACTCATTAAATATATAGCTTATTTCCAAATAAAATATGTTTTTAATTTAAAAATTATAAAGACTTTTAAAATATGCTCTTTATTTTAAAAAATGTTTTTAATCTAACTTAATGGTTATTTCAAAATAGGAAACAAAATTAAAAAAACAATAAATGGAAAATATATATTAAAAGTTATAAATATGAAAAAATACATATTTTTGAAAATATATTTTTAATTTAAAAAGGTTAAAAATATTTTATATTAAAAAAACTCAGCCTGACATGGTGGCTCATGCTTGTAATCCCAGCACTTTGGGAGGCTGACAGGAGGCTCACTTGAGGCCAAAAGATCAAGACCAACCCAGGCAACATAGCAAGACCCTGCCTTCCTAAAAAATAAAAAATAAGTTACAGGGGCACACCTGTAGTCCTAGACACACAGGAGGCTTTATCACATTGGAGATCTTTATAACTTTTTGATATGGGCATTTAGAACTATAAGCTTTCCTTTTAACATTGCTTTAGCTGTGTCCCAGAAATTCTGCTTTGTTGTATCTTTGTTCTCATTAGTTTCAAAGAATTTCTTGATTTCTGCCATAATTTCATTGTTTACCCAAAAATCATTCAGGAGCAGGTTGTTTAATTTCCCTGCAATTGTATGGTTTTGGGCAAAAAAACTCTCATCAAATTTTAACCATGGCTATTCTAAGGCTTTGTTTAATCCACAGATACTATTTTCAATTCTTCCCTAAAAACATTTGCCACCAGCTATAATATAAAATTACTTTTCACTAAAAAGGCCTCTAGCAAATACTCTTAGACACAAATTTCTGATAACTTTAAAATCAATCGACTAAATGAAAATTATTAAAACTCTAATAAAAACTAATAGGTTCATCAAAACTACTAAACAAGATCAAACAAAACAGAAAGTTAACTAATTAAAAAAATAAAAACAACGTTTTATAACTGTTATTCAAGATACTGTTAGTTCTGGCTAAGCATAATCCCAGCACTTTGGGAGGCCAAGGTGAGAGAACTGCTTGAGCCTGGGAGTTGGAGACCTGCCTGGGCAACATAATGAGACCTTGTCTCTATTACTTTTTAAACAATTATAAAATAAAATACTGTTATTTCTTTAAGTAATGCTTTAAGTACTGTTTCCTTTTCCATTAAAAAATTTTCAACTGGACATGGTGGCTCACACCTGTAATCCCAACATTTTGGGAGGTCAAGGCAGGAGGGTCACTTGAAGCCAGGTGTTCAAGACCAGCCTAGGCAACAAAGTGAGACCCCCATCTCTACAAAAAATTTTTTTGTAGAGACAAAAAAAATTTTTTGTCAGGTGTGGTGGCGTATGCCTGTAGTCCCCGCTTGGGAGGCTGAGGCAGGAGGATTGCTTGAGTTTAGGAGTTCAGAGGCTGCAGTGGAGCTATGACTGCATCACTGCACTACAGCCTGGGCAGTAAAGTGAGACCCCATTTCTATAAAAGAAAAAATAAAAATAAGGAAAATTTTCTCTCATATACTATCTATAGTTTACAATAATAGCCTGAGCAGCATAGCGAGACCTCGTCTCTACTAAAAAAAAAAAAAAAACGAGCCGGGCATGGTGGTACATGCCCCGTGGTCTCAGCTACTCACGAGGCTGAGGTGGACAGATAGCTTGAGCCTGGGAGATTGAGGCTGCAGTGAGCTTGATCGTGCCACTGTACTCCAGCCTTGGTGACAGAGTGAGACCCTGTCTCAAAAATAATAATATTAATAATTTAATAATTATACTTTTATAAACAATGATAAAAAACATTTGCTTCTTCTCCCTACTTAATTTCTTAAAAAATTCAAAAACTATTTGTATCATTTTTATAACAACATTATTTATACAAATTCAGTTAAAATCTACTCTCTTTATAAACAAACAATTAAAAATATTAGTTATATTACTAAGATTTTGACTGAATTGTCATATTTTTAAATGCACATAAAATGCTTAACTTCAAGAGTTCTCAACCTTACAATAAATAAATAAAAATTGTTACTTTCTTACAGGCTCAAAAACCATAAGACTATAAAAAAAAATCTGAAATCTGCTTTGATTTGGTTTCCCAGCCTGAAAAAAGTTCTTAAATCTGAGATTTCTATATAATCAACTTTTTAAAAAAATTATGTTTCTAAAAAGCCTATAAAACACCTATTATTAGATTATAACCCCATCCATTATTTTCAAATTCCTTTTATCTACCTGTACACTATACTAAATCCTAAATTTTTCCAATTTCGTCCAAAATTTGGCTACAACTCCCCAATGAAAAACAAAAAATACTCTGTTTCTAAACTAAAACGAGATAACTTTTAAAAACCAAGTCTCATGCCTGATATATGGGCCACACAAAAGATTCACCAAACCATCCAATGTCATGACCAAAGACATTAAAACTGCAACCCCCAGAAAAAGTTAATGGTTTTTACTTGTGGAAGGAAGTCTTGGTTAAAAAAAAAAAAAAAAAGTTAATGTTTTCATGTTATAGACAACTTTTTCCAAGATATCAGAGCAAGAGTCTATATCATAATAAAACTTTTATCCCTCTTAATGCCTACCTTTTTCATTGAACAAAAAGATATAATTAAAATTTCACAATCAATAACTTCTGCTAGTAACATAAAAGCTAACCTAGGCCAGGTGTGGTGGCTCATGCCAGTAATCCTAGTGCTTCGGGAGGCCAAAGTAAGAGGATCACTTGAGGCCAGGAGTTTGAGACCAGCCTGTTCAACATAATGAAACCTTGTCTCTACAAAAGAGAAAAAAAACGAGTCAGGCTTCGTGGTGCAGGCCTGTAGTTCCAGCTACTCAGGAGGCTGAGGCAGGAAGATCCCTGGAGTCCAGGAGTTCAAGGCTACAGTGAGCTATGATGGCACCACTAGACCCCAGCCTAGATGACAGAGCAAGACCCTGTCTCTTGACCAAAAATAAAAGAAGAAGAAGAACTTAAAAAAAATCCTTTAATATCCATTAGTTAAAATTTTAAAAGGCTAGAGTGGTAGGTGCAGTGGCTGACACCTGTAATCCCAGCACTTTGGGAGGATGAGGTGGGAGGGTTGCTTGAACCCAATGGTTCGAGACCAGCCAGGGCAACATAGGAAGACTCCATTTCTACAAACAAGCAAACAAACAAACAAAAAAGGCAGCTGTGGTGGCACGGGCCTGTCGTCCCAGCTACTCGGAAGGCTGAGGTGGGAGGATGGCTTGAGCCTGGGAGATCAAGGCTGCAGTTAGCATGACCCAGCCTGAGTGACAGAGAAAGATCCTGCCTCAAAATAAAATAAAATTTAATTTAAATTTAAAATAAATAAATTTTAAAAGTCTATACTATTACTAATATTACATGCTATACCTAAATAAATTCCTCTAAAAAAGCTAAGATCCACTTATAGAAAATTAACAAAACGGGTCATATAATTACAACAAGTGTAACTAAATTCCCTATGGTCATTTAATTTATTCAATTGGTAGTCTTTAAGTCTCAGTTCATGGCCCAAAACCATTATACAAACTAAAACTGTCATATTGCTAATAATTTACTCTAATTTTCCCTTTTAAAACTTTATATCTATTGCTTGTTACATTTTCACAAAAATACAGCTCTTAACAAAATAATACTGCCCCAAAACTTTAAAATAAGAACAAAAGACTGAAAAACAGCCAGTAATCCCAGCACTTTGGGAGGCCGAGGCGGGCGGATCACGAGGTCAGGAGATTGAGACCATCCTGGCTAACACGGTGAAACCCTGTCTCTACTAAAAATACAAAAAAAAAAAAATAATAATTAGACGGGCGTGGTGGCGGTTGCCTGTAGTCTCAACTACTAGGGAGGCTGAGGCAGGAGAATGGCATGAACCTGGGAGGCGGACCTTGCAGTGAGCCAAGATCGCGCCACTGCACTCCAGCCTGGGCAACAGAGCGAGACTCCATCTCAAAAAAAAAAAAAAGAGAGACTGAAAAACAAATAAAAATAAACTTAATAATACACACTAGATAAACAGCCTAAGGGCCATTTTCTTCAAACTCCATTGTTACTCAAACATGACTAAAATCATTCTGACACTGACTCTCAGTTGCCAATTATTCCCCGAAACAAGAGATGAGACCAACAACCAAGACAGGTTAATCCTGACACCAAAGGACATCAAAGCCTAACTACAAAGTAATTGATCAGTAATACTTTCAAAAACAGATTTTGGCCGGGCACAGTGGCTCATGTCTGTAATCCCAGTACTTTGGGAGACCAAGGCAGGTGGATCACTTGAGCCCAGGAGTTCGAGACCAGTATGGGCAACATGGCAAGACTCTTGTCTTTTTGTCATTTTTTTTAAATTAAATTAATTCTTTAAAAAAATTTTAATAGAAAACAATATATAAAAGTTGGTAAAATCATAATAAAATCAGGAATATTTTTAAAATGATAACAAACTGGCTGGGTGCAGTGGCTCCAGCCTTAATTCCAGCACTTTGGGAGGCTGAGGTGGGCAGGTTGCTTGAGCCGAGGAGTTCAGGACCAGCTTGGGCAACATGGCAAGACCCTGTCTCTACAAAAAATTTTAAAAGTAGCCAGGTATGGTGGTGTGCACCTGTAGTTCCAGCCAGTTGGGAGGCTGAGGTGGGAGGATCGCTTGAGCCCAGAAAGTTGAGGCTGCAGTGAACTCGGTTCATACCACCGCACTCCAACCTGGGTGACAGAGCAAGACCCTGTCAAAAAAAAAAAAAAGAAAACAACTCATAAGACTTAAGCGATAAAGTGAGAGTTCTCATTCTTGCATGCCTAATAACAAAAACTATCACAAAACACTACAAAAACTACAACCTTACACAAAGACTATCACAATTTTGTACAAAAAAAAAAAATACTTCTACATGGACACTTGCCCAACAACTACAAATGGTGTCACTCTTGTTATTGATCTTTATAGCCAAAGATAATTATTTCAAAACAATTGTATAAATCCTCATTTTTTTCTTTAAAAATTTGTCTTCCTTTACCTCCATAAATATACACATGGTTTCACACAATACAGTGTCTTATAGTTATACTATAACATATTACTATTACAATACTCTAGTCCCATGTAAATATCTTTTTCTTTTAAAAAGCCTCTCTGGGCCAGGCGCGGTGGCTCACACCTGTAATCCCAGCACTTTGGGAGGCCGAGGCGGGCGGATCACGAGGTTAGGAGATCGAGACCATCGTGGCCAACACGGTGAAAGCCTGTCTCTACTAAAAAATAGAAAAAATTAGCCGGGCGTGGTGGCGGCCGCCTGTAGTCCCAGCTACTAGGGAGGCTGAGGCAGGAGAATGGCATGAACCCGGGAGGCGGAGCTTGCAGTGAGCCAAGATCGTGCCACTGTATTCCAGCCTGGGCGACAGAGCAAGACTCCGTCTCAAAAAACAAACAAACAAACAAACAAAAAGCCTCTCTGCTTGTTATTTAAACTACCACAAGAGTTATCACCATCAGCATGTTTGTGCCCAAACCTTTGCCTCAAGTCATATGATTATTGCAGTAATTTCTTACACTAAGTATGCGAGGTCAAAAATGTTTTTAAAAAGTATAAAGAAGACTAAAATAAAAGGAACTTTCTATTCTATGTATGTATTTTTTAACTAGAAAGTTTGCATTCTAATTTAGCAATACACATTAATGTCAAAGTGAACTTTAAATGAACTTGGAAAAAAGAAAATACATCGTGCTGTATATATTTTTTAAAAGAAGAAAGCAGCCGGGTGCAGTGGCTCACGCCTGTAATCCCAGCATTCTGGGAGGCCGAGGCGGGTGGATCATGAGGTCAGGAGATCGAGACCGTCCTGGCTAACATGGTGAAACCCCGTCTCTACTAAAAAATACAAAAAATTAGCCAGGCGTGGTGGTAGGCGCATGTAGTCCCAGCTACTTGGGATGCTGAGCCAGGAGAATGGTGTGAACCTGGGAGGCGGAGGTTGCAGTGAGCTGAGATCATGGCACTGCACTCCAGCCTGGGCACAAAGCGAGACTCCATCTCAAAAAAAAAAAAAAAAAAAAGAAGAAAGCCTGCTTTAATCTTGGCATTTGCCTTTGGTTTACATGTTGCTGACCAAAAGACACAATTCTGTTCTGAATGTGTGTTCAATTTATTCAAGTTAATTTACTCAATTTGTCAGTTTTTTTTAGGCCAATCTGAATGTTTAATCTTCATCTCTTTGGCTAAGGCCTTTTCTTCTGTTTAGAAATCTGATTTCTGGGATGGGTGCAGTGGCTCATGCCTGTAATCCCAGCACTTTGGGAGGCCGAGGTGGGCAGATCACTTGAGGTCAGTAGTTCGAGACCAGTATGGCCAACATGGTGAAACCCAGTCTCTACTAAAAATACAAAAATTAGCTGGACGCAGTGGCACATGCCTGTATTCCCAGCTACTTGGGAGGCTGAGACAGAAGAATAGCTTGAACCTGGGAGGCGGAGGTTGCAGTGAGCTGAGATGATGTCACTGCACTCCAGCCTGGGCGACAGAGCAAGACTCTGTCTAAAAAAAAAAAGAAAGAAAAAGTAAAGAAATCTGATTTCTGTTTTAGAAACTAGGAAAAATATTAATTATTTCAATAGAAAAGCATGTATTTAACTTGAGAGAGAGAGACAGAGAAAGAGAAAGAGAGAGAGAGAGAGAGACTTATCAACCAAATGAAATATGTAGTCTTGTTTCAGTCCTGATTTTTATAAACCACCTTTAAAAGACATTTAGGGACAATTAGGAAAATTGAACACAGACTGGTCGTTATACCAGGGATGTGAAAGGAAAATAAACCTTGGATCCCAAAATCACTGTCATACTGCGGACTGCTTAGGACAAACCTGCCTCCCATTCCATTCAGTCATCCCTCTGCTCACTGAGATAAATGCATATCTGATTGCCTACTTTGGAAAGGCTAATCAGAAACTCAAAAGAATGTAACTGTGTCTCTCACCTACTTACGGCCTGGAACCCCCTCCCCTCCTCCCCGCTTCGAGTTGTCCCACCTTTCCAGACTGAACCAATATGCAACTTACGTCTATTTATTGATGTCTCATGTCTCCCTAAAATGTATAAAACCAAGCTGCGTCCTGACCACCTTGGGCACATGTCATCAGGACCTCCTGAGACTGTGTCATGGGTGTGCATTCTTAACTTTGGCAAAATAACCTTCTTAAATTGACTAAGACCTGTTTCAGATATTGTGTGTTCACATTTGGCAACCACGAAGGGACCCTGAGTGGAGGTGGCCCTGACTTTTGATAAATCTCCTACTGGTGCTTGGTACCAGCTTGAGCTATATCTTTTTTTTTTTTTTTGAGACGGAGTCTCGCTCTGTCGCCCAGGCTGGAGTGCAGTGGCGCGATCTTGGCTCACTGCAAGCCCCGCCTCCCGGGTTCACGCCATTCTCCTGCCTCAGCCTCCCTAGTAGCTGGGACTACAGGCGCCCGGCACCATGCCCGGCTAATTTTTTTTGTATTTTTAGTAGTAGAGACGGGGTTTCACCGTGTTATCCAGGATGGTCTGGATCTCCTGACCTCGTGATCCGCCCGCCTCGGCCTCCCAAAGTGCTGGGATTACAGACGTGGCCACCCTGCCCGGCCTGCTTGAGCTATATCTTTATGGCTCAAACCTATAGGACAATTTGCCGAGGCCTGGAAGCTCCCTGCCCTCCAGAGAATCCCAGATAGCTGCTTTGTTTTGCTGTACACTCCCTTTTCTGGGTTTTTACTTGTTTCCAACAGGGAAGGCAAGTTTTCCTGCTTCCATAACGATGGAAGGCAGGTAACTCCTTTCTGGAGTTTGAGCTCGCTTCCAACAGGGAAGGTGGGTGTCATGCGCGTCCGTGGGAAGAGACCACCAAACAGGCTTTGTGTGAGCATTAAAGCTTTTTAATCACCTGGGTGCAGGCAGGCTGAGGTGATTAAAAAGCTTTATTGCACCGGGTGGTGGCTCACACCTGTAATCCCAGCACTTTGGGAGGCCGAGGCAGGCGGATCACGAGGTCAGGAGATCGAGACCATCCTAGCTAACACGGTGAAACCCCGTCTGTACCAAAAAATACAAAAAATTAGCCGAGCGTGGTGGTGGGCGCCTGTAGTCCCAGCTACTCAAGAGGCTGAGGCAGGAGAATGGCGTGAACCCGGGAGGCGGGGCTTGCAGTGAGCCGAGATCGCACCACTGCACTCCAGCCTGGGTGACATAGCGGGACTCCATCTCAAAAAAAAAAAAAAAAGTTTTTTTTTTTTTCTCAGTTGACTGATTTCTGTTTCCTTCATCTACTTCTGCCATCTCTCCTTTCTCTTGCCACCCTCTGCTGCATGAGGAACCTAAAATAGTTTATAATAGCCTGGGATTCCTTAAGGAAAATGAAGAAGGACCAGACTTTCTTTTGGGGAGTAACCTCTGTTTTTTCTTATGGAACCCCAAGAATGTAAACAGACAAGCTTGTCTCAGATCTTAAACTGCTTGCTTTTTTTTTTTTGACTAAAATAGTTATTACAACGGAGGCTACTCATGGGTTTTTATGGAAGAGTGTATTTACTTATTTATTTATTATGTATTTATTTACTTATTTGAGACCAAGTCTCACTCTGTCACCCAGGCTGGGGTGCAGTGGCATGATCTCGGCTCACTGCAACCTTCGCCTCCCAGGTTCAAGTGATTCTCATGCCTCAGCCTCCCAAGTAGCTGGGATTACAGACGCATGCTACCACACCCGGCTAGTTTTTGTATTTTTAGTAGAGACAGGGTTTTACCATGTTAACCAGGCTGGTCTCAAACTCCTGATTTCAGGTGATCTGCCCACCTCAGCCTCCCAAAGTGCTGGGATTACAAGTGCGAGCCACCATGCCTGGCCAAGGAAGAGTGTAATTTAGACACTCAGAAGTGTCTTCATTTAGGAAAAAAAAAAATTGTTTTTAAGTGCACGTTAAAAGCATCCTATGGTCTAGCTTCATACTAATTCTTTCTTTTTGGAGACCCAGGATTCAGTGTGGACTCTGCCCAGAGCTCTGGGATCCACTTAAATATAAGTAGTTCCTATCTAAATAAAATTGGTCTCCTTATACAATCCTATGATACATTTCTATAATTTTATGTTTGATTTGGTATCCATCTTTAATCTCCCTCTACCACCACCAGATTCTCTCTCTCTACTTTGAGATGTAAATTTTGCTATCTGATTTTTTTTTGACCTGAGAGTTCCTTTAATATGCAAATTTAGGGCTGTCTAGCTGACAATTGCCTAGGGTAATAAAATAGGTTATCAAGAAATTGAAAGTCTAAAATAGGAGAAAAAAATAGAGGACTTGTGAGTCTGTAAGATTGACTTCTATTTGGTGGTTAATATATCTATATATGTATGTGTCATGCATATGATGTTTTAGTACTAAAAATGTATAAAGGAGCTCTAATTAATTGGCTTAAAAAAGCACTTAAATCAAATACTTTATCAAAAAAAGAGAGACTTTAAACCAAATGCTTTTTCAAGTTCACAAGACTTAAGTAAACTTTAATAAATAAATTGGTTTTAAAATTTTTGGTGAAATAGAAATGGCTTTGGAATTGTCAACATACATTATTTATCTCTGCTAGATGTCAAAATTTGGCATGAGGGTTATAAAGCTGTGAATGCAGCTCAAAAGAGAATTTTCTTTGTTTATGGGCAATGTAATAAATAACATAGTTAATATTGTTTGGTTAATGAAAACAGCTAAATCCTGAATTATTGGCAAAAAAACAAACCCATCTATTTAACCTTAAATTTCTTACTCATGAAAAGCTGAAATTCACAGGTCATAAAAATGGTTAACAAGGAAATATCTTTAAATTATAACTATCACAGTTTTAGTAAGTAAACTGAGTAAACTATTTTTTAAAAATTACTTAGGTAAATGGAATATATGCTTGTAGATAATCTTATCATATAATTTAAAGTCTAAAGTTATATTAAGCTAAATAATAGATATTCATTAAATGTCTGGGCTATTTCCAATTTTTTTAATTATAGGAAAACATTTTTTCTTAAAAAAAAAGAAAGGTGCTCTTATTTAAAGGAAAATAATTTTTATCTAATTCAAAGGGTATTTAAGAGTTACTTAAGAAATTAGGTAAAGGTAATCAATGAATAAGAACAATGTAAAGAAAGTTAAAAACATAAAGAGGTATTTTGGGCAAGAAATGTTAAAAGAAAAATAATTTTCTATGGGAAAGAATCTTACATGGTAAATTTTTGTCCTAAAATAAAATAATTGGTTATTTAAGAAAGAAGGATATCTAGGATAAAACAGGAAGTCCAAGCATGTCATAAATGATTTGTGTCAAGTTGTCTATAATTAAAGAGAAATTATTTATAATAGTTTTTCTAGAGATGGGGTCTTGATGTTTAAAAAAAAACACATATACACTAAAGACTTGTTTATTTATTTATTTATGTATTTTTAAATTTATTTTCTTGAGACAGAGTCTCACTCTGCTGCCCAGGCTGGAGTGCTGTGGTGCAATCTCGGCTCACTGTAAGCTCCGCCTCCCAGCTTCATGCCATTCTCCTGCCTCAGCCTCCCGAGTAGCTGGGACTACAGGTGCCCACCACCACGCCCAGCTAGTTTTTTGTATTTTTAGTAGAGACAGGGTTTCACCATGTTAGCCAGGATGGTCTTGATCTCCTGACCTTGTGATCCGCCCATCTTGGCCTCCCAAAGTGCTGGGATTACAGGCACGAGCCACTGCACCCAGCCGAGAATTGTTTAGAACAATGAAATTTTCTTTAGGGATTCATTTACTCTTAATAAATTATTTGAGACTTTAATTTTTTTTAACCCAAAGTTCAACTTTTATTACGTCTCACCATTTTTGGTTTCCTTTCCCTTTTTAAAATGCGCAAAATAATAATGTTCTCCTTCAACTCATTTTCAGCTCATATAAATATTTTTTGCCTTGGGTTCTGTTTGTTGTGCCTGATGCTAAAAATGTTTTCTTAAAAGTCTAAAGGAAATGTTTTCTTCCAATATAATATTTTGTGCACTGCAGAAGGTCTTTTCTTTTGCATTTTAGTAACTGGTCCAACAGATTTTATATTTTATCAAAACAATTCCTATACCACTACTATAAAGTTTTGGTATGCTTAGGAAAAAAACTGAGATTAAAAAAATTTTTTTAATTAAGTTTATTACATCAGTATATCTTTCTGTATGTTTTTTTTTTTTTTTTCTGAGACAGAGTTTCGCTCTTGTTGCCTGGGCCTGGAGTGCAATGGCACAATGTCAGCTCACCGCAACCTCCACCTCCCAGGTTCAAGTGATTCTCCTGCCTCAGCCTCCCTAGTAGCTGGGATTACAGGCATGTGCCACCATGGCTGGCTAATTTTGTATTTTTAGTAGAGATGGGGTTTCTCCATGTTGGTCAGGCTGGTCTCAAACTCCCGACCTCTACCTGCCTCAGCCTCCCAAAGTGCTGGGATTACAGGCATGAGCCACTGCGCCTGGCCTTGTATGTACTTTTAAAGTCCTTGTGCCATTAAGTTACAGGGCTTTGACTTCTGGGTCTGAAAAAGACACCAAGTCCTTCTAAATCTTAAACACTAACAGCAATTAAATCCTCATCTTCAAGCCTGGTAGAAGATGCCAATCAAAATAAACTGCGTTCGTGAGACTCAGGGCCACAAATTAAAACTATTCAACTCCTCAAGATTCAGGTACTATCACAGAAGAGATGGGCACATGAGATTGTAAGGGCCGATTTTGAGAGATAAAATAAGTTCAAGTTCTCTATAAATAAACCATTAATGTCAAAGGCACACTGATGCAAGACCAGTATATGAGCCCCTGTGTCAGATTAACAAGGTTTTCTTGGAGCATTAACCCATTCCTTAATAAAAAGTATAAAAGTTATAAAAGGCTTATGGAAATTATATATTATGGTCAAGATAATTAAAATTGTATAGGTTGTTTATAAAATTTTGAAAAACAAATGTAATCAGCCTCATGCTATTTTTATTAGGGCTTATTGTTTGGGAAATTAAGTCTCCTCTCTCAAAGAATAATGGTTTTCACCTTTTTAAAAAAATCTTTGAGTTATCAGTTCAGTTAAATGAATGACTTATTTTATAATGGCCTGTGATCCTATTTGTTATATCAAGCATTTTAAATTTTTTATATTTGACCAACTTTCCAAAGTCAAATTCTAACTTGGGTTCTCATTAATTTTTTGATATTAGCCCCCTGATGTCCAAAAGAGACATATTCAGCTTATTTGGTATAAAAATCATACAAGAAGCCTTGTCAAATATGAAATGCTGTTTAGTATTCTTTGGACTATATTTGTATAAATGTTATTGGTATGTATTCCAAAACTATGGGAAACTCCTATAATTCTGATATGACTTAGTGTATGTTATTATTAATAATTATAATTGTTACATAAAATTGTTCAATGCTATAGAAGTAAGTAACCAAAATTCCTAGTCAATTGTGTTTTTTTTTTTTTTTTTTTTTTTTTTGAGACAGAGTCTCACTCTGTCACCCAGGCTGGACTGCAGTGGCATGATCTCAGCTCACTGCAACCTCCACCTCCCAGGTTATAGCAATTCTCCTGCCTCAGCCTCCCGAATAGCTGGGACTATAGGCGTGTGCCACCACACTTGGCTAATTTCTTTGTATTTTTAGTAGAGACAGGGTTTCGCCATGTTGGCCAGGATGGTCTGGATCTCTTGACCTCGTGATCCACCTGCCTTGGCCTCCCAAAGTGCTGGGATTACAGGTGTGAGCCACTGCTCCTGGCCCAATTGTGGTTTTAATAATGGCTGTCTTATGACTTTTTGTCATCCACAGACAATTGTTGTCTTGTTTTGATCCTCTTCAAAAGGTGGTTTGTAATTAGCAATAGGACTTTGATAGGTGCTCTTGAATGCAGGTTTCTAATAACTTTGGAAATTGTGACATTAGAACAAAGGAAAAAAACTTTCAGGACTCTCATGGAGAGCTGAAATATTCATGAACATCAAACAGAACAGGAGTTAACTGCATGGACTGAGCTAGCAGAAGACTGAAGTAATCCTTTTTGACTTTTTGCTTAAAATGTTGCTGATCCTTCGTTTTGTTTTTCAGAGTCAAGAAAAATTTTCTTAAACACACTCCTGTAAACAAAATTTGGAACATATTTGTTTATCTCTATCTGATTTCTTCAGAATTTGGAAACTGTGAGTATTCTTAACTTATGACAATATAGTTATTTGCATAAGTGCAATAAGAATCTGTTTTGTTTTGTTTTGTTTTGTAACAGGACATAATTGGAGGAACTGTTTATTTTATCAAGGCTTTGACTGGAATGATATGCTTTCCTTTAAAGAATTAAACTTGACTTATAGAGCCAATAAAAGCACCTTGAGAAAACTGGCCTCATACCTTGTCTACACAGCCCCTGTACAGCATTCCTGACCTGTGGTGAGTAAAGAATGTCACTTTCTGACAGGCCCAGAAGCCCCAAGTTATTCTGAGACCTCAGGAGGCGAGGAAGTTACCCAACTCATAGATATTTGATGGTATAAAGCCGTGGCTGGGCTCAGCTTTAAAAAAGTCTTATCTGAGATTCCTTCTATGGAACAAAGTTCCATCAAAGCTGATTTTAAAAGCCTATGTGAAAAATAATCATTCTTGCTGCACTGTTTTATAATCAGGCCAAGAATAGTCAAGCAAATGGGTCCTACCATGATTGGTCTTTAGTAAAAATTGAAAACTGGAGAGAGAAAAATGTTTCAAAAACTATAGTACACCTGTTGTTAGATTCTAATCTTGCCTAATGTTTTTCCGTTTTTATTATTTTCCACAGTTTGAACTGAATTCTATTTTTTCCCGGCTACCAGTCTCCAAAACAACATTTTCAATTGTTTGCCTTCTCTCTTTTCTCCTCCCCTGCCCCACTTTTCCTAATTTGAAATCACTGAAAACTAAGCTGTGCTTTCTTAAAGACCTGCAAACTGAAGCTAGACAACAAATTTCCAAAGCAAATAACAGCAACATATTTACATACATAAGCCACTTTCATACCTGCCTACTGATGTACGGACTTCAGAGTAATATGGCCTTTATCAGTTTTCCAGGATTGTTCTTTTTTGTTTGTTGTTTTCTCCCTTCCTCCCTCTATTTTCTCTTTCTGGGATATGAAACTCCTGCTAAAAATGAGTTTTCCTAATAACATGAGACCTACCTGTCTAGGAATAAACCATCCTAACAATGAGAAATCACAGGAAACCTGAGACCGGAGACTCATTTTCTTCTAAAATGCCCTCTCTGAAAGATTTCAAAAAGAAAAGGAGGAAATATGAAGGGAAAATAAATCTTGGGACCCTCAAATCACTATGCTACAGGGAAAGGTCAAGCTGGGAACTGCTTAGGGCAAACCTGCCTCCTATTCTATTCAGGGTCATCCCTCTGCACACTGAGATAAATGCACATCTGACTGTCTCCTTTGGAAATGCTAACAGAAACTCAAAAGAATGCAACCAGTTTGTCTCTCACCTACCTATGACCTGGAAACGGAAATCCCCTCCCCGTTTTGAATTGTCCCTGCCTTTCCAGACTGAACCAATGTACAACTTACCCATATGGATTGATATCTCACGTCTCCCTAAAATGTGTAAAAGCAAGCTATGCTCCCACCACCTTGGGCGCATGTTGTCAGGACCTCCTGAGGCTGGGTCACAGGTGTGCATCCTTAACTTTGGCAAAGTAAACTTCTTAAATTGACTGAGACCTGTCTCAGATATTTTGTGTTCATAAGGAATTATTGTTAAGTTTTCTGGATCTGGTCATAAAATTGTGTTTGTGTTATGGTTATTCAATTTGTCTATGTTAGAGATTTTTCCTAAAGAATTTACAAGTAAAAGGATATTTTATCCTTGATTGCTTTAAAATACTCTAGTAAATGAACAAAAAGTGGTGGGGAGGATAGAGTATAACTAAGAGCAACAGAATGTTGCTCACTGTTGAAATGGAGTGATAGGTGCATGGACACTTCTTATACCATTCTCTCTGCTTTGTGTGTGTTTGACATTTTCCATAATAAAAAGGTATTAATTCCCTCATTCCTGTCTCCCCAAGTGAAGCTTTGAGCTAAAAAGGTCAAGTGTTATATCAAATAAAAATTTTAATATAAATTACTTTCTGTAAGTTGCTTTCTTTGAACAAAAGCAGCCGCTGGGGAAGAGTCCTGTGGTGCCTCACCTACCCCTGCTGCCAGTGTCAACCCATCTGGCCCCACACTGAAGTCCCGCTTCTGCAGCCTGCTAGAGACTGCCTGGCTCAATGGCCTGGCTCTGCCCACCTGGGGCCACAGGGCCTCAGGACAAGACCAGCCCTTGCCCCACCCACAGCTTCTGGGCAGCCAGAGCCATCACCTGTGGCACTGGCTGCTGGTGCTTTGTGGGTAGCAATCACTCTTAAGCCCCACTTCTGCCTGCCTGGCTGCCCGGGGCCAGAAGTAGATGCTGGGGCTGTGGCTACTCCCCTGGAGGGGTTTCAGCTTTGACCCTGGGGGCCCATCCAGGGTGGGCTGAGAGCCCCTGAGCTTTTAACCTGAGGGTCTTTATTGGATAGGACCGCTTCTTATATCTTCCCTAGAGAAAACACGTGGGCTTCAGAACCCGACAGACCTGGGCTTGAATCCTGGCTGGTGTTCCTTGCTGCATGACCTGGGCAAGACTCTTCACCTCTGCTGAGCCCTCATCCCCCATCTGTACAATAGAACAACGCAACCTACCTCACAGGGTAGTTGTGGAGATGCTGCCTGACACACATCCCATTAAGGTTTGGTCTCTGCTTCCTCCCCGGCACAGGGCCCGGAATCGGAGGCTGAGAGCCTTCCTGTAGAAAGTCTTCATGTGTCTTAGGACTGGCTATCTGAGAGTGGCACATTGTGCGGTAGATGTGGCTCACACTTTCTAGAGTCACCCCTGCCACAAGCATTTGGAATTGGGTTGGCCCAATCCCCGAGCCTGGAGCTCTCTGAGGGAGCCTGCACTGCCCACTCCCAATCCCCGCTATTGGTGCAATGATGCAGCCTGGGGCTGGCATCCTTGTTCTGGGCCTGCTGCTCCTGCCTCAGGACGCCCCAGGCCTGTCCTCAGTGGCTTCCCTGAACTGCCTCTCCCACCCCAGGCATTATGACTGGAAACATGTTTTCTGGAAGCTAAGCAGCTGCTGGGACTCAGGGACTGGTGCAGGCAGGCTGAGTGGCAGCTCAGTCCTGGAAGGTCTCTGAAGATCTGGACTGGGAATCCTGGTACTCCCTAAGCCAGAACCCACCAGCTAGGCCTGCTGTGGGCCACCTGCCTGTGGGGTGCTGGGCGGAGCCAGAGGCTGGCAAGCTCTGGGCCTTATTTAAGGATTTGTGATGAGCCTGTGGGCCCCGGAGGCAGGCCATTAAAGCATCTGGCTTGTTTTGAGGGGGGAAAAAAGTTGCTTTCTTTGGTCTTGGACGTGTTTTACCAGATAAAAGTTAAAATATTATGAAAAAATAAAAGACCACTGTCATAGTCTGTTAATCCCATATGCTTCCCATGAGAAGGATAAATAGTTATATGGCAGTTTTATGGGATCCAGGGCCCACTATAGGAAAATTTCCCAAAGGGCTCTCTGAACTGTTTTTACTCACAACACTTCAAACACCAGTGTGTGGATTTTTCACACACCACCAACAACCAGTTCTCCAACTCTCTGGACACCAACTAGGTGTCCAACAATTCCATTTAATTCTGATACAAACTACCTGGAGTTAATGCAGGCCAAACCTGTTAAGGGCTCAGTCCCACAACACAGCTCCCACTTCAAATACCAGTTGAAAGTCCCAGGTTACCACATGTACTTCTGACCAACCAAATATAAATTGGAGGTTTCCACGACCCGCTCTTCACTTTTGATAATTTGCTAAAATGGCCCACAAAACTCAGGGAAACACTTTACTTGGTTTATTGGTTTATTATAAAGGATATTATAAAGGATACCAGTGAGCAGCCAAACGAAGAGGCACGTAGGGCGAGGTCTGGAAGGGTGCTGAGCTCAGGAGCTTCTGTCTCCGTGGAGTTTGAGATGCACTATCCTCCTGGCACAGGGATGCGTTCACTGACCCAGATGGTCCTGAACCCCATTGTTTCGGGATTTTTACAGAGGCCTCATTACAAAGGCATAATTGATTAAATCATTGGCCACTGGTGATTAACTCAATCTCCAGCTCAGCTCCTCCCCCTAGAGGTCTGGGGATGGGGCTGAAAGTTCCAACCTTCTAATCACAAGACTGGTTCCTCTGACCGCCAGCCCCCTAGCTACCAGGGGCCACCAAGAGTCACCTTACCAGCATAAACTCAAGTATGGTTGAAAAGGGCTTTTTATGAATAACAAAAGATGCCCTATCACCCCCATGACTCAGAAAATTCCAAGTTTTGGAAACTCTGTGTCAGCAACTGAGGACAAAGACCAGATGTGTATTTCTTATTGTATCACAGGCTCTCTAATACTCCTTTCCTCTTTTTTCTTCTTCTTCTTAATCAATAGGAGAAAATGGGGGAAAACATTGAAGCCTGAAGTAATCTCTTATTTGACTAGTTAAAACAATGAAACTATGAGAGCTTTAGGGCCTTTGGTTTGAGAATCTCTGGTTTGATATTAACATAAGTACATTAAGGCTACAGGACAATTCATTTGAAATTTCCAGTGGAGCCCAGCTTTCCTCTATTGGATAGAGCATCATTTGGAAAGCATGTCCTCTTCGGTACACTCTTCCTTTGAGAACTAGCTTGCTACTAGACTCCAAGAGATTATAAAAACCCTGAAGAGGGGATTCGAGATAGCTGACTAGAGGTGCCAGGCACCCGCCTCCTCCACAAAGAACGACCAACACAGCAAGTAGATAACCACATGTCAAATAGAGCTTCTAAGAGAGAACACTGGAATTCATCAGGGAAGTCGCAGGGAATCTCTGAGGCACGGAAAGCTAGAGAAGTAAAGCAGCTGGGCCTGCCAGGATCGGCTCACAGCTCCCAATTGCAGGGAGACGTTGAGAGATCCCCAGCAAGCTACGTTCCCACTGCAGACTCCTGCAAGCCTAGCCATGGGAAGGCCCTTTGGCTCTTGCAAGCCCTGAGACTAGAATAGGGAGCTGCCTGGAGACACGTGATGACATTGTTTCAGAGAGGGAGTTCACGCTCAGTCCTGCATCCCCCCCGAAACCCAAGCAGCTGCAGCATAGGGCCGCTTGAGAGCTCAGCCCCCACCAGACTGCATCCTGCCCTGGGGCCCAACAGCCCCTGCACTTCCACATCCCTGGACCCTAGTGACATCCCCTCACATCCTCAGAAGGCTGTAGCATTGAGACGCCAGCAGTGTTGCTGCATTGCCGGCACTCTAGCCCACGTAGTGTTCTACACCCTAGGGAACAGGCAAAGCAGTGCACCAGGAAGATTGACCTGGGACAGAGGGAGCCAAAGCATGCACTTCCCAGAGCCTGAGTGCTGCCTGCCCCAGGGCCACTGCCACTGACAGCAACCCCACTCCTTTCCGAAGAAGGGCCACCATGCACCGCATGTGCCTTTACAGGAAGCCTGGGGAACAGCCCACCTGTGTACTGTCCTTATGCTGGAGGAGGGGGGTTGGCACCCACGTGCATCATCCAGGGATCTCAGGATGGATCTGTCTCTGCTGCCACCACCACCCACTGACACTATCCAGGGGCCTGGGGATAATTTGGCCACCCTGCCCTCCACCACTGGTGCATGTGTATGCCATCTAGGGGCATAAGGACAGGCCCGCCCACCACCAGATTACATGTGTACCTCTCAGGGGACAAGGGACTGGCCCTCCCAGCTCACCACCAGCACTGACTGCTATGCATCCTGCTCCAGGGCCTAAGGGTTGTCCACTGCTGCTACTACCACCACCAATGCCACGCACACCACCTGGGGGTGCAAGGGCGTACCCACTCAGCTCACTACTGCCACCGCTGGTACCTAAGCATGCCACCTGGAAGCCTAAACACTGGTCTGCTCATACCCACCACTGCCAGCACCTACATACACCATCAAGGGCCTGAGGACTGGCACACTTGGCCCACCACTGCCACCACTGGCAGTTGAGAATTGGCTCAACTGGTATCCCCTTCCGCAGGAAAGTCTTGTCACAGCCCCTACTAATAACCACATCCTAAGCCACCGAGGAACCCACAACCACCACTGATGCTGATTATAGATGAAGACATCACATGGAGACTACACTACTGCATCCACCCAGAGTCAAAGCCAAAGTACCCTGCCAACCAACTGTAGAAGCAGCTCTAGGAAAGAGCCTTCCCCTACAAGAGCCAATCTGTAAAACTGGAATAAGTAACTGTTACACCAGACGTGCAGATATCAATATAAGGACACAAGAAACATGAAAAAGCAAGGAAACATGATGCTTCCAAATGAAGACAATAATTCTCCAGTAGCAACACGAAGAAGAGGAAATCTATAAAATAGCCTGAAAAAGAATACAAAATAATGATATTAAAGAAACTCAGTGAGATACGAGAGAACACAGATAAATGATAGAAAGAAATCAGGAAAACAATTCATGATCTGAATGAGAAATTCAACAAAGAAATAAAATTCAACAAAGATATAAAAAACAAACAGAAATCCTGGAACCAAACAGTTCAATGAATCAATAAAAAAATTCATTCAAGAGCTTTAACAATAAACTACATCAAACACAAGAAAGAATTTCAGAACTTGAAGTCAGGTCATTTGAAATAAGCCAGTCAGAAAAAAAATAAATGAAAAAAGAATGAAGAAAGCATGGATGACATATGAGATACCATAGGGCAACCAAATATTCAAACTTTGGCAATTTCAGAAGGAGAAGAGATGGGCAAAGGCATAGAAAACCTATTTAACAAAATAATAGCTGAAAACTTTTAAAGTCTTGTAAGAGATATAGATAACCAAATACAGAAAGCTTAAAGATCCCCAAATAGATTCAACCCCAAAATAGTCTTCATCAAAGCACATTGTCATCAAACTATCAAAAGTCAAAGATGTTGGGCACACAGCTGTAATCCCAGCTACTTGGGAAGTGGAGGCAGCTACTTGGGAGGCTTGAGGCCAGGGGTTTGAGGCTGTAGTGTGCTATGATTGTGCCTGTAAAGTAGCCACTGCACTCAAGCCTGGGCAACACAGCATGACCTCATCTCAAAAAAATAAAAAATAAAGTAAAAGACAGAGAATTCTAAACACAACAAGCAAAAAGCATCAAGTCACATATAAGGAAATCTCCATCAGACTAACAGTGGATTTCTCAGCAGAAACTGTACAGGCCAGGAAAGAATGGGATGATATATTCCAAGTGCAAAAAGAAAAGAATTTTCAGACAAGCGTACTATATCCAACAAAGCTATTCTTCAAAAATGAAAAAGAAATATTGAGGGAATTCATCATCACTACACTGGCCCTACAAGAAATGCTTAAGGAAGTCCTACATCTGAAAGAAAAAGGACAATAACTATCATGAAAGTATAAAACTCACTGGTGGAGAGGATAGGCAAATGAGAAAAAGAAAGGACTCAAACATTATCACTATAAAAAAACACCAAATCATAAAGGTAAACAATAAAAGATGAAGAAAGGAACATAAGATATACAAAACAATCAGAAAACAACTAACAAAATGACAGGAGTATTTTACTTTCACCTATCAATAACAACCTTGATTGTAAATGATTTAAATTCCTCAATTGAAAAACATAAACTGGCTGAAAGGATTTAAAAAAAAAACAAACAACCCAAACAAGACCCACCTGTTCCACCTGCAGAAAACTCACTTCACCTGTAAAGGCATACATAGGGCTGGGTGTGGTGGCTCATGCCTGTAATCCCAGCACTTTGGGAGGCTGAGGCGGGTGGATCACTTGAGGTCAGGAGTTTGAGACCATCCTGGCCAAGATGGTGAAACCCCATCTCTACTAAAAATACAAAAATTAGCCGGGCACAGTGGCGGGTGCCTATAATCCCAGCTACTCGGGAGGCTGAGGCAGGAGAATCCCTTAAACCCGGGAGGCAGAAGTTGCAGTGAGCAGAGATCACGCCACTGCACTCTAGCCTGGGTGACAGAGCAAGACTCTGTCTCAAAAAAAAAAAAAAAAAAAAAAAAAGACATACATAGACATGAAAGGATGAGAGGCCAGGCACAGTGGCTCATGCCTGTAATCCGAGCACTTTGAGAGGCCGAGATGGGCAGATCACCTGAGGTCAGGAGTTCGAGACCAGCCTGGCCAATGTGGTGAAATCCCATCTCTACTAAAAATACAAAAATTAGCCAGGCGTGGTGGTGCATGCTTGTAATCTCAACTACTCGGGAGGCTGAAGCAGGAGAATCGCTTGAACCTGGGAGGCGGAGGTTGAAGTGAGCTGAGATCACACCATTGCACTCCAGCTTGGGTGACAAGAGCGAAACTCAGTCTCAAAAGAACAAAAACAAACAAACAAACAAAACAAGACATGAAGGGATGGGGAAAAAATCCACACAAACAGAAACCAAAAGTGTGCAGGAATAGCCATGGACCATGATACATATATTGACATTATGTTCTTGACATAAACGTTCAATACAAGAAAACATAGGAAAGACACTGTGGATAAGTTAACTTGTAATATCAAGGCTGTAGGAGAGCAATTTTAAACATGACAGAACTTGGAGAATATTGTTCCCATTGCCTCTTCTTGATGAACCTAAGAGGGAATGGGCTAGAAAAGATAATTGGGAAAACTTTGGCAAAAATATTTGTGGCAAACCTTGACTGTGTTTAGCTGAAAATGTGAGGCTAAAACAAATGTGGAGGTAAGGATAGTAACTAATATGAAAATCTGATATACTCTGTCAAAATGGAAATAATATCACTTAAAAAGTGGGAGAAGCCGGGCGCGGTGGCTCCTGCCTGTAATCCCAGCACTTTGGGAGGCCGAGGCGGGCGGATCACGAGGTCAGGAGATCGAGACCATCCTGGCTAACACGGTGAAACCCCGTCTCTACTAAAAATACAAAAAAAATCAGCCGGGCGTGGTGGCGGGTACCTATAGTCTCAGCTACTCGGGAGGCTGAGACAGGAGAATGGCGTGAACCCGGGAGGCAGAGCATGCAGCGGGCGCCGAGATCGCAGCACTGCACTCCAGGCTGGGGGACGGAGAGAGACTCCACTTCAAAAAAAAAACAAAAATGAAAAACAAAAAACAAAACAAAACAAACAAAAAAAAAGTGGGAGAAGACAGAAAGCCCAGACACTCATTAACTGATTCAGAGGCAACAGCTATATGTCACAAGATACTACATAAAGCTGAAAAATCAAAAAATGGAAGCCTAGGTTTATTTGAAAGTACAAAGAAAAACTAAACTTTGGATGGTGGGGGAAAAAGAGGGAAGACTGAGGAAGAGGTTACAAGTTAGTTTTTTTTTTCTTTCTTTTTTCTTTTTTTGAGGAGTCTTGCTCTGTCATCCAGCCTGGAGTGCAATGGCACAATCTCAGCTCACTGCAACCTCTTCCTCCTGGGTTCAAGCGATTCTCCTGCCTCAGCTTCCCTAGTAGCTGGGACTACAGGCGCACACCACCACACCCCCAGCTAATTTTTGGCATTTTTAGTAGAGATGGGGTTTCACCATGTTGGCCAGGCTGGTCTTGAACTCCTGACCTCAAGCAATCTGCCTGTCTCAGCCTCCCAAAGTGCTGGGATTACAAGCATAAGCCATTGTGCCCAGCACAAGTTAGTTTTATAACAATAGACATTGTCTAAAGGAGGCCAGGCCTAGTGGTTCATGCCTGTAATCCTAGCACTTTGAGAGGCCAAGGTGGGAGGATTGCTTGAGCCCAGGAGTTCAAGACCAGCCTGGGCAACATAGTGAGATCCCATCTCTAAAAAAAAGTAACAACTTACAGGAAATATTTTTTTAAAAATTTTTTGTTTAAGCCATTGCCTAAAGGAAAGTGGGAACTGAACATATAAAATACAACAATTAGAAAAAATTAAAACCTTAAATTTTACACACATACACGGACTTTGTGATGTTTCAGTTTAGCTAAATCCATTTAAACGGTTTCTCCAAGTGTCCTTCCCTGTATCATTCTGAGTTAGGATTGGCCACAAGATACAATTACAGTTTACACACACACACACACACACACACACACACACACACACACACGGACTTTGTGATGTTTCAGTTTAGCTAAATCCATTTAAACGGTTTCTCCAAATGTCCTTCCCTGTATCATTCTGAGTTAGGATTGGCCACAAGATACAATTACAGTTGCATTGTTCCTGATATACTGCTCACTTTGTTGCAGTGGGACAGCCAGACCAGCTGCTACCCCAGCTCCTGTCCGATCTCTCTCAGCTTCTCTGAATCCTGGGCCAGGTGTGTGTGCTACCAATGGGGAAGAGAACCAGTTTCTCCTGCAGGTCACCTACAACACTGAGACCTGAGACATGAGATTTAATGCCATTCTAGTTTGTCCTCAGAAGTTCCCATTTGCCCGTCCCTGATTTCCTAACTTCACATCCATCTTCCCTTCCTTACTGCTGGCCCTGCTGACTTCAGACCAGCATCAGTCACAGAGGCAAGTCTTACAAAGACTTATTCACTAAATCCTAAAGTTATATAAGGCCTAGTACCTATAATAAATCTGTTATTTGTACCATTTGCGGTGGTTCAGCTGCTCTGATTTTTTTTTTAAAGAACGAAAATGAGCAAAGGAAACACAACAGAGTATAGTAAAAATAGAAAATTCAGAAAAGATAATACAAAATAATATAACAGGGACTAAACAAATCCATTGTATCAATAAATGCAAATGAGCTTAAAAGACCTATTAGAAGAAAACAAAAATAAATGATTGATAAGTGGATTAAAATAAATGGATTAAACACACAACTCAAAAAAGAAAAGAATGGTGAAGCAAATTGAAAAAATACAGAAGGATGAAATTGCTAAATATGAAAACAGGAAATATTGATCAGAAAACAGAAAAGTCTACATAATAAAAAGTATGCTAATCAAGCAATTAAAAATTAATTCTTTGAAAAATATCAAAGCTATAGAAAACAATTATATAGCATAAACAAATAAGAAATGACAAGCGGGTGGGATGCAGTGGCTCATGCCTATAATCCCAGCACTTTGGGAGGCGAAGGTGAGGGGACTGCTTGATCTCAGGAGTTCAAGGCCAACCTAGGCAACATAATGAGACCCTGTCTCTACAAAACAAATTAAAAATTAGCTGGGCATGGTAGCACATGCCTCTAGTCCCAGCTACTTGGGAGACTGAGGCGGGAGGATTGCTTGAGCCCAGGAGGTTGAGGCTGCAGTGAGTTGTGACCGCACCATTGCACAGCCTAGGCAACAGAGTGAGATCTTGTTTCAAAAACAAATCAACAACAACAACAACAATAAAAACCAAATAAATGACAAGTGAGAAATAACTATTGAAAGGAGTAAATACAAAGTAATAAGGGTTGGGTGCAGTGGCTCATGCCTATAGTCCTGGCACTTTGGGAGGCTGAGGTGGGTAAATCGGTTGAGCTTAGGAGTTCAAGACCAGCCTGGGCAACGTGTGAAAACCCTGTCTCTACACAAATACAACAACAACAAAAAAATTAGCTGGGCCTGGTTGCACGGTGCCTGTAGTCTCAGCTACTCAGGAGGCTGATGTGGGAGGATCACTTGAGCCCGGGAGATTGTGGCTGCAGTGAGCTGTGATTGCACTCCAGCCTGGGTGATAGAGTGAGAACCTGTCTCAAAATAAAATAATAAGATCATAATGACATCAGGGAAGGTGGCAGAGTAGAAAACATCAGGAATCAATCTCTCTACCTAGTCAATTGTACTGACAGAATCTGTCTAATATAACTATGTTGGAACTCTGGAATCTATCACAAGGGTTGCAACTTCCAGGGGAAGACTGTGGCTAATTTCAGTCAATTTCAGCTCTCACACTTTTGGAGCAACTTGGACTTGGCTTGCAGGAGCCAGGGTAGGCAATAAGAACCTTGTCTTCCATGTATCTGGGATCTATGTTTTGATCCCTGATTGCTGCTTCTGATGGTAGAGGTGTAGTCACAGAAGTGAGCTGCCATTGTTGTAACCCCCATTGTCATTTTTACAATCCACACTGGAAAAGTGACTTCCAGGAGACTTAAAAAGCCAATGACTGGCTTTCCTCCCCTTCATCTTTCCCTTTTCCCCCTTTTAGGGGCCAGACATTTAAGGACTAGGACATCCGAAGTAACTACATACACAAGGGAATAGGGAAAGTCACCATGCATGTCCAGGGAAAGGCATAGACTCAGAGAAGACCTTCAATTTATTTCTCAATCTTATCCCCAGCTTAGAGACACCATACAACCATGAAAATAAAATAAAATAAAACAGCATGCCTTTTTTATCCATGTGCCAAAAAAGAAAGCAAACCCTGGGGAAGGAGAGAATTTTATTTCCAGAGTTACCACATTATAAGATTCAAAAGTCCAGTTTTCAAATACAACAACAAAATCACAAGACATACAAAGAAACATTAAAGTATGGCCCATCTAAGGAAAAAAATGTCAACAGAAAACATTCCTCAGCAACTGTCTTAAAGATGCTCAAAGAGCTAAACGAAGAAGTGGACAAAGTCAAGAAAATGATATATGAATAAAATGAAAAAATTTTTCAATATTTATTGAAAAATAAAGAAAAAACATAAAAAGGAACAAAAAATTCTGGAGCTGAAAAGTACAATAACTACAATGTAAATTTGACTAAAGGGATTCCAAAAGCAGATGTGAGTAGGTAGAAGAAAGATTCAGACCAACATATGCACTGTAGGAGTTTCAAAAGAAAAAGAGGGAAAGGGAAAAAGGAATTTTTTTTTTTTTTTTTTGCAGAAATAAGGGCTAGAAATGCCCCAAACTGGGTGAAAAACATGAATACAAACATCCAAGTTGCTCAACAAAGTTGAAGTGGAATAAACTCAAGAGAGGTCCCACCAGGAAATATTATAGTCAAACTGTGAAAGGCCAAAGGCAAAGAGAAAATCTTGGAAACAGCAAGGAAGAAGCAACTGTTTACATACAAGAGATTCTGAATAAGATTGTCTCCTGATTTCTTACCAGAAACTGTGGAGGCCAGAAGCCAGTGGATCAATATATGCAAAATGTTGAAAGGAAAAAACTGTCAAGCAAGAATCCTTTACCTGGCAAAACTGTCCATCAAAAATGAAGAAGAAATTAAGAGGCCAGCCATGGTGGCTCATAACTGTAATCCCAGCACTTTGGGAGATCAATATAGGTGGATCACTTGAGCCCAAGAGTTTGACACCAGCATGGGTAACATAGTGAGACCCCATCTCTACAAAAAAAAAAAAATACATATACCATTATAAAAGCTAGTATTACTGTAACTTTGATTTAAAACACCACATTTTGTTTATATTATTTAAGAGACTAAGCATTAAAAAAATCACTAAGAAGCTTGTGTTTTTGGACATACAATGCACAAAAATGTAATTTTATGACATCAGTAACTGAAAGGGATGGGCACAGAACTGCATAGGAGCAGAGTTTTTGTATGCCTTTGAAGTTAAGGTGGTATAAATTCAAATTAGGTTGGGCACGGTGGCTCATGCCTGTAATCCCAGCACTTAGGGAGGCCAAGGCAGGTAGATCACCTGAGGTCAGGAGTTCAAGACTAGCCTGGCCAACATGGCAAAACTGCGTCTCTACTAAAAATACAAAAGTTAGCCGTGGTTGCACACTTCTGTAATCCCAGCTACTCGGGAGGCTGAGGCAAGAGAATCGCTTGAACCCGGGAGGCAGAGGTTGTAGTGAGCTGAGATTGCACCACTGCACTCTAGCCTGGGCAGCAGAGCAAGACTCCATCTCAATAAATAAATAAATAAATAAATTCAAATTAGTGTTATAATTTTAGGATGTCAAATGTAATTTTCATGATAACCACAGAGAAAATATCCATAACATATGTACAAAAGGATACACACACACACACAAGCATTTAAAACTTTTCACTACAAAAATCTTAACTAAACACAGGACAGTAATGCAAGAAATGAAGAACACAAAGGGTATAAGGCATATAGAAAACAAAAGCAAAAGGGCACAATTAAATCCCTCTTTGTCAGTAGATACTTTAAATGTAAACGGATTAAACTCTCCAATCAAAATACAGAAATCAGCATAATGTATAAAAAACATGAATCAAGTATATGATGTCTACAAGAAATCATGTTAGATAAAGACACAAATAGGTTGAAAGTAAAAGGATGGAAAAAGATATTACATACAAATAGTAAACAAAAGAGAGTGGGGTGTCTATACTAACATCACACAAAACAGACTTTAAATCAAAAAAGTTTACACAAGACAAAGAAAGGGATTACATATTAATAAAAGGTAAAATAAAGCATGAAGATAAAACAATTATAAACATTTATGCACTTAACAACAGACCATCAAAATATATGAAGCAAAAACTGATAGAATTGAAGGGAGAAAGAAACAGCTCTACAATAATAGTCAGAGACATCAGCTGGGCCTGGTAGCTCATGCCTGTAATCCCAGCACTTTCGGAGGCCAAGATGGGCAGATCACATGAGGCCAGGAGTTTGAGACCAGCCTGGCCAACATGGCAGAAACCACTGTCTCTACTAAAAATACAAAAATTAGCTGGGCGTGGTAGTACATGTCTGTAATCCCAGTTACTCAGAGGCTGAGGCATGAGAATCGCTTGAACCCAGGAGGTGGAGGTTGCAGTGAGCCGATGAGATCAGATGGTGCCACTGCACTCCAGCCTGGGCTATAGAACAAGACTCCCTCTCAAAAAAAAAAAGAAAGAAAGAAAAAATCGGAGACCTCAATACCCCACTCTCAATAATGGATAGAACCATCAGACAGAAAATAAGGAAAGAAGCAGAGGACCTGAACAACACGATATACCAACTAGATCTAACAGACATAGGCAGAACACCCAACCCAACAACAACACAATACACATTCTTCTCAAGCGTACATGGGCATTCTCTAATATAGACCATAGAGTAGGCCGCAAATCAATTCTCAGTAGATTTTTTAAAAATAAATATGATACAAAGTACCTTATCTGACCACAAAGGTAAGTTAAAAATCAGTAACAGAATAAAAACTGAAAAATGCACAAATCTGTGGAAATTAAAAAACACACTCTTAAATAATCAATGTGTCAAACAAGAAAGCCTAGAGAAATTAGGAGATAGAGACAAATGGGATTAAGAACACACTATTTTCATTTGCACAATAAATGAAAATACCTAATGACAATATGAAAACTTATGTGATGTAGCAAAAGCAGTGCGAAGGGAGTAATATATAGCTGACAATACTTAACATTAAAAAAGAAGAAAGATCTCAAATCAGGCCATGTGCTGTGACTCACATCTGTAATTCCAGCACTTGGGTGGCCATGATGGGTGGATTCCTTAAGTCCAGGAGTTTGAGACCAGCCTGGGCATGGCAAAGCCCTGTTTCTACAAAAAATACAAAAATTAGCTGGGTGTGGTGGTGCACACCTGTAGTCCCAGTTATCAGGAGGCTGAAGTGGGAGGATCTGGCTGAGCCTGGATGGTTGTAGTGAGCTGTGATTGTAACACTGCACTCCAGCCTGGGCAGCAGAGTGAGTCCCTGTCTCCAAAAAAAAAAAAAAAAAAGAGAGAGAGAGAAAGAAAAAGAAAGAGAAAAGAAAAACAAAGAGAAAGAAGGAAAGAAAGAGAGAGAGAGAAAGAAAGAAAGAAAGAAAGAAAGAAAGATCATAAATCAACAACCTAACTTTAGACTTTAATAGTTAGAAAAAGAACAGCAAACTAACACAAAACTAGCAAGAGGAAGGAAATAACAAAGATTAGAGCAGAGATGAAATAAAGAATAGAAAACAGAAATAGAAAATTAAGGAAACCTAACACTGGTTGTTCTAAAACATTAACAAAATTGACAAACCTTTAACTGGATTGACTAAGAGGGCTATATTTGGTTTAAAACAGTTTGTCCACTAGCCTCTTTTTTCTTTTGCAGAATCCAGGCCAAGATACCACATAGCATTAACTGGCATGTTTCCTCACTCTCCACCAGTTTATGAGTTTCTCTGTGTTGCCTCGACTTTCATGACCTGGACATTTTTGAAGAGTGCTGGTCACATATCATATTATATTATATTAATTAATTTATTTTTGAGATGGAGAGTCTTGCTCTGTCGCTCAGGCTGGAGTGCAGTGGTGCAATTTCGGCTCACTGCAACCTCTGCCTCCTGGGTTCAAGCGATTCTCCTGCCTTAGCCTTCCCAGTAGCTGGGATTACAGGTGTGCACCACCATGCCTGGCTAATTTTTGTATTTTTAGTAGAGACGGGATTTCTCCATGTTGTCCAGGCTGGTCTCAAACTCTTGACCTCAAGTGATCCACCTGCCTTGGCCTCCAAAAGTGCTGGGATTATAGGCATGAGCCACCATGCCTGGCCATGGTCACATATTCTTTTAGAATGTCCCTCAGTTTGGGTTTTTCATGATTAGCCTGAGGTTATAGATTTGGGGGAAGAATTCCACAGAGGTGAAGTGCCTTACCCAGGGAATATGATATGAAGATAACTTAGTACTTTTCTGGGTAGAAACAACCTTATGGCACCCCTAATGTTTTTCTCTTTGTCTTGCCAGTTTTTCCCACATTGTAAAAATGACAAGGCAGTTTTTAGTGTACTGTTGAACAACTACAGAAGAAGTTGGATTGTAGCAAATTGTTTCTAGAATGCCTTTGAGGGCACATTGCCTTTGGATGCCCAAGCAAGATGAGGAAGCAAATCTTTGATGCTATTAAGTGGCCATCTGGGTGGGACACAGGCAAAAAGAGCCTGGGTGCAAGAGAAACCATGATCATAGAGAGAGGCAGTATCAGGAAAAGTGGCGAGAAAGAACTGGTCAGTTCACAGAGATAAGACCAAAGGTGACTTGACAATGAGCAACAGCCACACTTTTGCCTATGTTATTAATCAGTGAGAATATTTTTATTACATATCAACAGAAAGTTACATGAGGATTATTAGAAATATTCCTTCAAATGGAAGATGCCTTATGGTTTCAAAGATGTCCCAAGTTGGACTATCCAAAAATGTAATGCAAGTCAACCCAAAGGTTAACACTCTCAGAGAGTAGCTTCATGAGACAGCACAGGAAGAAGGGATAAAAGCCTGTGGTGGCTCATGCGTGTAATCTCAGCTACTCAAGATGCTGAGGCTGTAGATCTCCAGGCCAGGAGCTCCAGATCAGACTGGGCAACAGAGTGAGGCCATGTCCTTAGAAAATTATTATTGATTTAATTTGCTTTTTAAATTTACTGCTATTAGGCCAGGCACGGTGGTTCACGCCTGTAATCCCAGCACTTTGGGAGGCCAAGGCAGGCGGATCATGAGGTCAAGAGTTTCAGACCATCCTGGCCAACATGGTGAAACCCCATCTCTACTATAAATACAAAAATTAGCTGGGCATGGTGGCATGCACCTGTAGTCCCAGCTACTCGGGAGGCTGAGGCAGGAGAATTACTTGAACCTGGGAGGCCGAGGTTGCAGTGAGCCAAGATCGTGCCACTGCACTCCAGCCTGGCTGCAGAGCGAGACTCAGTTTAAAAATAAAATAAAATAAAATAAAAAAATATATATATAGCTATTATTATTTAAAGACAGGACCTCACTCTGTTGCCCAGGCTGGTCTCCAACTTTGATTGGCCTCAAGCAATCCTTCTGCCGAAGCCTCCCAAAGCACTGGGATTACAGGGATTAGCCACACTGTGCCTGACCATAGTTTCCCTCCACTGACTCCACCCACAAGCAATCATTCCCAACCTAAAAACATTATTTTAAAAATTAGCGGAGCCAGGGTTAGTGGTTCACGCCTGTAATCCTAGCACTTTGAGAGGCCAAGGCCAGCAGAGAGCTTGAGCCCAGGACTTCGAGACCAGCCTGGGCAACATGGCAAAACCTCATCTCTACCAAAAAAAAACAAAAAAACAAAAATTAGTCGGGCATGGTGGTGCATGCCTGTAGTCCCAGCTACTCTGAGGGCTGAGGTGGGAGGATCTCTAGAGCCCAGGAGTTCCGGGCTGCAGTGAGCTATGATTGCACCACTGCACTCCAGCCTGGGTGACAGAGTGAGATCCCTGTCTTAAGAGATGAAAAATAAAGAATATTTTTGTACAGAATTTTGAAGACAGATCATATACCCAGAGCCCAATTCCTTTTTCTCTGAGCTACCAGTATCTCTTTTATACATTCCTTATATTCAATAATTTTATTATGCATTGGTAGATAAGTGTGTACATCTACACATTTATATAGTCACACCAAACAACATGCTTAAATGATTATTTGTTGAAAGCTTTTTTTTTTTTTTGAGATGGAGTCTTGCTTTGTCGCCCAGGCTGGAATGTGGCGTGATCTTGGCTCATTGCAACCTCCACCTCCCGGGTTCAAGTGAGTCTCCTGCCTCAGCCTCCCAAGTAGCTGGGACTACAGGCATGCAGCCACCGTGCCTGGCTAATTTTTGTATTTTTAGTAGAGACGGAGTTTCACTATGTTGGCCAAGCTGGTCTCAAACTCCTGACCTCAGGTTATCCACCCGCCTTGGCCTCCCAGAGTGCTATAATTATAGGCGTGAGCCACTGTGCCCAGCTGGCCAGGCCCACAAATCTGTATTTTAATAGATTCTCCAGGTGGTGCTTACAAACGCTAAAGTTAATGCAAAGGTGCTATTTCGTGTTTTGTTTTGTTTTGTGTTGTTTTGTTTTGTTTTTTGAGATGGAGTCTCTCTCTGTCTTCCCCAGCTGGAGTGCAGTGGCACTATCAGGTTCAAGCGATTCTCCTGTCTCAGCTGCCAGAGTAGCTGGGACTACAGGAGTGTGCCACCACACCCAGCTAATTTTTTTGTATTTTTAGTAGAGGCGGAGTTTCACCATGTTGACCAGGCTGGTCTTGAACTCCTGACCTCAGATGATCTATTTGTCTCGGCCTCCCAAAGTGCTGGGATTACAGGCGTGAGCCACCGCCCCCAGCCCAAAGGTACTATTTTGGAGCAATGATTTTAAGACTTGGCTTTATTATCTTAATTTGAACATCATAAAGAACAAATACATAGTCAAAAATACATAACTGTTTTCTTTTTTTTTCTCTTTTCTTTTCTTTTCTTTTTTTTTTTTTTTGAGATAGAGTCTTGCTCTGTTGCCCGGGCTGGAATGCAGTGGTCCAATCTGGGCTCACTGCAACCTCCGCCTCCTGGGTTCAAGCGATTCTCTTGCCTCAGCCTCTGGAGTAGCAGGGATTACAGGTATGTGCCACCACGCCCAGCTAATTTTTGTATTTTTAGTAGAGACAGGGTTTCACCATGTTGGCCAGGCTGGTCTCAAACTCCTGACCTTAAATGATTCATCTGTGTCTGCCTCCCAAAGTGCTGGGATTACAGACGTGAGTCACTGTACGGCCCGTAACTGTTTTCTGAGTAAGATTCAGTTTCCAATCTCGGCAAATGAAGACTTTCCTGGGGTTAAAAGGACTCTTTCTGGTTCACTCCTTGATATCGACCTGTGCTGGGGATTGAGCAGCTGTTCAAGTCCAACCCACCCAGTTTTGGTTCTATGCCAGGCTTAAATCCACGATATTTCACAATTCGTGTATGCCACCTGATGAAGTGTTTTTAGGTGATGACTGCCTTGTAACCTAACATTTTGCCAAATGTTTATTGTAAATTTTTCTACCATCATCATTACTGTGGTATTGTAACTAAAACTCTCCAGGAAGTTATTCAGCTTAAAACTAAAATCGAGTATATCTCAAGTAACTCTACTGTTTGATTTGAAATGCCTCTGTTATATGCTGTCTGCAATCAGCATCGTCTCGTAAATAAAGTTGAAAGGAAAGATGATGAAACTGGCAGTGTTACTGAATGGGAAATAAAGGTGAGAATACACACTGCGAATGAAGACATGGAAGTTACTTCTATGACATAATCATGTAGGAATCTGAATGCCGTGTTCCCTTGTTTACCAAATGAAGCACCTTTATTGCAAGAGAAGAAACTGGGCTGTTCCCGCCAATATTCAGAGGCCATTTGGAATCTGCTATGATTGCTTAGATCTGAGGACTTGGTGCTCTATTATTTTGTGGGATCTGAGAGGCAGGAATGGGATTTAATGATATCTCAATTCTCATCCATCTAAAATAACCTAATTTGCAATTATAAATAAAATGGCATGTTGCATTTATATATTCCCTTTTTAAAACAGGAACTGGTCCTGCTTTTAACTTTATGGAGTCTTATTTATGAATAAAGCTCAAATTATTAAAATATATATTCAGATTAAAATTCATTTGAACAGTCTATGGCTATTATGAATTTTATTTACTTCTCTTCCCCGAATTTTAATTTCTTTGAAGGCTTCCAGGTAAACAGTGATTACTAATTATTTCAATGTTGTATGAGTCCAAGATCCTTAAGTCAGTTCATTTTGGATAACATAATCAAATTATCATTAAAGAATGATGCAATCACTGTTAATCTTAAGAATCTGACAGTGAAATATGACCCCTTAAAACTATTCAGGTGGGCGGGGCCCAGTGGCTCAGGCCTATAATCCCATTACTTTGAGAGGCAGAGACCGGTACATAGCTTGAGGCCAAGAATATTAGGTGACATAGCAAGACCATGTCTCTAAAAACTAAACAAATAAAAATGTTCCCCAGTTAGTGCAGATGGAATAGCTGCACAGATTCACATAAGTTTCAGTTTTGTCTCAGATTTACAAGAACAGAATTTATAAAACATTGGTTATTTAAATTAGGATTCAACTTAATTGTATATCCATGTTTACATTTAGGATTCTTTAAAATAGTGTAAATAGTAATAAACTATAAGACTCATAAGCAATTCTAAATAATTTAGGTGATTAATTTGGCCTTTTTATTTAAACAAAATCCAGTCTTGGATCTGTTAAAATGATATATTGCATGTTTATTTCTCACAGTGGTAAAATCATGGACTCATACCATGGACCATTTTTTAAACTCCTCACTCTCCAGGGGACGTTGGTGAAAAATTTTCTTATAGAACCCTGGGCCAGGAGGGGTGGCCTTGGGCGGGACTGTTTGTTCTAAAAATTGGTAAAGCCCAGGGCTTGTTGGTGATGGATGAGCCAGAAGTGATGAGGACCCAACAGAGACTTAGAGTGGAGTCGGAATGAAGTCAGAAGTCACTTGCGTGACTCCAAGTGTGTGTCGGGTCCTGCTAGGGTAGAATAGTCTCTGGACCTGGGGACAGGGAGGAAATGGACATCAAAAAATACCATTATCATGGCTGGCCCAATGGTAGTGGGTTATCAGAACTTATCAACATTAGTGTTGCTAAAGTTGGTATACAACCCCCCACTGCGAAATTTGGCTGGCTTTTAAAAAAATGCCATTATGGGTAGACACTTTGATCTTTATTGGCAGGGTCAGTATGGCCCCTGGGTCCATGTGGTGTAAAAGTAGGAGTATCTCCACTCATAGGTGGGAATTGAACAATGAGAACACTTGGACACAGGATGGGGAACATCACACACCGAGGCCTGTGGTGGGGTGGGGAGTGGGGAGGGATAGCATTAGGAGATATACCCAATGTAAATGACGAATTAATGGGTGCAGCACACCAACACGGCACATGTATACATATGCCATATGTATACAACATGGCACATGTATACATGTATACATATGTAACAAACCTGCACGTTGTGCACATGCACCCTAGAACTTCTTAAAGTATAATTTTAAAAAAGAATCAAAAAATAATTAATTAATTTTTTAAAAAAAGTAGGAGTATCTCTAAAATCTATTGCTACTAGTGGAATTGCCCAATAGGGCTGCTTCCTTGTGCAAACTTGGAAACTGTGTCATCTTCATCCTGGAGAAGGCAGGGTGGCCCCAGGGCTCATCTTGAGCTCTAGGATGGTACTTCAGCCCTAGCATTAACATTGGAGTGCTGTGTCATTTCCCCAATAGTAGGTTATATGATCCCCTACTGAAGCAAGAAGACAAACTGGATGGTGGAGCAAGAAGTCAAAAAGAAATCTATCCAGAAGCCTGAAAACATGATTAGCAGATGGAGAGGCAACAAGACTTAGGAGGCAGGCTGGGCATGGTGGCTCATGCCTGTAATCCCAACACTTTAGAAGGCGGAAACAAGAGGAGCGCATAAGCCCAGGAGGTCAAAACTAGCCTTGGCAACATAGTGAGACCTCCAGCTCTACAAAAAAATTTAAAAATTAGCCAGATGTGGTGGAGTGTGCCAGTAGCCCCAGCTACTCTGGGGACTGAAGTGAGACGATTGCTTGAGCCCCTGAGGTCCAGGCTGCAGTGAGCCAAGATCAAGCCGCTGCACTCCACCACAGAGCAAGACCCTGTCTCAAAAAAAATAAAAACAAAAAAAAGAAAAGTGGAAAGCTCCCTCCTCTGATCTCAGACCTTATTTCTTTTAAGGAAATATACTTTTGAAGTTTTGAGTTTGAAACACAGTTTGGACTTAATCACGAGGGATGTTGTGTAGGAAAGAATCATTCATTTAATTAATTTGGAACCCCTCCACCACAGTTTACTCCTTATGATATTAACCTCCTTTAAGCATACATCAGTGTGAAAATGTCTTCAGTTTAAAAAGGCATTTTACTTCTGATGGGGTAAAAAAGTTTGTACCCTATCTGAGACCAGAGCATTCATAATGAAGAGAAACTATGAAGTTACCAAATGTGGGGAAACTTACTCACATGCCATCTCATGGAATATAGAAGTCACACTGAAGAGAAACCCTGTGCCTCTAAGGAATACTGAAAAGCCTTTAGCTAGATTACCAATCTCATAAAGCAGCAGAAAATTCATGCTGGAGAGAAGCCAGTGAAAGCAGCAAAAACGTCATTGAATTAATATTCAATTTATACTGCAGAGGAAGCTTTGAATGTACTACATATGAGAACATTTTCTCTCACACCTTATTCCTTACTCTGCATTTGAAAGGTCTTACACAGATAAACCTTATAAATGTAAGAAATGTGGAAATATCTTCAGCCAAAAGTAAATCCTTGCTCAAAAAAAAAAATATATACACTGGAGAGAAACCTCGTGAATGCAGGAAAGCTTTTGTTTAGATATCCCTCTCAGTCAGCAGAGGGTTTATGTGGGGAAAGCCCCTCTGCCTGCATGGTATGTGAGAAAGTCTTCAGCCGCGTGTCAGTTTCACCGAGCATGAGCATTTTCACACTAGAGAGAAACCCTTTGAATGTAATGAATGTGGAAAAGCCTTTACTAAAAGCAGTATGTCATTAACCATCTGAACGCTCATAACCACAGAGAAGCTTTGTGAATATAACAAATGTGGAAAATCCTTTTGCCAGAAGGAAAGTCTCCCTACCAGTCAGAAAATTCGCACTGAAGAGAGACCTTTTGAGAGTAAAGACTGTGGGAAAGTTCTCATTCAGAAGTCAAACTTCATCCAGTACCAGAGAATGCACACAGAAGAGAAACCCTTTGTGTATAAGGAGTGTGGAAAAACCTTTAGTGGAAAATCAAACCTTACTGAGCAAGAGAAATTTCATATTGGAGAGAAACCCTTTAAATGTAGTGAATGTGGAACAGCTATTGGCCAGAAGAAGAAGTACCTCATAAGAAACCATACTGGAGAGAAATCCTATGAGTGTAAGGAATGTGGAAACATCTTCTGTCAGCAAATACCACTTATTGTAGATGTGAGATTTCAGATGATCAACCCTATGAACTCACTGTGGAAAAGCCTTGTCTCAGTTCATTGCTTACTGTGTGTGTGAGCAGCCCCGCAGGTGAGCAGCCCTATGGTTTCCATGGCTGTGGGGAAGCTTTCTCCCAATTCTCAACTCTTGCTCTGTATGTAAGAATACACACAGGTAGGAAGCTTTATCAGTATGGTGAATGTGGGAAGCTTTCAGCCAGAAGTCACACCACATCAGACTCCAGAAAAGTCATACTCGTTTAAAAACTCCAGCAGGACATGACGGCTCACGCCTGTAATCCCAACACCGTTAAAGGCTGAGGCAGGAGGATCACTTGAGCCCAGGAGTTCGAGACAAGCCTGGGTAACACAGGGAGACTCCGCCTCTACAAAAAAAATTAATAAAAACCTTGAAAATGGGAGTGCTTTTATCAGGAATGTACACCTCATAATGCATCAGAAATAATCATTTTGCAGCAAAGCACCACAAATAAGGTAAATTTTAACAGATACTTTATGTATGTAACTTGTGGGACATCAGAAAATTCAATGTCCTTCTGAAGAGAAGGGTATTCATATGATAAAAAGCCTGAGTCTGGCCAGGTGCAGTGACTCATGCCTATAATCCCAGCACTTTGGGAGGCTGAGGCAGGCAGATCACCTGAGGTCAGGAGTACAAGATCAGCCTGGCCAAAATGGCGAGCCCTGTCTCTACCAAAAATACAAAAATTAGCTGGGTGTGGTAGCGGGTGCCTGTAATCCCAGCTGCTTGGGAGGCTGAGGCAGGAGAATCACAAGAACCCGTGAGACAGAGGTTGCAGTGAGCCAAGATGGCACCACTGCACTCTAGCCTAGGCGACAGAGACTCCATCTCAAAAACAAAATAAAACAAAACAAAAAAAGCCTGGGTCCAACAAAGAAACCCACAGCAAAGGCAATGCTGAAACTTTAGACACATTTCCACTAAAATTGGGAACAGAAAACAGATGCCTGTTAGCATTGCTGTCAGCATTGATCTGGAGATCTTCACCAGTGCAGTAAGTTGTAAGCATTGGAAAGGAAGACACAAAATTAGATATGATCATCTATAAATACATAAGACTCTTGTGGTGTTGACTGAACAGAGCAGAACAGATTTCAGAAAGAGACCTATGCATTATTTGAATTTGGAATACGATAGAAGTGAATCAGGATAGGAGGAAATATGGGACGATTTTTAAAAATGGTTTGGAGGTAATCTGTTCTCCAAGTAGGGAAAAATAGACCATGAACCATACACAAAAGTAAAATCCACAGAGATGAAAAGCAGGCATTGAAAAAGCTATGTATTAAAATTATATGACTTTGGGAGTAGGGAAACATTCCTTGTAACAACTTCAGAAATACTTAGCAATTCTACTTTTGAATGTGTATGCTCAGGAAATATGTACTAGGATATTTACTATGGTTTGATTTGTAGTAGCCAAAAATTGGAAACATCAAAAAGAAGAAATCCTTATGATGGAATAATATATGTCTGTAAGTGCAACACCTGAGATTCACATGTATTAACAGGAAGATCTCAGAATCATGTTGAGGGGGGTAATATCAAGTTGCAGAATGATGCATATAGTACAATGACTTTCTGTAAATGTGTTGCTGTTTTGTGTTATTTATTTGTTTAATTAATTAATTATTTTTGAGACAGGATTTCACTTTGTCGCCCAGGCTGGAGTGCTGTGGCGTGATCTCGGCTCGCTGCAACCTCCACCTCCCAGGTTCAAGCGATTCTCCCACCTCAGCCTCCTGAGTAGCTGGGACTACAGGTGCGTGCCACCACGCCCAGCTAATTTTTTGTGTATTTTTTGGTACAGACAGTGTTTCATCATGTTGGCCAGGCTGGTCTCCAACTCCTGGCCTCAAGTGATTCACCCGCCTCGGCCTCCCAAAGGGCTGGGATTACAGGCGTGAGCCACTGCACTCGACCTAATTTTTAATTTATTTTTAAATAGAGACGGGGTCTTGCTACATTACCCAGGCTGGTCTGGAACTCCTGGACTCAAGCAATTCTCCCATCTCAGCCTCTCAAAGGGTGAGGTAATAGGCATGAGCCACCATGTTCAGCCACTTTTTGTAAATTTGAATTAAAATTTCCCTCACAAAATTCAGTACTATACACATACTATACATGTATGTACGTAAATGTTTCTGAAATGGTTTGGAAGAATATAGCCCAATACTTGCTAGTGGTCACCTGTAAAGAGTGAAGAAGGGAAGAGAGTGAGTGTGAGACTTCAGCTTTGTATCTAAACATCTTTTCTTTAAAAAGACTGCAAGTAGTGAGCCGAGATCATGCCACTGCACTCCAGCCTGGGCGACAGAGCGAGACTCCGTGTCAAAAAAAAAAAAAAGACTACAAGTAAATAGAGGAAGATACTGATTAATTCTGTACTGTGGTATATGGATCTCTAGTCTTATTTTTTATACTTTTCCATGTTTTTAAAATTTCTCAGAATTGGTAGGAATGAGGGTGAGGATGGGAACTCTGTACCTGTAGAAATCATGCTGTAATATTCATTCCCGGCCAGGCGCAGTGGCTCACACATGTAATTCCAGCACTTTGAGAGGCCAAGGCTGGTGGATTGCCTGAGCTCAGGAGTTCGAGACCAGCTTGGGCAACACAGTGAAACCCTGTCTCTACTAAAATATAAAAAGTTAGCCGGGCGTGGCAGCGTAAGCCTGTAATCCCAGCTACTCGGCAGGCTGAGGCAGGAGAATCACTTAAGCCTGGGAAGCTGAGGTTGCAGTGAGCTGAGATCGTACCACTGCACTCCAGCCTGGGCGACAGAGCGAGACTCCATCTCAAAACAAAACAAAACAAAACAAAACAAAAATTCATTCCCAATCAAATACTAAATTTGTATAGCAAATATTTCTAAAATTTTATCAACAATGAGTGGATGAACGTGCTATGTATGTAAAATGAAATTATCTGGTTTTTTTTTTTTTACATTCAAAATGAAGGCCGGGCATGGTGGCTCATGCCTGTAATCTTTGCACTTTAGGAGGCTGAGGTGGGAGGACCGCTCGAGTCCAGGAGTTTGAAAGCAGCCTGGGCAACATGATGAGACTCCGTCTCTACAAAGAATTTAAAAATTAGCCACAGTGAGCCATGATTGCACCACTACACTCCAGCTTGAGGAACAGAGTAAGACGCTGTCTCAAAAATAAATAGGTGGCAAAAAAATTAAAAATAGTAAGTAAAAACCACAGCCAAAAAGAAAGAGAGAGAGAAAGAAAAAGAAAGAAAGAGGAAGGAAGGAAGGAAGGAAAAAAGGAAAGAAGGAAGAAAGAAAGAGAAAAAAGTACCACGATCATTTCTAGGGTAACCTGATGGAATTATCAAGATAATTATGCAAGATAAAATAAATAAATAAATAATAAATAAGTAAATAAGTCAAAACCACAGGAAAAAAAAGCCATTAAGTTTCCAGGGTAAACTGATGGAATTATCAGGATTTCACAGTAGAAGTAATTTGATTAAGTTTACAGCTGCCAAAGAGGTGGAGTCTGCATAAGTGAACAGCTGATTGAATCTGATGCCTCTAGTGTGTTTAAGGACTCAGATCATAAGAGCAAAACCGTTTGAGTTCAAATCTACTATCAGTGTTTGATTCTGTGACCTGCAAATACTTAATATCTCTGAGTCTCAGTTTTCGCTTTACATGATAACAATGATAAAATCCACCTCCTAATACTGGTGAGGGTAAAATTCGCTAATTAATGCCAATTGCTTCCCTGCACAATGAGAACAGGGGAAGTGATTGCATTAATGTCCAGAGGCCTCTGGTAGGTAACTCAATCACTCTGCCTATACAGGCGGTAGGTAGGTCGCTGGGGCTCCGCCCCGAGGGGTGTGGCCGACCAAAGACGCAAAGCAGTGACCTGGGTGCATCCGAGCCAGGCTGTATAAAAGCCCAGGCCCCAGAAGGCGCCCAGAAGTTTCAGAGTGTGTTCCTCTCCGTCTGCAAGTAGCAAAGTGCCCGGCCTGCCATATGGATCAATTTCTGGTAAGTCTATCTCCAAATGAAAGGGCGAAGGTCGGTGTCATGGAGTGGTAGGTCAGAAATTCAAAGATGTAGGCGTCCAGAATCCTAGCAAGGGAGCCCGCTAATAGGGGAGGACAGAGAAGTGTCTGAAACGGTTCATTTATTGAGGACCATTTTTACTTCCACGAGCCTGCCCTCCGCAGGGCATGCCTTTCATCAGACAGACCCTTTCATCAGACAGACGCGGGGCCTGCAGAGAAGGCTGTGGTTGTGATCCTGGGGGTCTCTCGATGGCACCCGAAGGTCTTTCTATCATGTTGGCAGGAGCCCAGGACGAGATCGTGGTCTGGTCGAAGTCTCATGGAAGTATACAAGGAACGCTAGGCCCATGAGTCAGAGGGGCCTGGGTGGGTTGGGTTGAATTATTAGAGATCAAGAGAAGGAGGCATAGCCCGTGGTTGGAACTATCAGGGTTTATTGTTTGTTTTGGTTTGGTTTGGATTTTTTGTTTGTTTGTTTGTTTGTTTTTTTGACAGAGTCTTGCTCTGTCGCCCAGGCTGGAGTGCATTGGCACGATCTCCACACACTGCAACCTCCGCCTCCCAGGTTCAGGCAATTCTCATGCCTCAGCCTCCCAAGTAGCTGGGACTACAGATGTGCACTACCATTCCTGACTATTTTTTTTTTCTTTTTTGGAATTTTAGTAGAGGCAGAGTTTCACTATTTTGGCCAGGCTGGTCTCAAACTCCTGACCTCAAGTGATCTGCCTGCCTTGGCCTCCCAAAGTGCTAGGATTACAGACCTGAGCCATTGCACCCAGCCGGGACTATCGTTTTAATAATTCCTTAAACTGGGGTTGAAATCCTTCTGTTTTTCCAAGGGCCAGAAACTTTAGGGACCAGAAGCAGACCTAGAGCAGGTGGAGTGGGAATCAGTCCCTCACTGGGTTCCTGTTTTCTAAGGTTCCCAGTGGGATCCATCAGGCCTTGCTCAGAACGAAATAGAGTTCTGTCTGCTCAGAGGAGCTTCTAGTCCAGTGGTGGGGAGAGGGGGTAGACAGGAGTTAAGCTTTTACATGAGTAGAAATGGTGGGAAACTAAGTGTAAGAGTAAGATGCTATTAGAGATTGATTTTTAAAGTTTAATTTTATGTATTTATTTTTTAGAGAGGAGGGGGTTCTTGCTATGTTGCCCAAGCTGGCTTCAAACTGCTGGGCTCAAGGGAACCTCGTCCCACAGCCTCTGAGTACCTAGAGCTAGAGGTGCTGTGATAGCTAGAGATTGATTTTAATCTCAGAGGACATCATTTCAAAGATTTCCTGTTTGGAATTTTTTTTTTGAATTTTTCTCAGTTATTTGTATGATCTTCAAATATATGTAATATAAAATTACCATCTTAGTCATTTTTAAGTTTACAGATCAGTGGTGGTATTTAGATACAGTCATAGTATTATGCAACCATCACCACCATCCATCTCCAGAACTCTTTCATCTTATAAAAGTGAAACTGTACCAGTTAAACAGTTAACTCCTCATTCCCCCTCCCCCTTTTCCCCCCAACCATCTGTCTGTCTCTGATTTTGATTACTCTTAGGTACTTCATATAAGTGGAATCACATGACTTTTTATGTGAGTCACTTTTTTGTGGCTGGATTATTTCACTTAGCATAATGTCCTCAAAGTTCATCCATGTTGTAGCATGTGTCAGACTATCCTTCCATTTTAAGGCTGGATATTCAGTTATATATTCCATTGTTTGTATATACATTTGACCCTTGAACAACACAGGTTTGAACTGCATAGGTCCACTTATAACTATATTTTCTTCAATAAATATATTGAAAATAGATTTTCATATGTTGAACCATCCTTGCATTCTGGGAGTAAATCCCATTTGGTCTTGTTGTATAATCCTTGTAATATGCTGATGAATTGGGTTTACCAGTACTTTTTTGGGATTTTTGCATCAATGTTCTTAAGGGATATGAGTCCGTAGTTTTCTTTTCTTGTAGCATCACATCTGGCTTTGACATTGGGTATATGCTGGGCTCGTAGAGTAAGTTAGGAAGTATTCTCTCCTCTTCAATATTTTGTAGAAGTTTGAAGGATTGATATTAGTTCTTTAAAATTTGGTAGAATTGACCAGTGAAACTATCAGGTCCACAGCTTTTTTTTCGTTAGGAGATAATGATTACTGATTCAGTCTCATTAGTTATAGGTCTCTTCAGATTTTCTTTCTTCCTGATTCAGTCTTGATAGGTTTTGTGTTTCTATGAATTTCTTCATTTTATCTAGGTTATCCAATTTGTTGGTGTACAAACTGTCCATAGTCCTGTCTTAAAATCCTTTCTATTGGTGTAGAAGTAGTAGTAATGTCCCCACTTTTCTTTCTGATTTTAGTAATTTGAGTCTCTTTTTCTTAGTCCATCTAGCTTAAAGGTTTGTCAATTTTGCTGATCTTTTCAAAGATCGATTTTTTGTTTCATTAATTTTTCTGTATTTTTTAAAATTTCCATTTCATTTATCTCTGCTCTATTCTTTTTTGTTTTGTTTTTTTACAGGTGGGGTCTTGCTTTGTCACCCAGGCTGGAGTGCAGTGGCACAATAACAGCTCACTGTAGCCTCCGACTCCTGGGCTCACGTGATCCTCCTGCCTCATCATTCCAAGTAGCTGGGACTACAGGTATGTGCCACCACACTCAGCTAATTAAAAAAAAAAAAAATTTGTAGGAGCTGGATCTCACTATATTGCCCAGGTTAGTCTAGAACTCCTGGGTGAAGGGATCCTCCCACCTTGGCCTTCCAACATGCTGGGATGACAGGCCTGACCCACTGTGCCTGGCCTGTTCTAATCTTTATCATTTTCTTCCTTCTGCAAACTTTAAGTTTAGTTCTTTTTCTAGTTCCGTAAATTGTAAAGTTAGGTTACTGATTTGAGCTATTTCTTGTTTTTTTAAATGTAAGTGTTTATAGCTTCTATTCTAGCATTGCTTTTACTACATCCCATAAATTTTGGTCTATTGTGTTTTTGTGTTCATTATAACTTCTCTTGTGATTTCTTCTTTGATCCATTGTTTGCTTAAGAGTATATTCTTTCATTTCCACAAATTTGTGAACTTTCCAGTTTTACTTCTTTTTTTTTTTTTTGAGATGGCATCTCACTCGGTCGCCCAGGCTGGAGTCCACCTCCCAGGTTCAAGCGATTCTCCTGCCTCAGCCTCCCGAGTAGCTGGGATTACAGGTGCTCACCACCAAGCCCAGCTAATTTTTGTAATTTTAGTAGGGACAGGGTTTCCCATCTTGGCCAGGCTGGTCTTGAACTCCTGGCCTCATGATCCACCCACCTCGGCCTCCCAAAGTGCTGGGATTACAGGTGTGAGTCACCATGCGCAGCCTTCCAGTTTTACTTCTATTATGGATTTCTATTATGGATTTAGAGGTGGATGTGGTGGCAAGCACCTGTAGTCCCACGTACTAGGGAGTCTGAGACAGGAAGATCGCTTGAGCCCAGTAGTTCAAATCCAGCCGGGGTAACTTGGAGAGAATCCATCTCTGAAAATAAAAATAAAAAGAATTCCTAGGTTTTGAGAGCTCCTCTTGGTAGGGTGTCACCACAAGAAGTGGCATCAGCCCAGACCTCCAAGTGAAAGTGGCTTCTGCTTCCACTGTGGCTTCAATTATCTCCCTTCTTTTAAGGGTACCTCCTTCTAGTTCTTGGGAAATTCCACTTATTTCCAATCATAAATAGATATATGTTATATATGTATATTCTTTGGGTTTTAAAATTTTTCTTTAAATATATGTAATATATGTACATATATTATATATATATATATATTTCTATATATTTAAAGCCATCTATCATTTCTATGATTTGGTATAGAAGGGAAGGACTTCAGGGTCTCCTCAGTCCACCATATTCAATGACAGTCCTGTCACACATTTTGAATACAGCCTGGGGGAATTATGGTATTTCTCTATTCTGAGAGTCAGGACAAGGCAGGAGGGACCAGACTTTGATGGCAGAGATGGGAAAGGAGAACGTATTAGATAAGATAATTTGGCTGGATAAGGCAGACTGAGCAATGGATTGGATAGGAACATGGCAAAACTGAGTAGACTGATCTGGCTAGAGTAGGACAAAAGCAGGGAAGAGGCACAGGGGATGAAAAAGATGTGAGGCTACCCAGATGGTGGCTTTGGGGAGCTCATTATAAACTTGACACTTTTCTTGCAGATCATATGGGGCAGAGAAAAAAGAGAAAATAATAAATAAATAAATAAATAAGTACATACATACATACATACATACACTTGATACCAGAGACAAAGGAAGCCTAGAAGCATATGGATGGCCACTTTGAACAGAAATATAAACCTTGTCCATATGCACAGTTACGCCTCTGTCTCCAAAGAAACTGCTTCTTGGAATGTATCTTAGTCTGTTCTGTCCAGGAGCTGGTAGATTCGGTGTCTGGTAAGGGCATACTTTCTGATTCATAGATGGCACCTTTTAGCTGTGTCCTCACTTGGTAGAAGTAAAGAACTCTGACCCTCAGCCCCTTAGAAGAACACTCATCTCATTCTTGAAGGTTCTGTCTCCATGACCTAATCATCTCCCAAAGGCGCTACCTTCTAATACAATCACACTGGAAATTCAGTTTTAGCATATGAAATTTGGAGAAACACAAACATTCAGTCCATAGTAGAATGGTTCCTAGAAGCTGGTGGTTTCCAGGATGGTTCTCAGGAGGCTAGAATCAGTGGGTGCCCCCAGTGAGATCTCTGGGAGAAATATCCCATTTATCTAGGGGACTGTAAGGACCCACAGCCAGATAGGTCCAGTACAAATTAAGAGTCTTCCACCTGGGCCAAGTCAATTTACCTCCCTGGACTTCTATTTTCCTTAAAATGGGATTAATTATGACCCTTATTTTCTGGGGTCATGGTGGAAATGAAATGAGATAATTTATTTGAAAATTTAATCAGCTGAATCTCCGGTAAGATGTCTGGAGAGGAGACTTTGGAAAAGCCTCTGGGGTGAGATCTCTTCAGAGGATGATAGGAGATTCACAACATCCATCTAGACTCTCATCTCCATTGGTAGATAGGAGTAGCTTAGTAAAAGTTTGCACTTGAGAAATGTTTGCACTTTTAAAATGTTACTCTGTGTGTGGAGGGGACACTGGATGAAGTTAACTCCAGAGTCAGTTGAAAGGCAACTACAGGCTTCTAGGCAAGAGATGATGGTGGGCTGGATTAGGATAGGGTCAACAGGGATGGAGAAGGAGGGTATGTGGGGATTGGAATTTGAGCTGGGATGAACCCCTGACCTATCAATTTTTTTGCAGGATCCCATAACTAAAGATCTAGTTCAGTCATCAGGCAACATCAAAGAGATGGATTCCAGTCTTCTCCAGGCAATTGAGGAAATTGAGAAATTTTTCCAGCATCTCTCTGAGCGGCATACAGAACAGGCAGAAACCCCAGATGCACCAGAACCACAGAACTGTATGCCTCTGACTGCCCATGCTGAGGAGAGCCAACATGAGTCAACCCAGAGCAAGACGATGCCTCCCTTGGGGTCCACAATGATGACTTCTGCATGCACTAACATCCCTGGGACAGTTCTCACCCAGGACTTAACAATGCACCCTCTTAAAGCCCTTGAAGACCTAAGTGAGACTTATTCCATGGGCCAGAAAGTGACTTCCTTTGATCAGGTAAAACACACAGCAGGCTCCCAGATGACAGATGTTACTGTCACCCCAAAGTCATCACCCACTGATTGCCAGAAGACAACCATCACTGCAAGCAACATGACAATCTCCAATGAAAGTAGCCAGCTGAACACCCCAAGCAGTGACCAGACCCTCAATGAGAGTCAGATACCAGCCCTGCTTGGAGATCAGATGAAGACCCTCAGTGATAACCAGACTCTCTGTGGGGACCAGGTGACCTTCAGTAGTGACCAGACCCTCACTGATGGTCATACAGTGACTTCCGGTAGCGATGAGACCCTCTCTGGGGGCCAAATGACAACCAGTCTAGACCTCTATGGAGGGCAAATGATGACTTCCATTGATAACCAGACCCTCTGTGGGGAGCAGATGACGACCTCCAGTGGTAACCAGGCCTTCTACGGGAGACAGATGACGACCTCCACTGGTAACCAGACCCTCTGTGGAGAGCAGATGACAACCTCCACTGGTAACCAGGCCCTCTATGGGGGGCAGATGACGACCTCCGCTAGTAACCAGACCCTCTGTGGAGAGCAGATGACAACCTCCACTAGTAACCAGACCCTCTGTGGGGAGCAAGTGATGACCTCCACTGGTAACCAAGCCCTCTGTGGAGGGCAGATGACGACCTCCACTGGTAACCAGAACCTCTATGGGGGGCAGATGATGACCTCCACTGGTAACCAGACCCTCTACTGGGGGCAGATGATGACCTCCACTGGTAACCAGAACCTCTGTGGAGAGCAAGTGATGACCTCCACTGGTAACCAAGCCCTCTGTGGAGGGCAGATGACGACCTCCACTGGTAACCAGAACCTCTATGGGGGGCAGATGATGACCTCCACTGGTAACCAGACCCTCTACTGGGGGCAGATGATGACCTCCACTGGTAACCAGAACCTCTGTGGAGAGCAAGTGATGACCTCCACTGGTAACCAAGCCCTCTGTGGAGGGCAGATGACGACCTCCACTGGTAACCAGAACCTCTGTGGAGAGCAAGTGATGACCTCCACTAGTAACCAGACCCTCTGTGGAGAGCAGACGACGACCTCCACTAGTAACCAGACCCTCTGTGGGGAGCAGGTGACGACCTCCACTGGTAACCAGGCCCTCTACGGGGGGCAGATGATGACCTCCACTGGTAACCAGACCCTCTACTGGGGGCAGATGATGACCTCCACTGGTAACCAGAACCTCTGTGGAGAGCAGATGACAACCTCCACTGGTAACCAGGCCCTCTACGGGGGGCAGATGACAACCTCTACTAGTAACCAGACCCTCTGTGGAGAGCAGATGACGACCCCCACTAGTAACCAGACCCTCTGTGGGGAGCAGGTGACGACCTCCACTGGTAACCAGGCCCTCTACGGGGGGCAGATCACGACCTCCACTAGTAACCAGACCCTCTGTGGAGAGCAGATGACGACCTCCACTAGTAACCAGACCCTTTGTGGGGAGCAGGTGACGACCTCCACTGGTAACCAGGCCCTCTATGGGGGGCAGATGATGACCTCCACTGGTAACCAGGCCCTCTACGGGGGGCAGATGACAACCTCTGCTAGTAACCAGACCCTCTGTGGAGAGCAGATGACAACCTCCACTAGTAACCAGACCCTCTGTGAGGAGCAGGTGATGACCTCCACTGGTAACCAGGCCCTCTGTGGAGAGCAGATGACAACCTCCACTGGTAACCAGGCCCTCTACGGGGGGCAGATGACGACCTCCACTAGTAACCAGACCCTCTGTGGAGAGCAGACGACGACCTCCACTAGTAACCAGACCCTCTGTGGGGAGCAGGTGACGACCTCCACTGGTAACCAGGCCCTCTATGGGGGGCAGATGATGACCTCCACTGGTAACCAGACCCTCTACTGGGGGCAGATGATGACCTCCACTGGTAACCAGAACCTCTGTGGAGAGCAGATGACAACCTCCACTGGTAACCAGGCCCTCTACGGGGGGCAGATGACGACCTCTACTAGTAACCAGACCCTCTGTGGAGAGCAGATGACGACCCCCACTAGTAACCAGACCCTCTGTGGGGAGCAGGTGACGACCTCCACTGGTAACCAGGCCCTCTACAGGGGGCAGATCACGACCTCCACTAGTAACCAGACCCTCTGTGGAGAGCAGATGACGACCTCCACTAGTAACCAGACCCTCTGTGGGGAGCAGGTGACGACCTCCACTGGTAACCAGGCCCTCTATGGGGGGCAGATGATGACCTCCACTGGTAACCAGAACCTCTACGGGGGGCAGAATATGACCTCCACTGATAACCAGGCCCTCTATGGAGGCCAGATGGCAACATATAGTGGCAACCAGACCCTCTATGGGGACCAGATGCTGACTCTTCAGGTGGGCAATATGACAACGCTCACTGATGACCACAGCCTTTATGGGGGATATATGATGTCCCATCAGTTCTCATCATTGCCATACCCAGGATTCCTATGCTTTTCAAGTTCCCATTTGATTCAAGGACAACTCCCAAAACAGAAGACACAGAGCTGCCAGTTCTGGAAGAATCCTGAGGTTTCAAGGCCCTATGTCTGCACTTACGAGGACTGCAAGATGTCTTATTCAAAGGCTTGCCACCTCCGAACCCACATGCGCAAGCACACCGGTGAGTGAGGGCCCAGAAACAGGGGTGAGGGGCAAGTGGCTACAGATTTGTGCCCGGAAGCATTTGAGATTGCTGCCACTTCCTTTAAGCCAGGGATTCAAAAAATTCTATAATAGAAAAGGTTGGCACCTTCAGAAGGGTAGATAAAGCAGTCCTAGGGACAGGCTCTAGTCCTGGACCAGGGACAGGCTCTAGTCCTGGACCAGAGCCAGGCTGGCTATAGCCTTTAGTGGTGTTGACTGCTGGTTTGATGGGAATAAGTGGAGGGATTTCTTTGGCCTCTTGCAGGTAGATGTTCTTGATGCTATTTCTACTGGGACCGTCACTTCGTAGTGACAGGGCCCCCAGGCCCCACTTCCCTCATCCTCCTTATTCCCCCCACTAACTTGCCTGCCAATAACTGTCTCTCCTCCTGTTTGTTTTTTTTCTTCTTCCTTTCCTCTTCTTCCCTTCTTCACAGTTTTCCTCTTGTCTCTCCAGCTTTTGCGGCCCTCATTCCCCTCCTCCTTCACTCACCTCCACCACTCCCGTCTCTTCTGGCTCTCCCTCTCCCACTCCAACTTGTTCAAAAACGTTTTCTTGTTCACTTTAAATGTCCCTGCCCTACCTCACCCTGATGTATGACAGGTCTCTCTCTCTCTGTCTGGTCCAGGGGAGAAGCCCTATGTATGCGATGTAGAGGGATGTACGTGGAAATTTGCCCGCTCAGATGAGCTCAACAGACACAAGAAAAGGCACACTGGGGAAAGGCCCTACCTGTGTTCAATATGCAGCAAGAATTTTGCAAGATCTGATCACCTAAAGCAGCATGCAAAGGTCCACAACATTCGCCCAGGATTATGAACCCTTCAGCCCATGTGGAAATGTGTACAGCTAAAAGATTCTCCCTATTGAGGTTGTTTCCCTTGAACAAGCTCCCCTATTTCCCTATGCCAGTAGCTAGTAGGTGCTTAATATTATTCATAAGTTTTCTAAAATATACAAAAAAAGTAGGTATGCATTTTCATGTAAAAACTGGATGACTTTCAACTTGAAACCAGAAGCCCTCTTCATTCATTCCCCTCTCTCAGGGTAACGGCTTTTATCAGCATGCTGTGAATCCTTCTAGATCTTACTCTGTATTTACCTGTATGTGTACTTTTAAAACGTATCTATGTAGGTGATTGAGATTGATATGTGTATAGCTCAGAGGGTAAAGAATGAAACATTTTTTGTCTGTAGCTGAGTCCATGTTTCTTTGGAGCTTCATTCCTATGAGGTGAAAAGGAGGGGACGCTCAGTCACGTCCAGTGTAAAGTGGTCTCAGGTTAAATGGACTTTGCTTAGAAGAGTACTTAGCCTATTCAAAGGTTCAACCTCAGGCAGGTGTGGTGGCTCACGCCTGTAATCCTAGCACTTTGGGAGGCCAAGGTGGGCAGATTGCTTGAGCCTGGGAGTTCTAGACTAGCCTGGGCAACGTGGCGAAACTCTGTCTCTACAAAAAAAAAATACAAAAATTAGCCGGGTGTGGTGGTGCATGCCTGTAGTCCCAGCTACTTGGGAGGCTGAGCTGGGAGGATCACTTGAGCTCAGTAGTTGGAGTTGCAGTGAGCTATATTCACACCACTTCACTCCAGTCTGGGCGACATAGCGAGATCCTGTCTCAAAAAAAAAAAAAAGATATTGTGTAATATTATATATGAAATATATTGAATAAGATATTTAAGTTATAAGTAGAAAAAATGAGCACCTGTAAGAGCTCATCACCCAGTGTCATGCAATCAGGGGTTGATATGGCCAATCGGAACAATGAGCCAGATGGAAAGGAATGATCAAGCCTTATTTACTGACTGCTGCAGAGCAGATGGGGGAGATAGCCTTAGCCAAGACCCCAAATAAGGAGGCCTCTGCATGGAAGCACCATCGTCCTTCAACCATCCACATAAACCCAGGGTATAAAACTGTGCACTGGCTGCTTTCTGGGGTCCTTCAGCTGTGGTACAAGTGGGATACATGCAGTTAAGACTCCATCCCCGCTGGGCAGCTTTCCTGAGCCTTGGGGGACTCACTCCCAGTGAATCCTAGATTGTTGTCCCTTGCTGCCTGTAATAAACCTATTTTATTTAACTTGTTGTGTGTATGGGTGTCATTGGATCTCACTGGACTCAGACAAGCTGATAACCAGTGCACAGTGAACCTGCTTTACAGTGGGGATGCCAAGTCCTTGACTATAGCTCCTTTCAGAAAACTGCAATGCCCCGGCTATGTGCCAAGTCTGGTGAGCTCCCCTACCCATCCTTCTGTCTATCTTCTAGAATTGATGACTACCCTGCATTTTGTATATATAAATCCCTTGATACATTTATCAAAAATGCATGTATTCAAAGATAATTTGCAGGGTTTTTTTGTTTTGAGCTTCATAAATATTATACTAAGCTATATAACTTATACTAAGTTTCTTCTGAAACTCCCTTGTTTTCAACACATTATCTCTAAGATTTCATCCATGTTATTACTAAGGCCAATAAAAAGAATCCATAACAACCCCAAACAAAACTTCTCTACATTGTCAACACAGCAGGGTGGGCGTGGGGGAGTGAGAGACCAAAGAAATCTGAGAGTGCGCTAGAGTCTTACATGAAGTACAACAACTATAAAAAGAAAAGATCATACAGCTGTTCATTATCCAGATCTAATCTGCTAGATCATAAATTTTTAGACTAAAGTTTTTATTTCATTAACCTAAATATGAAAAATAGTAACATATTCCCAACCCATCCAAAAACCCCAAACATTTCTTCAGATTTCACTACAACCCTTATATATTCTAACAATCCACCAAGGATTTCACATTATATAAAACCCCCAGGTGTGGTGGCTCACACCTATAGTCCCAGCACTTTGGGAGGCCAAGGCAGGCAGATCACCTGAGGTTGGGAGTTTGAGACCAGCCTGACCAACATGGAGAAACAGTCTCTACTAAAAATACAAAATTAGCTGGGTGTGGTGGCACACAGCTGTAATCCCAGCTACTCGGGAGGCTGAGGCACGAGAATCACTTGAACCCAGGAGACGGAGGATGTGGTGAGCCGAGACTGTGCCATTGCACTCCAGCCTGGGCGACAGAGCAAGACTCAGTCTCAAAAAAAAAAAAAAAAAAAGAAAAAAAAGAACCGAAAAAAATGAACAGGGTGTCAGTAACCTGAGGGACAATATCAAGTGCTCCATCATATAGGCAGACTGTGTCAGAAATAGAAGGTGGAGGAGAACCCCAAAATTTGACAAAACAATGCCCAAAATTTTTCCAAATTTTATTAAGACCACTAAACATTTAGATTGAAAAAGTTTGATGAATCCTAAACAGAATAAAGGTAAGTTCAAAACCATACAAAATCAATCACTATATTTAAGAACAGATACATTATGTGGTAAAAACAATAAATAGCTAAGGCAAGATTAATCAAAATTCAGTATAGTGGTTACCTCTGCAAAGAAGGATGGGGAATTCAAAGCTTTAAATGTACTAGTAGATCACTTTCCCTTCTTTTTCTTTTAATTTTATTTTTTACAGAGACAAGGTCACACTGGTCTCAAACTCCTGGCCTCAAGTTATCCTAAGGATTTTTATTATTTTTTATTATTTTTCTTTTTTCCTTTTTTTTGACCTTCCTAACATGAGTGCATTTATTATTAAATTGGATATATACAAAATATTTTTTGCAGGTATGATAGATATCACAATCAATGGAAAACGAATCAAGTTCATCCATTCTTCTTCTGTGTTACTTATAACACAAGTCAGGAACCTGGAAGTCACCCTTGGCCTCACCCTCACCTAACAAATCCAGTTAACTATCACTTTCCTACTTCTCCCTACCTCCACTCTCACACCCTAGCCAAAGCCACCTTGACTCTCACCTGAAATACTGCTATGTCCCTTCCTCTCCCTTACATCCTTGCTCTAATCTAATCTCCATGTTGCAGCCAAAGAAAACACTTAACCTTATCTCTCCATCTTGAATCTATCGCACCATCCCCTTTACTATCAGAAGCAAGAGTGACAAGTAAATTTCTCAAGACACCTCATAGCCAGGAAATGGCAGAGGCAGGATTCAAAATCTACTAGAGTCCACAGGTCTTTTTTGTTTTGATTGTTTTGAGATAGAGTCTCGCTCAGTCGCCCAGGCTGGAGTGCAATGGTGAGATCTGAGCTCACTGCAACCTCCGCCTCCTGGGTTCAAGCGATTCTCCCGTCAGTCTCCCGAGTAGCTAGGATTACGGTACCCGCCATATGCCAGGCTAATTTTTGTATTTTTTGTAGAGATGGGGTTTCACCATGTTGGCCCGGCTGGTCTCGAATCTCTAACCTCAAATGATCCGCCTGCCTCGGCCTCCAAAAGTGCTGGGATTACAGGCGTGAGCCATCGCGCCGGGCCCAATTTGTGTACTTCTAGTAACATCCTTTCTCCGCTAGATTGTGACCTCCACAAGAGCAGGAGCCTGTTTTGCCCACCATTGTAGTGCACATCATACACCCTTGATCACTCTGGTCCTCTCCACGTCCACTTCTTGGTGAAAATGCTAGGTCACCAAGCAGGCCTCTCATCCTACATTCCAACAACAAGCCATCTGGTTTGCTGACCCTACCCATGAGGCTGTGTGTGAGCCAGGTGGGCTGGGGAACAGAGACCATCCCTGGCCCAGTGAACCCGAGATGACCTGCTCCATGGAAGGGATCTGGTGCCCTGGTAGAAAGACACTTTGAGTACCCAAGACTTCAATCCCTGGGGCTAGTGAATGGGTCATAAATGAGCCACTTCTGCCCCTGTTCTTTTAATAATGTCCATTCCCCTCACATAGGAGCTTGGATGAAGGGCACCTGGATGTCCATCCCAGGTATACTGGGGCCACTAGTAACACAGACAAAGGCAGTGAAGTAGGACAAGGTCAGGGTAGGGGTGAGAGGGCAGGGGCAGGCACAGCCAAGGCTGTGGGGCTTCCCCAGAGGCCCAGATAGGCTTGAGCCTGCAGAGGACCGGCTTCTCTTCTTGGCAGCACTGGGCACATTCATAAATGTTGTCTATGATCTTTCTGCTCTGCAGAGGCAGGGTGCCTTCATGCACTTCTGAATCCTTACTGTCCATGCCATAGTTTCCAGAAGATAGACATGTCCAACGGTATATGTCCAAGAAATGTGAGGTGCAGCTAGCCCCCATGAGTCCTTTGGGTCTGATGGAGGCACCTCCTTGAGAAGTCTTTCTTCCCTGACACATCCTTTAGTTAACTCCATGCTCCTCACCATGGGTCTCCACAGCCTTGTTGCGCTCAGTATTGTAGGCTCAAAAAACATTTTTCTGAATGAATGTAGAACTTGAAGACTGCCTCTCCTCTGAACAGTTGCCACGTCCAGTGCTCTCAGCCTGGAATCCTCTTCCTTCTTCATTCACCTGTTCAGTTTATTTCAAAATTTGAGGGATTACTAGGTGTTACACTCTTACTGGGCCCAGGGATTACCTCCTCCAGAGAGCCTTTCTGACCCTTCCATTAGGGGCTCCTCTTCCCCATGGCTACTGTACCGAGGTGGACCTCTGAGCCCCCAGATCAAGACGGTCCCTTGAGCACAGAAACCAGCTCTGATTCATCTCTCTGTGCTTGGCACCAGCCTCGTTCAGGAAACACCCATAGAAGGCACCATCTTCTTACGGAAGAGACCACCTCTGGGGCAGACAGATCCTGGTTGGGATTCTAGATCTGCACTTGATAGCTTGGCCAAGTTCCTTTCTCTCTATCAATTTCCTGGAGTAAAACAGCCTGCCGAGTCTAAATATGAGGTTCTAAACTACCTGGCTGGTTTGCCAAGATAGTCATTATCCCCTTAACCCCAAGGGAGAGCAAGGAAAGATAGGCCACTTAATATCTGGTGCTTTGTAGTCCAGGGACCTAAGGAAGGTGGGAGGAGAAGAAGTTACAGTGAGATTCATCTTTATCTGCCCCAGGCTTAGGTCCTCCTCTCCCTCCTAGTCCTCAGTCACCTAGAATACAGAGCCTGAAAACAAGAACTAAGTACTGGTGTTTTATTTGGAGAGGTGCAAACCCAAGGCATTGGAAGTGAGAAAATGGAAGAAAGGCGGGAAAGAATGGGAAGTAACGTAAGGTGATGTATTTAATAGGCTGGGGTGGGCACTGCTTCATGACAAGCCTTGCAGAGGTCACAGTAGTTCTGTCCACCGGCTACTTGGGAGGCCTCCCCATTGATGGTACTGTTTTGGAGAGTTGGTGCCATGCAGCAATTTATGAAAGGCAGGGGAAAAGGGGGAATTGATTTGCCTGAGTCTCACCTATCTCCCATTTTCCACTAGTCAAAAAAAAAATTTTTTTTTTGAGATGGAGTCTTGCTGTCACCCAGGCTGGAGTGCAATGGCACAATCTTGGCTCACCGCAACCTCCACCTCCCGGGTTCAAGCCATTCTCCTGCCTCAGCCTCTCGAATAACTGGGACTACAGGCGCACGCCACCATGCCTAGCTAATTTTTGTATTTTTTGTAGAGACAGGGTTTCACCATATTAGCCAGGCTAGTCTCAAGACTCCTGACCTTGTGATCCACCCGCCTCAGCCTCCCAAAGTATTGGGATTACAGGCGTGAGCCACTGCGCCCGGCCTCAAATTTTATCCCATAAATATTAACTCCCAGCCAGACACCATGGCTTATGCTTGTAATCCCAGCATTTTGGGAAGCTGAGGTGGGCAGACTACTTGAAGCCAGGAGTTTGAGATTAGTCTGGCCAACATGGTGAAACCCCGTCTCTACAAAAAATACAAAAATTAGCTGGGTGTGGTGGTGCTTGCCTGTAATCCCAGCTATTCAGGAGGCTGAAGCAGGAGAATCGTTTGAACCCGGGAGGCAGAGGTTGCAGTGAGCTGAGATCACACCACTGTACTCCAGCCATGGTGGCAGAGCAAGACTCTGTCTCAAATAAATAAATTTCCCCACACTTCTAAGTTTGCTAGCAGCAACTTGGGATGCCAGATCCCATGCCCTATGCCAGGGCATTCCATCCAAGTCTGTAAAGTGGTGGGAAGAAACAGAAACTCTGGGTACATGGCCAGTGAGTGCCAGGGAGAATGATGCAGTATATGTGCCACGTCTAATACAGTACAAAACTAGTTTTTTCATTTTCTGGAAGAAACAAAGCATAGTGATCCAAGAACTTTCTCAAGGTCACATGGATATTAAGTGGCAAATTCAGGATTTGAAAATAGTCTGGCTCTGGAAACTGGATTTTATGTAGCAAGCAAAGGAGTCACTAAAGGGTTTTAAGCTGGGGAGCGACAAGAAATAAAGAGCATTTTAATGAAGCTCCCAGTCTCTACTGTGCTCCACATTCGCATCTGACTAAACTCCAGCAGAAGCAGGTGGCCCCAGAGAGGTTAAGGGCATCCGAGACAGGGTTTGAGGAGTCTCTGGCTCCAGAGCTCCGTGTAGGCTTCAACACTGACCCATAATCTTCCTGTCTTCATCTAATCCTACACCCACCAAAGAGAAGAACTGGTCAGAGGCAGGTAGGATCTGTGTAGAAAAGCCAGAATGAGGCCGGCTGCGGTGGCTCACGCCTGTAATCCCAGCACTTTGGGAGGCCAGCGTGGGCGGATCATGAGGTCAGGAGATCGAGACCATCCTGGCTAACACAGTGAAACCCCGTCTCTACTAAAAATACAAAAAATTACCCGGGCCTGGTGGCACGTGCCTGTAGTCCTAGCTACTCGGGAGGCTGAGGCAGGAAAATCACTTGAACCTGGGAGGTGGAAGGTGCAGTGAACCGAATTGCGCCACTGCACTCCAGCCTGGGAGACAGAGTGAGACTCCGTCTCAAAAAAATAAAAAGGAAAAAAGGAAAAAGAAAACCCAGAATGAGGAGAGGAGACTGACCTAAGGACCAGCAGCAGGAGGACTGTCCTGCTCTCCATTGTTGTTGTTGGCCTGTGGGTCTGAGGGTCCCGGCCGATGAGTCTTCTGGTGTTGCTTGAGATGGTCAGACCTCATGAACTCCCGGCTGCACTGATCACATTTATATGGTCGATATCTGGTGTGTACCCGCATATGTCGTCTAAGCTCATCAGAACGGAAGAAAGACCATGAACAACTTTCCCAGTTGCAAGAATATGGCCTCTCACCTGGGAATGACAAGGGAGAGATGGAATTTAGAATACAGTAGGAAGGAAGGGGTCTAACTCTGTGAGGCAGAGCAGTCCAGGTTGAGGATTCAAAAGGGAAGGTCCAGGGAACCAGGGAGGGGCAACACAATCAGGAGTGCCCGCCCCAGTCATCTTGGCACAGTCCTCCTGTATGGCAAGTCGGGGGGCCAGTCTAGCTTAGTTCCAAGCTTGGAAGATGAAAGGCTCATCCCAAACAATTACCCACCAGTGGCCCAGGACAAATCTAAAGCCCAGAGACTCCTCCATCCCCACCCCACCTGACACCTCCTTCACCTGTGTGCTTGCGCTGGTGGCTCACGAGGTGGGAGCGTTTGGTATAAGCTTTTCCGCAGTTCTCGTAGTTGCAGCAGTAAGGCCTTGCCTCTGAGGAGCCCCTTCTACCAGTCCCTTCCTGAGGCCTGGAGTTCTTCTCTACTGTCTGTGGAGCAGGTCCGGGCTGCTCTGGTAGAAATGGGCCTTCTTGAGAGTCTGGCTGACTGACAAGAGAGTCCTGAGATCCTAAAACCAGCAATGACTGGGACTCAGCTGGGGGCATCCCAAGGTCATGGGCATCTTGCGGGGGCAACATCTGAGCCATGGAGGGGAGCACTGCCTGGGCCTCAGTGGAAGGCACAGTCGGGCCCAACAATGTTTCGTCAGAAGGTACTGTCGAGAGGCCAGGGTAAGGCACTGGAGGGTTCCCAGTGTGGGACATTATTGGGATTCCAGTGGAAGCCGAGACTGGCAGCCCATTGGGGGGCATCCTTAGATTCCCACCGAAGGGCCTGGCTACCCTTGGAATATTGGGCTCTCCTACGGGCATTAGTTGGGGCCCACTGAAAATCGTCATCTCTTGCTGAGGGGGAGACATTCTCTGACAGTAAATCATCCGGGAAGGAGTGAGAGTCGCTTGGGGGCAGTAGCTCATACCACGCTCAGGCAGTGGCATACTGAACTGTGGCCCCCCTTCATTCACATTCTGCCCCGGCGCCTCAACAGACACCAAAGGGGACCCCAGCATCTCTGCGCTGTGAGGAAAGTGCTGAATGCTTGGTAGGCCTTGGTTCCAAGAGGTGTGCACTCCAGAGCTTCCAGAAGATGAAGACATGTTCAAGATGGGCGCTGAGTTCTCGTTATCCTTGGGGAAAAAGAGTCAGGTGATTTTTGCTCAAATTCCAGTTCCACATGTTCCTCCTCTTCATCCCCAGACCCCATCCTAATCCAGCCCTCTATTTCCATCTCTTGCTTGAATTATCCTGCCTCCAGACCATTTCCCAGCTTGGGCTTTCTAACATGCGGTCTGGCTGATACAAGCCCCACGGAAGCCTAAATGTAACTCATGCCACCTTCCCTTGGACATGTTTTTGGTTTTTATTTCACACAAAGCAACAAAGAGAGCAAATAAAACAGTCCATAACCTACACCTTCAGCAAAACTGAGAAAATGTTCAAACTCCAGTTTTTTTTTTTCTTTTTATTGAGACGGAGTTTCGCTCTTGTTGCCCAGGCTGGAGTGCAATGGCGTGATCTTGGCTCACCACGACCTCTGTCTCCCGGGTTCAAGTGATTCTCCTGCCTCAGCCTCCTGAGTAGCTGGGATTACAGGCATGCACCACCATGCCCAGCTAATTTTGTATTTTTAGTAGAGACGGGGTTTCTCCATGTTGGTCAAGCTGGTCTTGAGCTCCTGACCTCAGGTGATCTGCCCACCTTGGCCTCCCAAAGTGCTGGGATTACAGGCGTGAGCCACCGCGCCTGGCCCAAACTCCAAATTATACATAAGTGTGAAAGTGAAAGAACATCCCAAACCAGCAGAACGGGTGCAGAAAGCCACAGAGATGAAAGGAATTGAGGCTGCAGATGGGTCTCGGCTTTGGCAAAACTTAGACATCATCTGCAAATATTTACAGCGTCTGCCCTGAGTGGGAACTGCCTGGGCAGGTCTGAGATCAAGCACTGGAGGAGAGATGGGGAAAAGGCAGATGTGAAAAAAACACTTCTTAAAAAAAGGGATGGGGGTTGTCTGGAAGTCAGGGGCAGTTTCCTTAATGACTGACTTGCATGAAGGGTAAGAAAGAGATTGGTGGTAGAAGGTCTTAAAATAGGATAGAAGCCAAGAACCATATTTTTAAAAGCTGTCAGTAGTCCAGGCGCAGCGGCTCACAACTAGGTAATCCCAGCACTTTGGGAGGCCGAGGCAGGTGGATTGCTTGAGCTCAGAAATTTCAAAAAGAAAAACAAAATCAGCTAGGTGTGGTGGCGTGTGCCTGTAGTCCCAGCTACTTGGGAGGCTGAGGCAGGAGAATCACTTGAGTCCAGGAGCCAGAGGTTGCAGTAAGCTGAGATTGTGCCATTGCACTCCAGCCTGTGCTGACAGAGTGAGACTCTGTCTCAAGACAACAGCAACAAAAAAGTCCATTACTGTAGCAATAGAAGAGGGAGCTCTTGAGTTGAGAAACGAATAAAGCTATCCTATCATCTCCTATTCACTCTTCAATTGGGATGGTCCAGAAAAGAACAATCCATTCAAATATGACAACCAAAAGAGAAGTTTAAAATACAATATCCATACAAGATAATAAACCACCAAGACAGAAATTGAAGATTGCAATTAAAAAAAAAAGTCACCCGAAAATTGTTGCTACAAATCAAGGGAAAACGTAACAACAATCAAACACAAGAAAGAAAAGATAAGAAAAGAAAGAAAAGAGAAGAAAGAAAGAAGAGAAGAAAGAAAGAAAAGAGAAGAAAGAAAAGAGAAGAAAGAAAGAAAAGAGAAGAAAGAAAGAAAGAAAGAAAAAGAAAGAAAGAAAGAAAGAAAGAAAGAAAGAAAGAAAGAAAGAAAGAAAGAAGGAAAGAAAAGAAAAGAAAAGAAAAGAAAGAAAGAAAGGGAAAGATCCACCGAGGCGGGTGGATCACTTGAGGTCAGGAGTTCAAGGAAGGAAGGAAGGAAGGAGGGAAGGAGGGAGGGAGGGAAGGAAGGAAGGAAGTAAAAACTTGAAGCAATTACAAATTTTGCAGCAGTTATAGGAACATCACAGGTCAGAAATAGGGAAATTCAAAAAAGTTACATCCAGACAACAGGATGGGGTTATATTAGAGAGTAGGGAATGGGGAAAGATAAGAAAGGGACACTGGACGGGCTTCTATTTCTTGACCTGAGTGACAGTTTCACAGGTTTTACTTTGTAACAAACAGTTCATTACTTTGTAGAAGCTGTACTTACATTCACTTTTCTGTTTGAATGTCATTTTTAGCAATATGGTTTAAAATAAGTTAGTATTGCTAGGCACAGTGGCTCATGCCTATGATCCTAGCTCTTTGGGAGGCCCAGGTGGAAGGATCTCTTGAGTCCAGGAGTTCAAGACCAGCCTGAGCAACATAGGGAATCCTCATCTCTACAAAGAATTAAAAAAAAAAAAAAAAAACAAGCCAGGCATGGTAGCATGCGCCTGTGGTCCCAGCCACTCAGGAGGCTGAAGTGGAAAGGATCACTTGAGCCTGGGAAGTCGAAGCTGCAGCGAGCTGTGATCGCATCACTGCTGTCCAGCCTGGGTGACAGAGTGAGACCCCATCTCAAAATAAATAATAATAATGCTAAATTTAAATAGGAAATATTCTATACTAATTCACAAGGTAAAAAATATATATTTTTTTTCTAGCTCTGTCCAGTAAAATAGCCTATCGAAGCATTTGTGACTGTAATAACAACGTGTGCCTCTAGAGCCTAGACTTGTCTCTAATTCTATTCCTTGCTAAAAGTTAGACCAAGAATTTCCTGACTCCAAGACTGGGAAAAGGAAGGTTTAAGGGAGACTGGTACATTTCGTGCCAGAAAATAAGGGAGCTTTCAAAGATTAGGACTGGGTCAAAAGGAGACAGGAAGTGACATCAAGGAAGATAGCAGGGTAGGAAGCACCAGGAACCTGTATCCTCAGCAAGGTAACTATCACACTGGCAGCATTTGTCTGTTATAAGTTTTTTGGAACAATGAAGGGTATTAAAGGCTTGTAACTTCCAAAGGAAGGCTTTGAAAGTAAATTGCAGTTAATTTTGGTCAACCTAAATTCTTAGGTAGGTAGTAGCTACCGATACACACCCCATGTTCCTGGAGCAACTTGCATGCAGCTTGCAGGAGCCAGAGTGGGCAATAAAAACCTTGTCCTTGGCCGGGTGCGGTGGCTCACGCCTGTTATCCCAGCACTTTGGGAGGCCGAGGCGGGTGGATCGCAAGGTCAGAAGATCGAGACCATCCCAGCTAACATGGTGAGACCCATGTCTCCACTAAAAATACAAAAAAATTAGCCAGGTGTGCTGGTGGATGCCTGTGGTCCCAGCTACTCAGGAGGCTGAGGCAGGAGAATGGTGTGAACCCGGGAGGCAGAGCTTGCAGTGAGCCAAGATCATGCCACTGCACTCCAGCCTGGGTGACACAGCAAGACTCTGTCTCAAAAAAACAAAACAAAACAAAACAAAACAAAAAAAACCTTGTCCTCCAACTATTAGGGAATCTATATCCTGATTGTTATTTGCTGTTTCTGATTATGAGGTGCAGACAGAGGTTGGCAGCCATTATGGCAACTCAACCCCCAATGTTACAACCCCCTCCCCTTCCCACTGAAGAGACTTCCAGATATGAATACAAATATCCAAGAAGCTCAACAAAATTCAAGTAGGATAAACTCACAGACCTATACCAAGAAACATTATAATAAAACAGTTGAGGCCAGGTGCGGTGGCTCATGCCTGTAATTCCAACACTTTGGGAGGCTGAAGCAGGTGGATCTCTTGAGGTCAGAAGTTCAAGGCCAGCCTGGCCAACATAGTGAAACCCCGTCTCAACTAAAAATACAAAAATTAGCCAGGTGTGGTGGCGGGCACCTGTAATCCCAGCTACTCAGGAGGCTGAGGCACGAGAATTGCTTGAATCCAGGAGACAGAGTTTGCAGTGAGCCAAGATCGCACTATTGCATTCCAGAGAGTGAGACCCCGTCTCAAAAATAAAAAATAAAACTGTCGAAAGCCCAGGACAAAGAGAGAATCTTGAAAATAGCAAGAGAAGTGACTCATCGCTTATAGGGGATCCCACAAATTACCAGTAGCTCTTTCATCAAAAACCTTGGACACTAAAAGACCATGGGTTGATATATTCAAAGTACTAAAGGAAAAATAACTATTAACCATCCTATATACGGCAAAACTGTCTTTGCAAAATGAGGAAGAAATTAGACATTCCCAGGTAGACAAAAGCTGAGAGATCATTACCACTAGACATGTCCTGCAAGAAATGCTAATGGCAGTCCTTAAGGTTGAAATGAAATGACACTAGATAGTAGCTTGAAGCCATGTGAAGAAATCTGTCATAAGAAAAATTTCTGATAAGGGTAAATATATGGACAATTGTAAAAGTGAGTATTATTTTAACTTTGATATATAACTCCACTTTTTGTTTTCTACATGATTTAAAAGAATGCATAAAATTTATACTTTTATTTTTTGACATACGATGCATAAAAATGTAATTTAGTGAGATCAGTAACTGAAAAGAGGTGGGAATGGAGCTATACAGAAGCAGTTTTTATGTGCTATTGAAGTTAATCTGGTATAAATTCAAATTAGAATGTTATAAACTAGGATGTCAAATGTAATCCCCATGGCAACCACAAAGGACATAGCTAGAGAATACATACAAAAGGGGCCAGGCACAGCAGCTCACACCTGTAATCCCAGCACTTTGGGAGACCGAGGTGGGTGGATCACTTGAGGTCAGGAGTTCGAGACAAGCCTGGCCAACATGGTAAAACCCCATCTCTACTAAAAATACAAAAAATTAGCCGGGCGAGGTGGCGGGCGCCTGTAGTCCCACCTACTCGGGAGGCTGAGGCAGGAGAATGGCGTGAACCCCGGGGGCGGAGCCTGCAGTGAGCCGAGATCGTGCCACTGCACTACAGCCTGGGCGACAGTGAGACTCCATCTCAAAAAAAAAAAAAAAAAAATTAGCCAAGTGTGGTGGCACGTGCCTGTAGTCCTAGCTACTCAGAGGCTGAGGCAGGAGAATCACTTGAACCCAGGAGGTAGAGGTTGCAGTCAGCTGAGATCCAGCCACTGCACTCCAGCCTGGGCAACACAGCGAGACTCTGTCTCAAAAAAAAAAAAAGAATATATACAAAAGGAAATTGTGTTTTAAGGAAATGTATTTTCACTACAAAAAAAAAAATCAAACAAAAAGACAATGCTGGAAATGAGGAAAAGAATGGCAGAATTAAATCATTCCTTGAAAGTAAAATACTTTGGAAAGTAAATGGATAATACTTTCCAAAAGACAATTTGGCAGAATGGATTAAAAACATGATCCAAATATATGCTGTATATATATTTAGATCCAAACACCACAATAAACCAAGTAGATCTAACAGACATACACAGAACACTCCACTCAACAATAGAATATCCATTCTTCGAAAGTGTTCATGGGACATTCTTCAGAAGACCATATAGTAGATCACAAATTAAGTCTCAATAGATTTCAAAATAAACTTTTCTCTTGCCGCTTTTAGAAAAAAATAAAAAAAAAAAGGTATCATACAAAGTATCTTCTCTGACCCACAACCAGATAAACTAGAAAATTTACAAATCTGTGTGGAAATTAAATAGCACTCTCTGAAACAATCAATGGGTCAAATAAAAAAATCACAATGAAAATTAGAAAATACTTAGAGACCAATAAAAATGAAAACATAACTATCAAAACTAATGGGATAGATACAGCAAAAGCAGTCATAAGGGGAAAACCTACTGGTTTAAATGCTTTCAGTAAAAAAGATCTCAAACCAACAACCTAACTTTATACCTTAAGGAACTAGAAAAATACACTAAACCCCAAACCAGCAGAAGAAAGGAATGAAAAAAATCAATGAAACTAAAAGTTCTTAGGAAAGATTAACAACATTGCCAAACACTTAGCTAGATCAACTAAGGAAAAAGAAAAGACTCAAATGATTGAACATGAGAAATGAAATCGGGGACATTATTACCAATTTTACAGAAGTAAAAAGGATTATAATACAATATTATGAAAAATTGCACACCAACAAATTGGACAACCTGGATAAAATGGACAAATTCCTAGAAACACAAAACCTATCAAGACTGTTACAGGCTGAGCATTTTGAGACTACGAAGCAGGTGGATCGCTTGAGGCCAGGAGTTCGAGACCAGCCAGGGCAACATGGTGAGACCCCCCATTTCTACAAAAAAACCCTAAAAATTGCCAGGTATAGTGGCAAGTGTCTGTAGTCCCAGCTACTCCAGAGGCTGAGATGTGAATGGTGCGATCAATCATGGTTCATTTTGGGCTGGAATACAGTGGTATGATCATGGCTCACTGCAGCCTCACGTGACAAAAGCTCAGCTCTTATCCTAACTTTGAAGATTGCTAATAGAAGTGAATAAATTAAGCATTTATTCTGCCTCTAAAAGAAAAAAAAATTCAAAATTACCAAATAATTGCAGTTAAATATTACTTCCTACTTTACAGAAGAATACAAACTAATAAATGTAGAATGAATGGTGGAATTAGAAAATTTATTTTGCTGCCAGGTGCAGTGGCTCATGCCTGTAATTCTAGTACTTTGGGAGGCCAAGGGGGGTGGATCACTTGAGGTCAGGAGTTCAAGACCAGCCTGGCCAACATGGCAAAACCCTGTCTCTACTAAAAATACAAAAAAGTAGCCGGGCGTGGTGGTGCATGCCTGTAATCCCAGCTACTCGGGAGGCTGAGGCATGAGAATCGCTTGAATTTGGGAGGCAGAAGTTGCAGCAGTGAGCCAAGATCGTGCCACTGCACTCCAGCCTGGGGGAGAGAGTGAGACTCTATCTCAAAAAAAAAACCAAAAACGGCCATTCATACTGCAGTCGGTCAGTATTCGGTTGTTGGATTCAGTGTGCTATCGGACCCAAAGGGTGATGGCACCGCTAGGATGAAGCTCGTGAGATTTTTGATGAAATTGAGTCATGAAACTGTAACCATTGCATTGAAGAACAGAACACAGGTCCATGGAACAGTCACAGGTGTGGATGTCAGCATGAATACACATCTTAAAGCTGTGAAAATGACCCCGAAGAACAGAGAACCTGTACAGCTGGAAACGCTGAGTATTCGAGGAAATAACATTCGGTATTTTATTCTACTAGACAGTTTACCTCTGGATACACTACTTGTGGATGTTGAACCTAAGGTGAAATCTAAGAAAAGGGAAGCTGTTGCAGGAAGAGGCAGAGGCAGAGGAAGAGGAAGAGGACGTGGCCGTGGCAGAGGAAGAGGGGGTCCTAGGCGATAATGTCTCTCAGGATTACTGTTTCAAAGTCATACGGGATTTGGGATATTTTTTGTACAGGTTGTGTTTATGTCAGTTTTTAATAAACATAAAAGTGGGACAAAAAAATGAAAAAAGGAAAAGACATAAAGGAAAAGGAAATTTATTTTGCCATCCCTAAGGAAATTTAATTGAGGAAAAATTTAAATTTGGTGTTAAAACCAGTAGGTGAATGGCTGGTAGGGAACTGGACACTGGATACACAAAAGGCAGAATCACACAGATTACTTTCTGACCACAAGGTAAATTTCTACAGAGAGATCAATGAGGCTTTTCGCTACCTTAATACAAGTATCACCAAATGGTAGCCAGATGTGTCTCCTGATGTAATGCAAGATGAAACCTACCATACACATGAGGCATTCTTGCCAAAAATCTTGAATCCAGTTAAGCTGTAAGATCTAATCATAACTTAAAGGTAATACAAGTGATAGAAGATAAAGCTAAATGTTATCATGAGGAAGCAATCTGATATATCGGAAAGGAACATTCTATAAGACAAAAGTTAGCATCATGAAAAACTGAATCCCAATCATGAAAAAATAAAACTATTCTAATTTCAGAGACTCAAGGGACATAATCACCAGATACAGTGTATGGTCTTAAATTCTGGTTTGGACGTACCAGCTACGAAGTACATTTTAGGAATAGCTAGGGGCATTTGAATAAGGCTTGCATCTAAGATAATTTAAAGGAATTATCGGCTGGGCGTGGCGGCTCATGCCTGTAATCCCACCTCTTTGGGAGGCTGAGGCGGGTAGATCATTTGAGGGCAGAAGATTGAGACCAGCCTGACAAACATAGCAAAATCCCGCTACTAAAATTACAAAAAATTAGCTGGGTGGAGTGGCACACGCCTGTAATCCCAGCTACTTGGGAGGCTGAGGCACGAGAATTGCTTGAACCTGGGAAGCGGAGGTTTCAGTGAGCTGAGATGGTGCCACTGCACCCCAGCCTGGACAACAGCACCAAGACCCTGTCTCAAAAGAAAGTGTATATATATATACAATTTTGATACGTTTGATTATGTGGTTTTGGCTATAGAGAAAAATGTTCATTTTTTAAAAAAAACTCTAGAAGAGTTGGGAAGATCTTGTTTTATTTTTTATTTAATTAATTTTAGAGACAGGATCTCACTATGTTGCCCAGGCTGAAGTGCAGTGGCTATGCCCAGGTGTGATCGTTGTGGACCACAGCCTAAAACTCCTGAGCTCAAACGAGCCTTCTGCTTCAGCCTCCTGGGCTGCTGGGACTACAGGTGTGAGCCACCATGCCCAGCCTTATCTGTTTTATTTACCACTATATGCTCAGCAACTAGCATAAGACAGACATATAATAGGAACTAGGTAAATGACTATTGGGTGGGCACCTCTGGGGTGCTCAGCCTCTCCTCCCTAACTCTCAGCAATGGCCCTCTTGTTTTCCCAGTCCTTCATGGCAAATTAAGTTGTCTAAACATGCCTTCACCACTACTTTGCCTTATGAGTCTCCCAAATTTGCTCTGGCCTCTATCTCTCCACAGAACCAGCTTTCATAAAGGTCACCACTGATGACTTCCATCCCACTATGACCAAGCAGCACTTTCCAGACTCCTCGCTTGAACTCTCAGGAGCTTATACGACCACTGGCCACACCCTTCTTAGAATGCTTGGCCTCTCTAACACGCATGGCCACACTTTCCAAGTTTTTCTCCTTCCCTTCTCTCAGACCCCCTCCTTCACAGTTTCTTTTGCAGATTTCCCTTTCCCTGCTCTCTCTGGGCAAGCTTCCCCATGCCAGTGGTTTTGTTTCTGTTTACAGTCCAACTATTCCTAAATCTGGAATCTTCGCTCTGGCGAAGATGGCTCCTGAATTTTCCAGCTACCTATTGTTTGAGTCCTTTCGGATGGCCCACATGCTCTTCTAATGGACTATGGCCAAAATTCACTAGCATCTTTGCCCACCTCCCTCAAACAACAAATTAATCTTGTCCTTCTCATCCTTCACTCTCTCTCAGAAAATGTCACTATTGTCACCCAATTGTGCAAGCAAGAAATCTGTTACTCTAGATGTCTCCCTCACCACCCGGGGACCAATGATTGTGGTCTCTGCCTCCAAAACATCTCCACAATCTATGATATATTTAGCTTCTCCATCTCCACTCTCACTTCTGCAGGTAGGCCGCCATTTGAATTCTCACCTGGATTATCACAAAAGCTTTCTAACTGTTGCCTTGAATCCAGCCCACATCCACCAGGGCACTCCTTTGAAAATGCAAATCTAATTGAGACAGATTATGTTTAAACTCATCAATGGCTTCCCACTGTTCTTGGAATAAACAAGCCCTGAATGATCTCAATGGTGTCCCTGGGGCCACCCTTCCATCACTGTCTAGGCCCTGGTCTTTCAGTTCCTCCTAAGAGGAAGCATGCAGCCTGTGGTCTCAGACCTGGGAACCTTTCACCTGACGGGTTCTTTAGTCCCAGAACAGAGTCTCAGCTGTCTCCTAAGCCTCCCAAATCGGGTCAAACACCTCTGGTATCTGCTCCCACGCGCCCCTGACTTCTTCTTCATGTAACGCTGTACAATTCCAATCATTCAGTTAACGATTTATTCATACAATTTTATATATATCTGTTTCATGGTAAATTCATCATTGTATTTCCAGGGTCTGGGAAAAGCCTACCACTTAGTAGGGCTCCAATTAACATTTTTGGGGTTTTTTTTTTTTTTCCTGTTGTTTCCTGCTCACTTCCTAACTTGGTCTTTGCTGTCCTGCCTACTCAAGTCCCTCACCAGAAAGTTGCCTAGAACCCTCTTACCCGCCACGCGGCCAACACAAGCTCTACTGCTGGGCGAACATTGTTGGAATAAACGACGTATGATTTACACCCTCAATCTCACAACCCTCCCTTTCCAATCCCTCCCCAGTCTCCCATCCCTCCCTTTGCAACCCCTCCCCAATCTCCCATCCCTCCCTTTGCAACCCCTCCCCAATCTCCCATTCCTTCCTTTGCCACCCCTCCCCTCGGATTTCTACCCCTCGGGTTTCTGCTTCCCTCCGCCTCACCTCTCCTCCAAGGCCTCCCCTCCCCGCCGCCCCCTAGCCTGGGCCCGCCCGGCCTGCCAGGGGCTGGCACCTGACTCACCTGGGCAGCCTGGTGCGCCGCCTGCCACCGGCTCAGCTCCCCAGCCTCCTGTTCCATCTCAGCCTGCGGTCGGCCGTACATGAAGACTGGGTGGGGTCTAGACTCTCTACTGAAGAGACAGGGAACCAGCCACCACGGCGTCGCAGGCGGGTATCGGTACATCGCCACGCCACAATCACCTTCTATTTACCTATTTACAGCTGCGCCAAGGGGCGGGGTCAGGCCCCACCCGTCCCGCCCTGCGCCGCCCTCGCAGCCCTGCCCCAGGCTGCCACCCACCCTCACCATGCCCCAACCAAGGCAGCCTCACGGACAGCCAGCCACTTCAGGCCTTGAACGCTTCTTAAAGGAATTTGGTCCGCCCACCCAACCGACCCATTCCACCCCTCAGTCTGAGCAACTGTTTCACCCAAGTGGGGACTGAGGACACCCAGGTCTCCAACTCCAGCCAGGAGGAGGCTGGAGAGAGAGGCGAGGCTGGAGAGAGAGGCAAGGTTGGGTGTAGGGCCTCTACCGATAGGAGAGCCTCCACCAGCACTCTCTCAGGTCGGGATCTTGCCATAAGCTTTGGAAGGGCTGGAGCTTTTCTGCTACAGTCTGTGCACCTCTGTCCCTTGTCTGTACGAACTGAAGACTGGGAGCTTCATGGCACAACCTGTTTATTCCGCAGTGTTTACTGAGTGCCCCGTGTGTGTTGGGCACTGATCTCTGAACTAGGGGTAAAATAGTAAACAGGACAGAACAAAGTCCTTGCTGTCAATTTCCATCTTATACGGGAAGACAAGAAATGAGTAATAAAGTTGTTAACTATTATAATTTTAGGTGGTGGTGAGTGCTATGGAAAACCAAAACAGAAATGTGAGCTGAAAATGAAATGCCTGAAAGGAGCCAGCCATAGGAAGATTGAAGGGCTCTAAGGCAAAAAAGAGCCCAACGGTGCTAGAAGGAAATTGAAGGCAAGGTGACCACGGTGATACCACATGGACAGTGACACGAGGACAGAGGGATAGGGCCTTGAAGACCATAGAAAGGAATTTGGATTTTATTCTAAGTGTGGCGGGAAGCCACTGATGCTTTTAAACAGGAATTTGATGTGATCTGATATATGTTTTTAAAATAAACCATTTGGCTCCTTATGGATTATAAAGGGCCAGAGGGGTGCAGAGACACCAGTTAGAAATCTAAAGGAGATGAGGCTGGGCGCAGTGGTTCACGCCTGCAACGCCAGCACTTTGGGAGGCTGAGGCGGGCAGATCACTTGAGGTCAGGAGTTTGAGACCAGCCTGGCCAACATGGTGAAACCCCGTCTCTACTAAAAATAAAAAATTAGCCAGGCGTGGTGGCGCGTGCCTGTAATCCCAGCTACTCAGGAGGCTGAGGCAGGAGAATCGCTTGAATCCGGGTGGTGGAGGTTCCAGTGTGTCGAGATCGCGCCATTGCACTCCAGCCTGGGCAACAAGAGCAAAATTCCGTCTCAAAAAATAAAATAAAATAAAATATAAAATAAAATAAAATAAAATAAATAAAATAAAATAAAATAAAATAAAATAAATAAAAAAGGAGCTGTCCAAGAAAGAGATGTCAGTGTTTGGTCATGGAGGTGGTGCCCACCTGTAGTCCCAGCTACTCAGGAGGCTGAGGCGGGAGACCACTTGAGCCCAGGAGGTCTGGGCTGCAGTGTGCTGTGCTGATTGGGTGTCCACACTAAGTTCAGCATCAGTATGGTGAGCTCCCAGGAGTGGGGCACCACCAGGTTGCCTAAGGAGGGATGAACTGGCCCAGGTCAGAAATAGAGTAGGTCAAAACTCCTATGCTGATTGGTAATGGGATTACTACACCTGTGAATGGCCAGTGCACTCCAACCTTGGCAACATAGTGAGATCCCATCTCTAAAAAAAAAGAATGAAAAACAGAATTTGTAATGGATCAGAAGGGGGTAGGGAGGGAGGGAAAGAGGAATCAAAAAGGCTCCTAGATTATTGGCTTGAGCAACTGCATGATGATCGTGCCACTTGGTATATGGAAAGATAGGAAGAGGAGCAGATTTGGAGGCAACTGAAACAAGAATTCCATTTTAGACACTGATTTTGAGATGTCTATTAATTATGCTCAGAGAAGGTCAGGGCTGTAAATGTAAACTTGGGTGTTGTCAGCATAGAGATGGTAGTTAGAAGGCCATTAGAGTGGATGCTATCAACACTGGAGATAGTTTGACAACAGGACAGAGGACAGAGCCTGGGGACTCCTACATTTAAGGCCCAGCAGAACAGCAAAGTCATCCAAAGAACCTGAGAGGTTGAAATAAACAGGTAAGTGACTACTGGATTTGGCAAGACGGAGGTCACTGGTGACTCTGACAAAACCAAGTGCAGTAGAAAGGAAGCCTGATTGGACTGGGCTGCCAAGGGAAGAGGAGTTGATGGAGTGGGACATTATCTCTAAACTCTAAACAAGAAGTTTTGCTACGAATGAGAGCAGAAAAATGAGGTGGCAGTTAAGGGAGGGCATGTTATAGGCTGATGGGGATGCACCAAAGGAGAAACTGATATAGAAACAGAGGGCTCAATTATAAGAGCAAAGTCATGGATGAATCAAGAAAGGACAGGATCTGGAGTACCAATAGACAAGTGGGCCTTTAGTGAGAGCAGGGACATTTGCTCTATCATAACAAGTGGGGTAAGAAGGCTCTTATGTATCTTAGGGTCCCCAACTACTAGTATGGAGTGGGGCTGAGAGCAGGCCCTTGAGAAATGGTGGCTATGATTCTATGGCTAACAATGGCTCAGCTCTCAACTCCAGGATCACCTCCTCCTGGGGCCATCTCTGACTCCCATTTGATGCCTCTTTCAGTTCCCACATACCTAGTGTTTCTCCCAACATGGCATTTAGGAAATATTTGTAGAATGGATCATGTTTGACACACAGAGCAGATCATTTTTATACCCCCCTCCTCTAAAAATAAAATTATTTCCATAATTCAAATTTCATATTTTCAAATCATCATAAAATGAAACAAATCATAATAATGGCCAGAAAAAGGAAAGGCAAAAGTGAAAAATTTATTTGCCAAAATTTGTATGCATACTCACATCATAAAATAAATACATAAAATTAATATTATGGCTCCAAAAAATGAAAAAGGCACAACTATTTATTTCAATCATTTTCACATCTACCTGTTTAAATTTTGATCCTTTCTTTACAATCTGATATACTCCCTTATGTAAATGGTCATCCAGCAACCAACAAGCAAATTTTAATAAAACCAAAGCATCTAAATAAGATACAATTTAGGCAATAATACTTAGGCTATAACATTTATTTCCTTTATTCATCTTTCATTTTAAAACCATTAACAAGTATAAAGGAATAGGTTTTCATTTCAAAGGTAAATTTTTATTCAAATTCAGTAACATATTTCATGTACAAATTAAAAATTTGCACTTAACAAACAAAAATGTTTTGCCTCTCAGTTTGCACTCTGTCCCACTGGTTTTTGTTTTTTTTTTGTTTTGGTTTTTTTTTTTTTTTTTTTTTTGACACAGAGTCTCGCTCCATTGCCCAGGCTAGAGTGCAGTGGCGCGATCTCGGCTCACTGCAAGCTCCGCCTCCCGGGTTCATGCCATTCTCCTGCCTCAGCCTCCCAAGTAGCTGTGACTACAGGCGCCTGCCACCACTCTTGGCTAATTTTTTTGTGTGTGTGTATTTGTAGTAGAGACGGGGTTTCACTGTGTTAGCCAGGATGGTCTCGATCTCCTGACCTCATGATCCGCCCACCTCGGCATCCCAAAGTGTTGGGATTACAGGCATGAGCCACCGCGCCTGGCCTGTCCCACTGTTTTAACACAAAAGTCCAACTGGTTACATAGAATGACAGAATTGAAAAAAGTCAAGCCCTGTTTGTCTTTGTCATCACTGACAGTAACTCATGATTGTTTATTCTGAATCTACAGTGTAAACTTGGATGTGTCTAATACCACAGGGGTAGGAGATGTGACCCTTGCCTAAAGTGAGCTCCAAAGATGGGTATTGGTGTGACTATATAACCAAGCATTCTCCAAATGAACTTCCACATAGAATGCAATATTTATTAAAGGATCGCTAATAAAAATGTGTTAGTGTGAAGTTTACATGTACAAATAAAATTCAGTATCTACAGCAATTATTTAGAACTTAAACCAACAAAAGATTTTTTAGGAGAGGAGTATTTCAACAGTATTTAAAAATCACTGGCACACAGCAATAATAAAAGGCAGACCAACTTTTAGTTGGATCTATTATTGTTAAGCTCTTTATAGATATGCACCCCTTCTAGCCTGCATGTGGACAGACTGCTACCACCGCCCACTTTAATATGCCAAGGGGCCCCAAGTCTTCTTGACCCTGCCAGGTGGCCCTGTATTATCTCTGCCTGGAATGCTCTTCCCCCTTTTCTTCATCTACTAACTCCATTTGTTTTACCAATATTTAATGAGTGTCTACTATAGGCCACTCTCCCTTGGGGTCACCTCCAGGAAGCCTTTGCTGCACCCCGACGTCCCATTTCCATGCCCCATTCCCAGAAGTAGTATTTGGTTGAACTGCAAGGACTACTGGGAACTCATTTCCAAGTGACTACTGCAGTCGGGATATGTTTCGAACCATGCCATCTGTTTGAGATGAAGTCTGGACTCAAGGTCTGGGATTAAATTCCAGCCTGAGATTTTGAAATCTGTGATTTAATCTTCCTGATTCTCGCTTCATTAGCAACCAGCACCTCAGAGGATTAGTTTCCTGATTTATGAATGATCCCATTAACATCTTTATCGAATGCCTCAAAGCATATCAAAATAGGACAGAGCCAGCCCCACCTTTCAGCCTTTTAATTTGGAGCCAATTTTTGCGTGGACATCTGGAATGCCTGGGCCTTGTAGGTCAGAGGAGTTTGCCCTGAGGTCCTGCCTCCTCCCCCAACCTTACAATGCACCCTATCCTCCCCTGACAGTCCATCCTGTAGACACACACCTAGGCCTGGGAATGACTCAGGGGCAGGCATGCTGCCCACCCCACTGCCATTTTCCCTGTTACCTTCCAGAACCCTTGTCATTCTGGGCTCCAGTCCTGGGTCCATGAGCTGTCCCCTGCAAAGTGCTGTAACTCGCTGTCTGTGGCAGCTCTGACTCCTGTATCTTTTACACACAGAACAGCAATATTAGCAAGCACCAGGCATTATAACAGGTACATCTCATGCTTTATCTTTTTGTGATTCAAAGAAAGGATTATCATATCCATTTTATACACATGGAAACTAATGCTGATGCGCAGAGACAAGTAGCCATCAAATCACAGGAAAGGTCATCCTCTAACCCATATGCTGCAGAATGACTCCAGAACTTGTTTCTCTGCCTGGAGTGTCCTTCCCACTCGTCACTAATGCTTCCCCCACCCAACTCCTACCTGTCTTATGCCTTCCCTGATACCCAGGCTGGCCTAGGTGCCTCCTCTGCACTTGCACTGCCCCGGGTTACCCATATCTTAGTACAGAGAACTGATTGAGTACAGAGAACTTAGTAGAGAACTACATCAGTAACTGTAGTTACTGATGATGTCATTATTACCTGTTTGCTTAAAAGAATCTTCTTTTTCTGCCTTCTGCTGTCCTGCTCTAAGGACCACATATGTACATTCTGTTCTGTTGCCTCTCTTTGGTGCTACTCAAAGTGTGGTCTGTGGTTAACAATGGTTTGCAAATTTCACCAGTCTGCAACTGGATAGCTACAGAAATTGAAAGAAGCTGTCTTGAAATTTCTTGAACTCTTGGGCTCAAGAAATCCTCCCACTTCAGCCTCCCAAAATGCTGGGATTACAGGCATAAGCCACAGCACCCAGCCATGAAGTAATTTTTGAACAAATCAACTTTGAGGTTACCTATGAGAAATGGGAATGTCCAGGAAGCAGTTACATATATGAGCTAGAAGCTCAGGAAACAAAGTCTGGGCTGGAGTTATGGATTTCAGAATTGAAGCCATCAGAATGAACAAGAGCCCCTGAGATGTGGAATGAAAAGGGGAGCATCTAAGGACAAACCTCTGGGTACCTAGCACTGTGTCTGCCACATGGGAGATAATTAGGAACCCTTTGTCAAATGAAGAGGTAGATAGACATGAACATAAGTCTCTTTCATGCCCAGTCCAAGCTTTCCTTACTAACCCTATTTTACTCTTAAATTGCACAGCATTCAGATAGACACTGCTGGGGCTGGCAGTGGGGTAAGAAAGATGACCAGAAAAGGGAAGGCTGAAGGCCAATTGCGGTGACTCACATCCATAATCCCAGCACTTTGCAAGGCCGAGGTGGGAGAATTGCTTGAGCCCAGGAGCTCCAGACCAGCCTGGGCAACAAAGCAAGACCCCGTCTCTTCAAAAATAAACAATAAAAATGGCCAGGCATGGTGGCAAGTGCCTGTAGTCCTAGTACTTGGGAGGCTAAGGTGGGAGGATTGCTTGAGCCTAGGAGTTCAAGGTTAAAGTGAGCTATGTTCATGCCACTGTACTCCAGCCTGGACAAAAAGACTGAGACCCTGATGCTAAAAAATAAAAAAAGAAAATAAAAAAAAGAAAGAAAAAGAAAACATTGGAGAGAGCTGGAGTAACCAGTCCTGAACCTGGAGGTTTGGTGGGAGATGAAGAGGAGGCTAGAAGAAAAAGTCAGAGCCAGGTTTTGAAGGTACAGGCTTAGACTTCATCGTAAATTATAGATAGGTGCTCTCTGTTTCCTGACAGTGTAAAGAAGATAAGGACAGAGGTACAAGTATTGCACCATTGTTTGTAATAGTAAAAGAAATTTGGAAACAACCTAACTACCTACCGACAGGAGAATAAATACATGTTGGTATGGTCAAACAATGGGAATCCAACTTCAATTAGAATGAATAAATTAAAATGTCATGTGTCATCATAAATCTCAAAAATGCAATCTGCTAAGTGTAATGTGGTATCCTGGGTAGGATCCTGGAAAAGGACATTAGTGGAAAAACTGGTGAAATCTGAATAAAGTCTATAGCTTAGTTAATAGTATTGTACCAACGTTTATTTCTTAGTTTTTGTTTTGTTTTGTTTTGAGATAGTCTTGCTGCGTCGCCCAGGCTGGAGTGCAATGGCGCGATCTCAGCTCACTGCAAGCTCTGCCTCCAGGGTTCAAGCAATTCTCCTGTCTCAGCCTCCGGAGTAGCTGGGACTACAGGAGCGTGCCACCACACCCAGCTAATTTTTTGTATTTTTAGTAGAGATGGGGTTTCACCGTGTAAGCCAGGACAGTCTCGAACTCCTGACCTCATGATCCGCCCACCTCGGCCTCCCAAAGTGCTGAGATTACAGGCTATTTCTTAGTTTTGATAAATGCACCACAGTTATGTATGGTGTTAACATTAGAAGCTGACTGAAAGGCATACAGTAACTGTACTACTTTTGCAATTTTCCTGTAAACCTAAAATTATTCCCAAATAAGAAGGTTTAAAAATATAAGCTCAAAAAAAAAAAAAAAAAAACAAGTTGCAAAGGAATTCATGCAAAATAACAGCATTTACAAAAAGCTTTAAAACATGCAAAATAGTAGAAATTGTTTATGGATACACCAACATATGTAATAAAGACATAAAAACATCCATGGGAATGATAGATACCTAATTTGAGATAGTAAGATTAAGAAAAACACAGGCCGGGCATGGTGGCTTAAGCCTGTAATCCCAGTGTTTTAGGAGACCGAGGCAGGTGGATCGCTTGAGCCCAGGAGTTTGAGACCAGCCTGGGCAACACAGTGACACTTCTTCATCTCTACAAAGCATTAAAGAATATATATATAGCTGGGAGTGGTGGTGTGCACTGTGGTCCCAGCTGTTAGGGAGGCTTAAGTAGGAAGATTAATTGAGCCCAGGAGGTCAAGGCTGCAGTGAGCCATGGTCACACCACTGCATTCCAACCTGGGTGGCAGAGAGAGACCTTGTCTCAAAAAAAAGGAAAACAGAATAATGCGTTTAACTAAATTATTTTTTTTTAAGATGGGGTTTCGCTTTGTTGCCCAGGCTGGTCTCAAACTCCTGGGCTCAAAGCAATCCTCCTGCCTTGGCCTCCCAAAGTGCTGGGATTATAGGTGTGAGCCACCATGCCAGCTGAAGCACAATTCTGACCAATTTTTTTATATAAGTAGTAGTTAGGTTCTATAATACATCCGTTTAAATATAATCCCCAAGATCTTTAGCTAACTTTTTTTCCTTCTTTAGCTAACCTTATTTATTTATTTACTTATTTATTTATTTCGAGATGGAGTTTCGCTCTCGTTGTCCAGGCTGGAGTGCAATGGCGTGATCTCGGCTCATCGCAACCTCCACCTCCAGGGTTCAAGTGCTTTTCCTACCTCAGCCTCCTGAGTAGCTGGGATTACAGGCATGCACCACCACACCAGGCTAATTTTTTCTTTATTTTTAGTAGAGACGGGGTTTGTCCATGTTGCTCAGGCTGGTCTCGAACCCCTGACGTCAGTTGATCTGCCCGCCTTGGACTCCCAAAGCACTGGGATTACAGGCATGAGCCACTGCACCCGGCCAGCTAACTTTAAAACCTAGGTTAAATATTAAATAATAATTTTTGGGTATCTGGATAATTTCTAATTAAGATAGAATGCTCAAACATGGGTCACCAAGCATAGTCTGTCTACCTTTACTTCTTACTTTTCTATATTATGGAGTGGCTTAACCTTTGGGTCATTTTCATGAGTGTGTTCATCATTGCCATTTTAAGAAAGTGTAGGCCAGGCCCAGTGGCCCACGCCTATAATCCCAGCACTTTGGGAGGCTGAGGCAGGTAGATCACTTGAGGTCAGGAGTTTGAGACCAGCCTGGCCAACATGGTGAAACCCCGTCTCTAGTAAAAATACAAAAATTAGCCAGGCGTGGTGGCACATGCCTGTAATCCCAACTACTGAAGAGGCTGAAGCAGGAGAATTGCTTGAACCCGGGAGGCGGAGGTGCAGTGAGCCGAGATCGTGCCATTGCACTCCAGCCTGGGTGACAGGGTGAGACTCTGTCCCCCCCGCAAAAAAAAAAAAAAAAAAAAAAGTATAAAAAAGATATATGTATATGGCTGTGGGGGTCATATTATATATTCTTTGTAAACACTGTTGATTTGATAAAATGTTTGTATATAATAGATAGTTCTCCATGCCCTACCTCCCAGTTCTCTCCCTCCCTGAAACAGAACTTAGCTACTTAGGTAAAGTTGGAAAGAGGGTGATTGATAAAGTTGGAAGAAGGGTGATTGATACTGGGACCAACAGAGGCAGAGGAGTACGTCTGTGTGTTCGGTATACAGATTATTTTCTCCATAAGAAAACAAAAGCAATTCTTAAAATCAAACTAATCCTATTCCAGCAGGTACAGTTAAAAAAAATAAAATAAACTGAAACATATGTTTGTATTATATTCTACACTGGTAAAATCAGTAAAAAGATGTTACTTTTTAGGGCAAAATCATCAAATCAGTCTGACTTGCCCAAGGATTAAACCTTTCCTGATTACATGAACCGTGGATTATTGTATAAAATTGCTTCTGAGCTAGCAGTTTCTATGAAAAAGGTTTTTGTTTTGTTTTGCTTATCCCATTTAAAGTATTAGGAGTTCAGCTTCTTTGTTTTCTGGGAGTTTGGGCAAAATTGGATTTACAAAAGCTCTTACTGGTCTCTATAAACCAATCAGGACAAAGCCCCTTTAATTTAAATCTTTATAATCTAATTTGTTAATACCCTCAGGAGGTAGAAAAATTTTCCCCATTCACACAATGAGATTTAAGGCTTTTCTCATTTACAGGCCTAGAGACCCCAGAGTTTGCAGCTTCATTTTTATAACTCCTCATCGGTCAGTAGCCACAGAACCACAAAAACTCACCAGTTCAGACAGATCTCAAAGGGCTCTTCTCCTTCTTTTGGGCACAAAAGAGTTTAAGTGACTTGATCTCACAAATAAACAATCTGTCATACAAAATGAACTAACAGGCTGGGTGCGGTGGCTCATGCCTGTAATCCCAGCACTTTGGGAGGCCAAGGCGGGCAGATCACCTGAGGTCAGGAGTTCAAGACCAGCCTGGCTAACATTGTGAAACCCCATTTCTACTAAAAATACAAAAAATTAGCAGGGTATGGTGGTATGCACCTGTAATCCCAGCTACTTGGGAGGCTGAGGCAGGAGAATCACTTGAACCCAGGAGGCAGAGGTTGCAGTGAGCTGAGATCACGCTATTGCACTCCAGCTTGGGCAACACGAGGGAAACTTTGTCAAAAAAAAAAAAAAAAAAAAAAAAGAGCTAACAAACGAGATTCTCTGTCATCTCTCACCTATCAGAGACTAGATCCCACCAGCCACCCAGCAGAGATCACCAGTGGTCAAACCATGAAACCAGGCTCCTAACCAAGTCTGCTGCCTACCCAGGGGGAAGCTCACCACCCTGCACAAATTCAACTTGAATGCGTGGGCTGCCTTCTCACCCCAATCCCCTGCATTCATGGGCAGGCTATGGAACAGCAAAAATACAAGTTAGATGACTCACAAACAACCCTAGCCAATAACCAGAAACTGAAAGAATCAGAAGGAAAAATGGGGAAACAGTCAGCAAAAGTAAAGTTCCAATGCCTCTTGGGATTCACTCAAGAAGTCAAGAAGAGACATAGCTGGGCTTAAACAATTTGTGAGATTCTATTGCTAATTCCAGCAGAAGGCATCTGGACAGAGCTTCCACTGCTGAATTCCCAGCACGCATATAAGGGAAGAAACCTGAAATCTCTAAGCAAGACAGCAAGATCTTGGGAAAGAAAGAAGCTCTACACGGCAGGTGACTGGTTAGTTGAATAATCTGAAACTCAGTGGGGGCACAAACATGAAACTGTTTTATTTTCCTCCAGTCACTGCCTTCAACTCAGTGTTGTCACATTTCCCTTCTCTGTGCCTTAACAGTATCTTGGATGGGCTCATTCGTCTTCTAGTCATTCAATATACACTAGTCCTCTCTTATCCAAGGGGATACTTTCCAAGATGCTCCAACGGATGCCTGAAGCTTTGAATAATATCAGACCCTATATATGCTGTGTTTTTTTCCTATACGTACATACCTATGATAAAGTTTAATGTATAAATTACACACAGTAAGAGTTTAACAGTAATAATAAAATAAAACAATTATAACAATATACCAGCATCACTACTCTAGCACTTAGGGGCCATTATTAAGTAAAATAAGGGTTACTTGAACATAAGCACTGTGATACCGCAACAGTTGATCTGATAACCGAGACCTTTACCAAGCGACCAATGAAGGGTAGCATAGACAGAGTGGAAATGCTGGACAAAGGGATAAGTCAAAGAAATGATTCCTCCTGAGCAGGACGGAGTGGAATTGCTTGAGATCTTACCATGCTACTCAGAACAACATGCAATTTAAAATTTATGAATTGTTTGTTTCTGGATTTTTCTCATTTAATAATTTCAGAGTGTGGTCGACCTCAGGTAACTGAAACCGCAGATACAGGAGGAGGGACTACTGTAATTTAAAACTCCAGTCTCAGCCAGGCGCGGTGGCTCACACCTGTAATCCCAGCACTTTGGGAAGCCGAGGCGGGTGGATAACCTAAGGTCAGGAGTTCGAGACCAGCCTGGCCAAAACAGTGAAACCCTGTCTCTACTTAAAATACAAAAATTAGCTGGGCATGGTGGCAGGTGCCTGTAATCCCAGCTACTTGGGAGGCTGAGGCAGGAGAATTGCTTGAACCCAAGAGGCGGAGGTTGCAGTGAGCCAAGATCATGCCATTGCACTCCAGCTTGGGGAACAAGAGCGAGACTTTGTATGAAAAAAACCTCCAGTCTCACATTCATCAACCCATCACCATCATCATTACATTCCCACCTCTCTCCTCCTCCCCACCCCCTCTCCCATCCTGAAAGAGAATCATCTCTGCACTCTACAGCCAGATAAACCAGAGATAACTGTCCATTTCAAGCTCCTTTCTTCTGCTCTATTTGAATAAAAAAAGGAATGCTCAACAGATAATGGACTGAATGAAACAGCAGACCACACCTTTTTTCTTCTCTAAATTCCTTGTGTCAAAGCCTGACCTGTATGGGGATGGGAAGGTGGGGAAGAGGTTAAACTAGATTTGAGATCTGTTATCCATACATTTCTCATTTGCCTCTGTCTCCCAGTCTGTGACTTCTTAGCTTCCCTTGTTGAATCTTTACCTTCTTGTCTCTCTGGAGAGCCCTATCTCCTTTTTATTCCCTCCTGCTTCCCATCCCAGTCCTAGCCCTCCCCCATACTCACCATGGGCAGTGAATAAGTTATATCTGAAATCTTGACTTGAGTAATTTATTTCAAAGTTTCTCCTGGGAATCTGGGGAAGAATTTCTATATGGAGAGACTGTCAACCTTGATAGTCCCCAACATCCCCAAAACTCTTAGACTTCTTTATGAATCTGCCTCAATTTTCACTCTGGAGAAAGTAAGGGTGAAAAGGAAGTGTATCAGAATAGGGATGGGGTATAGTGGGGATAGGATGGAGATAGCAATGGGAGTTGGGATTCACCTGGAGCTGGAGATTGCAACAGATGGGAAAACAGACAGAAATGAAGATAGCGATATGGATGCAATGGAGACCACATGCAGATGGGGTTGGGAAAGAATCTGAGGATGGACAGAGGGACAGAGGAGATAAGTGGGAGTGGAATGGAGATGGGCAGGTGGATCTGTAGGGATCCTTGGCCCCTCCCTGGGACCTATGAGCTCAGAACCAGTATGGAGATAGGAGTGGTGATGGAAGGAGAGTGGAAGTAGGAATAGGATGAGTGTACTTCCTGTGATGAGGTCTCCTCATTCAGCAGTCAACACTCGGGTAGGAAACTGGCAGGATGGCTTGCTTGCTTGCTTTTCCCTCTTTCCCTCTCTCTCTTCCTCCCTCCCTTCCTTCCTTCCTTCCTGAGATGGGATCTCACTATGTTGCCCAGGCTGGTCTTAAACTCCTGGGCTCAAGCAATCCTCCCACCCCAGCCTCCAAAAGTGCTGAGATTACAGGCGTGAGCCACTGAACCTGGCTGCAGAGGCCACTTTCCACTTGGAAATGCTCTAGCTTCTGGCCAAAGTGGGGTTCCGTGAACCAGCAGCAAGGACCTCACCAGGGAGCTTGTTAGAAATGCAGAATCCCTGGTCCTTCCCCGGGACCTACTAAACCAGAATCTGCATTTAGTAAGAGTCCCAGTGTGCACACTAAAGTTTAAGAAGCATTGTTCTAGAAAAAAATTAAAAAGAAAAAAATGGAAAATATAAGTAAATCAATGCATTGTGTGGAAACTTGAAAATATATACATGCAAAATGTTTTTAAAATAAGATGATAAAGGAAAAGAAATAATGAAAAAGAAGCACTGCTGTAGTGAATGCCATGGCTGAAGCAGTGGCCACTCACCTTTCCCAGGCCACACTGCTGTTTCTGTCCCTCTGCATTGATGCATTTCCTCTGGCCATCCTGTCTGCCAAATTCAGGAAAAGACACCAGGAGACTGGCATCATGAAAACTTCAGGTTATGCTTCATGTTTTTTTTTTTTAATCCCTTATAAGCACCATTCATTTTAAAAAGTTTTAATGTTTTTAAAACATTCCACCACCACCCACTTCAAAAATTAGAATTTACCCAGCACCCCAAAAGCAGCCCTTCATCCATACGAGACTTCCCTCAGGTCACACACCCCATTCTATCTCTAGAGGTAACCATGATCTTGAATTTTATGTTAGCTACTTGCTTGTTTTCCATTTTACCACTTATATACACATCTCTCAACAATATAGTTTCATTTGGCTTGTTTTTTGACTTACTTTTTTCTTTTTCTATAGGGACAGACAGTAGACAGGTCTCCCTCTGTCCTGTCATGACTCACTGCAGCCTTGAACTCCTGGCTCAAGTGATCCACACACCTCAGCCTCCTAAGTAGCTAGGACTCATCCTCCACCATACCTGGCTAATTTTATTTTACATTTTTGTGCAGACAGGGTTTGGCTATGCTGCCTAGGTTTTGTTTTGTTTTTTTTTTTACATTTATATAAATGGAGTAATTTGTATCTTGCTTCGTATACTCAATCTATAAGATTCATAGTGCTGTAGTTCAGTCATTCCCATTGCTGAATAGTTTCCATCGTATAAATATATCACAATATATTTCTCAATTATGCTATTGATGAACAACAGGGTTACTGGATTATTGTAAAAATGCTGCTATGCCGCTCCTATACGAGTGGGCCCAGTGCCTGCATCAGCTCTTAGAGCTTCTCCCTACTGGGCAGCAGCAGCTTCTGGGCTGGCCTGGGCAGAGGCTATGGTGGGACCAGCGGCATGGGAGGCATCACTGCTGTCACAGTCAACCAGAGTCTGCTGAGCCCCCTTAGGAGGTGGATCTCAACATCCAGGCCATGCGCACCCAGGAGAAGGAGCAGATCAAGAACCCCACCAACAAGTTTGCCTCCTTCATCGACAAGGTGCGGTTCCTGGGGCAGCAGAACAAGATTCAGGAGACGAAGTGGAGCCTCCTGCAGCAGCAGCAGACGGCTGGGAGCAACACGGACAACATGTTCCAGAGCTACATCAACAACCTTAGGCGGCAGCTGGAGACTCTGGGCCAGGAGAAGCTGAAGCTGGAGACGGAGCTTGGCAACACGCAGGGGCTGGTGGAGGACTTCAAGAACAAGTACGAGGATGAGATCAATAAGCGTACAGAGATGGAGAATCAATTTGTCCTCATCAAGAAGGATGTGGATGAAGCTTACATGAACAAGTTAGAGCTGGAGTCTGGCCTGGAAGGGCTGACTGACGAGATCAACTTCCTCAGGCGGCTGTATGAAGAGAAGATCCGGGAGCTGCAGTCCCAGATCTCCGCCACGTCTGTGGTGCTGTCCATGGACAACAGCCGCTCCATGGACACGGACAGCATCATCGCTGAGGTCAAGGCGCAGTACGAGATCGCCAACCGCAGGCGGGCTGAGGCTGAGAGCATGTACCAGATCAAGTATGAGAAGCTGCAGGCGCTGGCTGGGAGGCACTGGGATGACGTGCAGCATACAAAGACTGAGACCTCCGAGATAAACTGGAACATCAGTGGGCTCCAGGCTGAGACTGAGTGCCTCAAAGGCCAGAGGGCTTCCCTGGAGGCCGCCATCACAGATGCCGAGCAGCCTGAGGAGCTGGCAGTTAAGGGTGCCAACGCCAAGCTGTCCGAGCTGGAGGCCGCCCTCCAGCCGGCCAAGCAGGACATGGCGCGGCAGCTGCGTGAGTACTAGGAGCTGATGAACGTCAAGCTGGCCCTGGACATCGAGATCGAGATCGCCACCTACAGGAAGCTGCTAGAGGGCGAGGAGAGCCGGCTGGAGTCTGGGATGCAGAACAGGAGTATCCATACGAAGACCACCAGCAGCTATGCAGGTGCGCTGAGCTCGGCCTATGGGGGCCTCACGAGCCCCGGCCTCAGCTACGGTCTGGGCTCCAGCTTTGGCTCTGGCATGGGCGCCAGCTCCTTCAGCCGCACCAGCTCCACCAGGGCCGTGGTTGTGAAGAAGATCCAGACCTGCAACGGGAAGCCGGTGTCCGAGTCCGGTGTCCGAGTCCTTTGACGTCCTGCCCAAGTGAACAGCCAGGGCAGCCCCTCCCAGCCTGCCCCTCCTGCGGCTGCCCCAGAGTCCGGGAGGGAGGCCGCTGTGCAGGGGAGCACAGGGAACGGGAGACCCACCTGAGGCTCAGCCCTAGCCCTCAGCCCACCTGCGGAGGAGTTTACTGCTTGGGGATACCCCCTTGCCCATGTCTCCAGCTACAAAACAATTCAATTGCTTTTTTCTTTTTTGTGTGTCCAAAATAAAACCTCAGCTAGCTCTGAAAACAAAAACAAAAACAAAACATTGCTGCTATGATTGTTCTCATATAAGCATTCTGGCGAACATGCCACAAATCCTCTAGGGAAGTGAGCTCAAATTATTTTTCTCATTTACCTGTAAAAGCCTCTTTGTGTCCTTCCACACATTTAAATAAATAAGCTTATTATATTATATTATATATATGACAAGATATCAAGCAACATTTTTTTATGGCAGTTTTAGGTTCACAGAAAAAATAGGTAGAAAGTACAGAAAGTGTCCAAGCACCCCTCTGGCCACATGTGCACAGCTATTCCCACTATCAACATCCTGCGCCAGAATGGTGCATTTGTTACAATCGATGAACCTACACTGACAGATCATTATCACCCAAAGTCTACAGTTTCTATTAGGATTCACTCCTGGTGTTCGTGTTATGACTTTCTTTCTTTCTTTTTCTTTTTCTTTTCTGTGTGTGTGTGTGTGTGTGTGTGTGTGTGTGTGTGTGTGTGTGTGTGTATGTGTATGTGTGTGATGGAGTTTTGCTCTTGTTGCCCAGGCTGGAGTGCAATGGCAGGATCTCAGCTCACTGCAACCTCCATCTCCTGGGTTCAAGCGATTCTCCTGCCTCAGCCTCCTGAGCAGCTAGGATTACAGGTGCCCACCACCACACCTGGTTAATTTTTGTATTTTTAGTAGAGACAGGGTTTCACCGTTGTTGGCCAGGCTGGTCTCGAACTCCTGACCGCAAGTGATCTGTCCGCCTTAAGTGATCTGCCCACCTCAGCCTCCCAAAGTGCTGGGATTATGGGTGTGAGTCACCGTGCCCGGCCTAAAGTGGGTTCTTTGTAGGAATATATAGTTGGGTCTTGTTTTTTGATCTACTCTGAGAATCTTTTAATCAATATATTTAGACCATTGACAATTAAAGTGATTATTGATATAGTTGGATTAATATCTACCATATTTGTTTTCTATTCATTGCCCTTCCTCTTTGTTCCCATTTTGACTTCCACTCTTTTGTTTGTTTGTTTGTTTTTGAGACAGGGTCTCAATCTATTGCCCAGGTTGGCAATAGAGGCTGCTCACTGCAGCCCCGACCTCATGGGTCCAGGTGATCCTCCCACCTCAGCCACCTGAGCAGCTGGGACTACATGTGCATGCCACCATGCCTGGCTAATTTTTGTGGGTTTTGTTTGTTTGTTTGTTTTGTTTTGTTTTTGAGAAACACGGTTTCACTACATTGCCTAGGCTGGTCTCAAACTCCTGGGCTCAAGTGATCTGTCTGCCTCGGCCTCCCAAAGTGCTGGGATTACAGGCATGAGCCACCATGCCTGGCTGCATTTTGTGGTTTTAACTGAGCATTTTATATGATTCAATTTTCTTAAAATATCAAGAAAAATAGTAACTTTATAGTGGAGAAATTTGTGACCAAAGTTAACATCACCAGTAAAAAGACAAATAGATACCATGTGTCTCCTGACGTGATCATTGAGAAGGGCACAACGTCATTTATCTGGTATTCCTGCCAAAAAATGCATAACTCGAATTAATCATGAGGAAACATCAAACGAACCCAAATTAAAGGACATTCCACAAAGTAACCTGACTGTACTCTTCAAAATGTCGAGGTCATAAAAGATAAGGAAAGACGGAGGGAACTGTTTCAGTCATAAAGAAGACGTGACACATAACAACTGAAGGTAACTCATGGTCCAAGATTTTCTTTGCCTATAATGAATGTTATTAGGACAATTGGAAAAATTTGAATAAGACCATTTAGTATAAATATCAGCATTAGTTTCCTGATTATGAGGTTTATATTGTGGTTCTGTAACAGAATGGCCTTGTTTTTAGGAAATCTACACTGTATTTTGAGATAAAGATATAGGTAGGTAGGTAGATAGAGCAAATGTGGTAAAAGGTTAACATCTGAGGAATCTGAGTGAGGGTACATGGGAATTCTTTGTAGTATTCTTGGAAACTTTCTGTAAATCTGAAATTATTTCAAAATAAAAAGTTAAAAAAATTCTGAAGGTACTTAGAGTCCTAGTATTTAGATGGTATTAGAGTGTTGTAGTAGTTGTGTTTTTAAATGTCAATGTTTATAGTACTCCAGAAATTATATTCTTTGCAACTATTCAATTTACAATGAAAATGTTAGATATCAACCTAAAAATGTGAGGGTTTTTAGGGCAGTAAAACTTCTGTATACTACAATGGTGGATACATGTCATTATACTTTTGTCTAAAGTCATAGAATGGGCTGGGCGGTGGTGGCTCACACCTGTAATCCCAGCTACTTGGAGGCTGAGACACAAGAATTGCTTGGACCCAGGAGGCAGAGGTTGCAGTGAGTGGAGATTGCGCCACTGCACTCCGGCCTAGGTGACAGAGTGAGACTCTGTCTCAAAAAAACAAGAACAAAACAAAACAAAACAAAACAAAAACAAAAACAAAAACAAAACAGCCAAGTGCGGTGGCTCACACCTATAAAAGTTACTCGAATTAGTTCTTTTATTTTTTCCTCCAGTGCGGTTATGTTATTCATTTGAAATACATTTTGTTTCATTTGTTTCTTTATATTACATCATAGGTTCCCCCCCTCATTCTTAGATTTTTACTTGTTTTTGTTTCAATTTATAAAATATATAAATTAGCATGGTTCTAAAACTCAACTGTACAAAAAAGTCCACTCAGCAAAGCTTCTCTCCTGTTTCCCATCCTCTGTACCTCACTTCCATTCCCATATTCTTTCTACCCCATCCGACCCAGTATGGGTCACCAGTGTCATTTCTTTCTCTCTCTCTCTTTTTTTTTTTTTTTTGAGATGGAGTCTCACTCTGTTACCCAGGCTAGAGTTCAGTGGCGTGATCTCGGCTCACTGCAATCTCTGCCTCCCAGGTTCCCTGCCTCAGCCTCCTGAGTAGCTGGGATTACAGGCACACACCACCATGCCCAGCTAATTTGTGTGTGTGTGTGTGTGTGTGTGTGTGTGTGTGTGTATTTTTAGTAGAGACGGGGTTTCACCATGTTGGCCAGGCTGGTCTCGAACTCCTGACTCAAGTGATCCACCCACCTTGGCCTCCCAAAGTGCTGAGATTACAGGCGTGAGCAACGGTGCCCAGCCCAGTCTCTTTGTCTCCCTCCCTCCCTCCCTTTCTTTTCTTTCTTTCTTTCTTTCTTTCTTTCTTTCTTTCTTTCTTTCTTTCTTTCTTTCTTTCTTTCTTTCTTTCTTTCTTTCTTTCTTTCTTTCTTCTTTTTCTTTCTGAGACAGAGTCTCACTCTGTCGCCCAGGCTGGAGTCCAGTGGTGCAATCTCGGCTCAACCACAACCTCCGCCACCTGGGTTCAAGTGATTCTCCTGCTTCAGCCTCCCAGGTAGCTGGGACTACAGGCATGCACCACCACACCCAGCTAATTTTTCTACTTTTAGTAGAGATGGGGTTTAACCATGTTGGCCAGGCTGGTCTCGAACTCCTGACCTCCTGAATCCTGATTCACCCGCCTTGGCCTCCTGACTCCTGATTCACCTGCCTTGGCCTCCCAAAGTGCTGGGATTACAGGTGTGAGCCACTGCACCTGGCCCAGGTCTCATTTATTTCCTGTCTATTTTGTTATTCTTGCACAAATGAGTAGGTATATGCATATTTTCTTTTTAAAAATATTTATTTATTTATTTAGAAGACTGTCTTGCTCTGTCATGCAGGCAGGAGTGTAGCAGCATGATCACAGTTCACTGCAACCTCAAGTTCTTGGGCTCAAGTAATCCTCCCACCTTAGTCTTCCAGGTAGC